>NC_000011.10:62100831-62403861 GCF_000001405.40 Homo sapiens
CTTCAAGTTCAGGGGACACGTCATGGCAAGAAGCCCTCTACATCCCAAGCAGTTATTGTTTCCTGTTTGCTTAGAGGCAGAAATACCCCCGGGCTCCTGGTTTTATTAGGCACACACAGTGTCTAGAGAGCACTCTGAATGCCCCTACTAATTGCCAGCTTTTTTTTTTTTTTTTTTTTTTTGAGATGGAGTCTCACTCTATCACCCAGGTTGGAGTGCAGTGGTGCGATCTCAGCTCACTGCAACCTACGCCTCCCAGGCTCAAGCGGTTCTCCCACCCCAGCAGCCCAAGTAGCTGAGACTACAAGCATGCACCACCATGCCCGGCTAATTTTTGTATTTTTTATAGAGATGGGGTTTTGCCATGTTGGTAGGCTGGTCTCAAACTCCTGGCCTCAGGTGATCCGCCTGCCTCAACCTCCCAAAGTGCTGGGATTACAGGTGTGAGCCCCCATGCCAGGCCAAATTTCCAGTTTTAAGAACTATGTTTAGGGTTTATCCATAATACTTTCCAATCCACATATATTTTGGGTTAAACTTTCTTTTATGATTTGAGTATTTTCTTCTGTGTATTTTTTTCCTCCCGTCCCTCTTTCCCTCCCTCCTTCTCCTCCACCTCCTCCTCTTCTTTTAACGTGTTGGAGCTACAGTGCAAACCAGAAAACATTGATTTATTTATGTCCTCAGCCTAATAGGGATCTCCAGCTGTATGTTTATTTCCCAGAGAAGACTCTCATGACCAAACCATTCACTGTGGCCATCTGAAGAATCTGTAAAATATAGCTAAGATGGTCAATGCTATAATGAAGAGAGATTATTTATGCAAGGCCTCAATTTATCCTCAAACCAAACTTATGAGCACAATGATACTGATCTCCAACCAGGGCTATTTCTGGGCTTGTCATTTTTGATAAATAAGGAGAAAGATCTGCTAGTATGATCAAATCCAAGCTTAAAAGCTTAAAATTCAATCCATAAATATTTAATTTAAGTAGCTCAATTTATGCATCCTTCTGACAGTACAATTAAGGAGGTCTGAAAAATTCGTGTAAAAACCTACAATGGTGGCTAAGAAGCTGAGCTATGATGGGTTTCACAGGCTTACCAGTGTGCTCCCTGACAAAATGTAAAAAGGACCGTGTTTTATATTTAGTATCAAAGACTTTACTAAATTATTTGAGCTTGGGAGTCCTCACACGGTGTTTCTTTTTAAAAATGTTAATTTTGTAGGGGCAAGGTTTCATTCTGTCACCCAGGCTGGAGTTCAACAGTGTGATCATAGCTTACTGTAGCCTCGAAGTCCTGGGGCTCAAGAGAGCCTCCCACCTCAGCCTCCTGAGTAGCTGAGACTACAGTTGTGTGCCACCATGACTGGCTAATTTTAAAATTATTTTTGTGGAGATGGGGTCTTTCTATGTTGCCTAGGCTGGTCTCAAACTCCCAAGTGATACTCCCATCTTGTCCTGCAAAGTGGTGGGATTACCAACGTGAGCCACCATGCCCGGCCAGCACTTTTTTTTTTTTTAATGAGATGGAGTTTTCGCTCGTTGCCCAGGCTGGAGTGCAGTGGTGCGATCTCGGCTCACTGCAACTTCCGCCTCCCAGGTTCAAGCAGTTCTCCTGTCTCAGCCTCCTCAGTAGCTGGCATTACAGGCGCCCACGACCAGACCTGGCTAATTCTTTTTTTTGTATTTTTGTAGAGAGGAGGTTTTGCAATGTTGGAGGCTGGTCTCAAATTCCTGACCTCCAGTTATCTGCCTGCCCTGGCCTCCCAAAGTGCAGGGATTACAGGCATGAGCCATCACACCTGGCCCAGCATTTTTAATACTAGTGGGATCTCTTCAAATTGGAATAATTATAAATTAGAAAACATCACTCTGGTAGGAAATCCATATAAAGAAAAATACATTCCTTCTACTTTTACAACACTTCTGACATCAACTATGTGAGTTTCCTACACCAAGTCATTCTCCAACTCTCTTGTAAACCAAAAATAAAATTCTAAGCCTCCTATCCAACTGAATAGATCCCCTCTTGGCCAAGAGGACCCCAGAGAAACCTGAAAAATGGAATTCCCAGCCATGACGGGAAGGGAGGTCAGATACACTTCATGACACCTTCTCCCTTTTGGAGTTTAGGCCCAGTTGACCAGCATGAACATTAAAATAAAGATTATAAGACTGAGTAAACAAACTATGGCAGTGAGATGCCAAATTCCAGGCTGACTGGCATAGCATGACATGACAGATGGCAAACCATGAAGGAAATAAAAATATTTTAGTCCAAAATAGATGTCTTTGAATATTTTGGAATGGCCCTACAAAGCTGTCTTTTGGGGTGGGGGTGGGATTTGCATCTGCAGAGAATTTTCATCAATGCAGCCAGGCCTTCCCTTTCTAGGCTTTTTCTGGACCTAGGAAAGGCTAAATTAGGGTCTTGACACCTTTAAGATCTGAAAAGAGACATTCACCATCTATTCTATCTGAGGGCTGCTACCTAGGAGGCTTCATCTACATAACAAGAATCTTGGCCTCCACAACCCACCTTATCTTATTGCAAGCATTTCTTTCTACTGAGACAAAGCTTAGCTCTTTCAACCAATTGCCAATCAGAAAATCTTTGAACCTACCAATGACCTATAATAGAGGCCCCACTTCAAGACATCCCACCTCTTTAGTCTGTATACACTGATTTATGATTTTACCTAAAATTCCTGTCTCCCTAAAATTTATAAAACCAAACCATAACCCAACAACCTTGGGCACATTCTCAGGACTTTTTGAGACTGTTCCCCAAGCCATGGTCACTCGTATTGGCTCAGAATAAACCTCTTTTAATATTTTAGTGTTTGGTTTTTCTGTTAACACTCTGCATACAACAACTGGGTCTCCCACAATTTAATTCAATTTGACACTACCCAGAGTTAGGGGAGACCCCACAGGTTAGGAGCTTACTTCCCACAAGACTGTTCCCCCTTCAGATGATGACACAAGTAGTGGGTCCCCAGGTGACCCACAGTTCCGTCTGACATGGCTATAAATCAAGGGTTCCCCTAAGCCCCCTTCATGTTCAATAATTTGCTATAACAGCTCAGACAACTCAGGGAAACACTTTACTTATGTTTACCTGTTTATTATAAAGGATACAAATGAACGGTGAGATGAAGAGGTACACAGGGCAGAGGTCTCTGGAAGGGTCCCAAATGCAGGAGTGTTTGTCCCTGTGGAGTTTGGAGTGTGTCAACCTCCTGGTTCGTGGATGCATTCACCAACCTGGAAGCTCTTTGAACCCCATCTCCATCATTTAGGGTTTTTATGGCAGCTTCATTACATAGGCATGATTAAGGAAAACACTGATCGTGAGTGATTCACTACATCTCCAGCCCCTCTCCCTCCCCTGAAAGTCATGGGGTGGAACTGAAAGCTTTAACCCTTTAATCACGTCTTGATCTTCCTAGTGATGGTATGATGTGGCTGTGTCCCCACCCAAATTTCATCTTGAATTGTAGTTTCCACAATCCCCACATGTCATGGGAGGGACCTGGTGGGAGATAATTTAATCCTGGTGGTGGTTACCCTCATGCTGTTCTCGCAATAGTGAGTTCTCACGAGCTCTGATGGTTTTATGAGGGGCTTCCCTCCCACCCCCTCGCTCTCATTCTTCTCCTTCCTGCCGCCATGTGAAGAAGGATGTGTTTGCTTCCCCTTCTGCCGTGACTATAAGTTTCATGAGGCCTCCCCAGCCCTGTGGAACTGTGAGTCGATTAAACCTCTTTCCTTTAGGCCAGGCATGGGGGCCGAGGCAGATGGATCACTTGAGGTCAGGAGTTCAAAACCAGCCTGGCCAACATGGCGAAACTCTGTCTCTACTAAAAATACAAAAAAATTAGCCAGGCATGGTGGCAGGTGCCTGTAATCCAGGCTACCTGGGAGGCTGAGGCAGGAGAATTGCTTGAACCTGGGAGGCAGAGGTTGCAGTGAGCCGAGATCGTACCACTGCACTCCAGCCTGGGTAAGAGAGGGAGACTCCATCTCAAAAACAAACAAACAAAAACCACCAGCAACAACAACAACAAAACACCTCTTTCCTTTATATAAGTTACCCAGTCTCAGGTATTTCTTCATAGCAGTGTGGGAATGAACTAATACAGGTGACTACTCACATGTGGCAAATGCAGACAAGGGCACTCTGTGCTATTGGGATGCTGAGGTGGGGGTGTGATAGGAGTTTGGCAGGACTTGTTTCCCAAGACATAGGTCACAAGGACCCCCCTGATAAAACAGGATGTGGTAAAGGAGCCAGCCAAAACCCCCCAAAACCAAGATGGTGATGAAAGCGACCCTTGGTCCTCTCACCGCTCATTATACACTAATCATAATCCATGATTTGTCCATGGTGAAGGAAACTCCCACCAGAAACACGACAGCTTACATACGCCATGGCAACATCCGGAAGTTACCCTATATGGTCTAAAAAGGGGAGGAACTCTCATTTCTGGGAATTCTCTGACCTTTTCCTGGAAAATTCATGAATAAGCCACCCTTGTTTAGCATGTGAGCAAGAAACAAACATAAAAATAGCAACCTGCAACTCTCACGGCTGCTCTTCCGATGGCATAGCCACTCTTACTCCTTTACTTTTAAAATAAACTTGCTTTCACTTTACTCTGTTAACTCTTGAATTCCTTCCTGTGCAAAGCCAAGAACTCACGTCGCCTCCTGGGCTGAACTCCAATGTGGGGGTTCACCCTGTGACAGGTGGATGGGCTGGAGTCCAGGAGTTCGGGTCCAGCCTAAGCAACATAGTGAGACCCCCCATCTCTATTTTTTTCTCAGACAGTATAAGAGACAGATGAAGCAAAGTGCATAAATGGCTGTGAGGAGCATGTGGTTTGTCAAAGCTGGAACTTTATTTACAAACAAGTTCCAGCATTATCTGAGTGGGTGCTGCTAACAATTATAGCGTGTTCTTTCAAACTGCAGACTGGGATTAGACGGTTTGCCAAAAAGCCACTGAGTACATCAAAGCGAGAATTCTGAATTCTCCATTTATCTTCAGATTTATCACTCCCTCCCTCTGTGCCCTTCTCTGCATCTGCTGTATGTGAGTATGGAGAGTCCACACAATTCAGTCTGTACCAGTGGTCTAGGTTTTCAACTACATCTCATTGGTCAAGCATGTTTGCATTCACAGAAGGAACCCTACCCCCATTTTTGTTTTCCTGTTTTATTTTTAGTACATTTTAGGCCTTAAGAATGTAGGGTTTTTTTGTTTGTTTTTTTTTCCTATGAGACGGGAGTCTTGCTCCATAACCCAGGCTGGAATGCAGTGGCATGATCTCGGCTCACTGCAACCTCCCCGTCCCGGGTTCAAGCGATTCTCCTGCCTCAGCCTCCCATGTAGCTAGGAATACAGGCATGCACCACCATGCCTGGCTAATTTTTTTTTTAATTTTTTTTTTAATTTTTAGTAGAGACGGGGTTTCACCATGTTGGCCAGACTTGTTTTGAACTCCTGACCTCAGGTGATCCGCCCACCTTGGCCTCTCAAAATGCTGGGATTACAGGCATGAACAACCATGCCTCACCAATAGTGTTTTATCATACAGAAATAGAAATTACAAATCTCTCAGGAAGTTCTTTGGAAGTGCAGCTTTAAAGACATACTTTTTGACCCCCACTGTTTTCTTTTGCCCAGCTTGGATATGTGTTCTGCCTTCATTGTCTCTTCAAGGAGGCATTCACAGGCAGCAGAGCTCTTTTGTGGAGGAACTTTTATAACATTGTCAGTTGCTTTAAGCAGACGTTCTCAAGGCTGATCTGTAGGCTGGATCCAGTGGCTGACAAGGATTTTACTGATTTGTACAATACGAGAAAAATAAGAACAATGCAATGAGTTTTTCATAAAGGAATTTTTTTTTTTTTGAGATGGAGTTTCACTCTTGTCGCCCAGGCTGGAGTGCAGTGGTGCAATCTTGGCTCACTGCAAACTCTACCTCCTGGGTTCAAGTGATTCTCCTGCCTCAGCCTCCTGAGTAGCTGGGATTATGGGTGCCCACCACCATGCCTAGCTAATTTTTGTATTTTTAGTATTGATAGGGTTTCACCATGTTGGCCAGGCTGGTCTCTAATTCCTGACGTCAGGTGATCCGCCCGCCTCGGCCTCCCAAAGTGCTGGGATTACAGGTGTGAACCACCGTGCCTGGCCTCATAAAGGAATTTATTTGTGTCACTTTGACGTATTCTGAGATTGCATGCCCTCTTCTTTTTGAGTTTAAATGTCTTTTATAATAGTAGGATAATAAGAGATAGGTGTTAAAAAAAAACCCATACATATTTACTTAATAAAATTAACTCAATGCTTAAACGTATTTGCAAATTTTGCTACTCTGTGAAATCCAAAAGTCCAGAGAACTACCATTTTAATGAATGCAACTTGAGATTTAATGTGATACAATGGATTTAATAAGATTTAATTAAATTCCATTCTGATGAGAAAGTTTTAGATAATCCAGCTCTCCATATTCAGAAAAGTCAACCTACCAGCCCAATTTAATGCTTAGATCCACCACAGGGAAGCAGAAATCAGTCTGGATAATGAAGACCAGAGAGCCAGACTCTTAGACCTAAAGGAACTTCAGAGATCACGTCTCATCATACAGCTGAGAAAATAGACTTGATGGTTTGTATTCCTGGTCCTGCCATTTACTTGCCATTGCCTTGAGCTAGCTACTCACCACAACTGCAAAGGGTCCCTTCAGGTCTGAAATTCTGAAACTTAACAAGTAACATATTAAGAAAAAGAGATGAGGCCGGGCACGGTGGCTCACACCTGTAATCCCAGCACTTTGGGAGGCTGAGGCAGGCGGATCGCTTGAGGTCAGGAGTTCCAGAACAGCCTGGCCAACATGGTGAAACCTCGTCTCTACTAAAAATACAAAAAGTAGTCGGGCGTGGTGGCACATGCCAGTAATTCCAGCTACTTGGGAGGCTGAGGCAGGAGAATCGCTTGAACCTGGGAGGCGACAGTTGCAGTGAGGTGAGATTGCACCACTGCACTCCAGCCTGGGTGACAGAGTGAAACTGTCTGAAAGAAAAAAGAAAAAGAAAAAGAGATCCATCCTCATGGGTAAAGGGTAAAATCCAGGGAAATTCAAGCTGATGCAGAAAACAACAAAATACTCATTTTTTTATTGCCCCAAATGGCCACGATTCATAAGGCTTTATTGTAGCTTGGTATGGAGGGGAAAACCAGATTCCTTATCCCACCCACCTGCCTCTTGCTTTCCTAATAAAGGTGTCATGGTAGTTCAAGGCCTGCGGATCAGTGGATCCAAATGCGAACAGTTACTGCCCCCTAGTGGATTTACAGTATGGTGCTCATTTATAAATTCAGATTAAAGCTTGACTGCCCTGTTGCTGAAAGAATTCATCTTTGGCGGTGGAGGGACCTTAAGAAGCCACCTTCATTTTTATGTTTTAACATGTTTTAATGCCCTCATTCTGCAGATGGGGACACTGGTCCTCTAAGTCACGTAGGTGCCCCAGGGCTTTTTGTTCCAAGTCCGGGGCCCACGCCACTGCACCACAGTTTCATTAGGCTGCACGAGCTCCAGCTATTTCTGGAGTTGCTGGGGAACTACCATGACCCGTCCTTCTGTGGCAGGGAAAGCAAGATACCACCTCATGTTTGGTTTGCCTCCCACTGCGACTTTTGCTGTGGAGGACACCTCTGACACAGCTACGTGACCTAGTAAGGCACACAGGGAGAATGCCGTGTGATCATGAAGGCAGATTTTCAGCAAAACACCAGAGCCAGGCCAGTGTGGTGGCTCACGCCTATAACCCCAGCACTTTGGGAGGCGGAGGCTGGTGGATCACCTGAAGTCAGGAGTTCAAGACTAGCCTGACCAACATGGTGAAACCCCATGTACTAAAAATACAAACATTAGCTGGGTATGGTGGCGGCGCCTGTAATCCCAGCTATTTGGGAGGCTGAGGCAGGAGAATCATTTGAACCCAGGAGGTGGAGGTTGCAGTGAGCTGAAGATCGCACCATTGCACTCCAGCCTGGGCGACAAGAGTGAAACTCCATCTCAAAAAAAAAAAAAAACACAATAACAACAACAAAACACCAGAAGCCACGACAGCTGCACCAAACAGATTCACCCTCATGGCTCTCAGAAGGGGCTGACCCAACCAACACCCTGATCTCAGACTTCTGACTTCCACAATCGTGGGATTACACATTTCTGCGGTCTAAGCTGCTCCGTTTGTGACACTGTTACAGCAGCTCTAGCAAGTGAATACAGATTTTGCAGAGATTTATCCCTCAAACACTTTTCAGTGGTTACTTTGATTTTGCTGAACCAAATTAAGTTGACTTCCCCAAAGCAGCCAACGACTGGAAAACTTCAAATTGTAAGGATATGTGAACTTCGAATCTCCAGTCCAGTGACTCATCCTGAGCAGGAATTCCTTATACAATGTCTTTGTCAGCCAGGGTAAAAAAGGGTGCTGTGCCCTTACAAAGAAAGTATGACAAAGAAACAGAGAAAGCTGGACTGCCCACAGCCAGACAAACTATTCTGTAATAGAAGTTAGGCTTAGAATGCAATGAAGAATTAACGTGCTCGACTACCTTCAATACTTGGAGCTACAGAGAGGTGCTTCTGATGAAGCTGGAAATGAGGAAAACGGAAAACACAGTTGTCACCTGGGAGCTCAACTCTGAGATCACTTATAAGGGATCAGAGCAGAGACACGCAAGGTCACCTGAGCAAAGCAAAAGGAAAGTCAGAGAAGCAAATGTTGGCATTTCCTATCCAAGCGCTGTATAAGGGAGAATGAGTTTCAGTCACCAAACCTGAAGTATCTCCTGTTCTAAAGGACAGGTTCTCCTTTTAGGTGGAGATAGATGCAGGGAGTTATGGCTGGAGGACTTCATGTATTTCTGATTCCATCGGCAAGACTCTCTCTGATATAAATGGAATGCACTAAGCTGTCATAGTTTGATGCCATTAACCATTCCTCGAATTGGCCTTCTTCCTTCATGATCACATGGCGTTCTCCCTGTGTGCCTTACTAGGTCCTTGGCTGTGTCTGAGGCGTCCTCCATAGTTTGATGCCATTAATAATTCCTCTAATTGGTAAATATTCCTCTAAACTATTAGCAACCCCATGCTAACTCCGTGAGTACTGACAACCTTCAGATTATCCGTGGCTTCCATTGTGCCTTAGAGAGAGAACACACTGGATTGCCCCCAGGTTAACTGGCTACTCATGACAATAATTCTTCATACTAAACCCTCAATAAAAGCCTCTGGCCAGGTGCAGTGGTTCACGCCTAAAATCCCAGCACTTTGGTGGGCCAAGGCAGGAGGATTACTTGAGGCCAGTAGTTTGAGACCAGCCTGGGCAACATGGTGAGACCACATCTCTACAAAAAAGTAAAATATTACCTGGGTGTGATAGCATGTGCCTGTAGTTCCAGCTACTTGGGAGGCTGAGGCAGAGGACTGCTTGAGCTCCAGAGGTTGAGGCTGCAGTGAGCTATGATAATGCCACTGCACTCCAGCCTGGGTGCCAGATTGAGATCCTCTCTCTGGAAAAAAAAAAGGGGCTGATTATCATTTTCCTCATGTGCTCTGCTTATGAAAGAGACTGAACAATAATATGCACACAAACATTCTAGTCTGATGAAATTTTATTCTTTACTGCAAGTTGATAAAAGGCACTCTTTTATTCTTTTTTATTTTTATTTTTATTTATTTATTTTTTTTTTGAGACGGAGTCTTGCTCTGTCGCCCAGGCTGGAGTGCAGTGGCACGATCTTGGCTCCCTGCAAGCTCCGCCTCCCAGGTTCACGCCATTCTCCTGCCTCAGCCTCCCGAGTAGCTGGGACTACAGGCGCCCGCCACTATTCCCGGCTAATTTTTTGTATTTTTAGTAGAGACAGAGTTTCACCGCGTTAGCCAGGATGGTCTCGATCTCCTGACCTCGTGATCCACCCGCCTCAGCCTCCCAAAGTGCTGGGATTACAGGCGTGAGCCACCGCGCCCGGCAAAAGGCACTCTTTTATTAACCTTCCGTCTGCACATTTTTTAGTTGGTGTAAATGAGCCTCTCAGCCATCACCATCATCACAGGGCAACAACTAACAAGAGGGAGCCTTTGAGACTTCAACACACAGGCCCTCAAATAAAACACAGCATGGGTGACTTCTGCTATCATCTATGGTGGAGGAACCGGTACAGAATTAGCCTTCCCACCATAAACTACAGAAAAACTAGACAAAAAATATGAGGCAACTCTTCCAGGCACTGGATCACAGGAAGAGAAAGAGTGTAATTCTGGAAAGAATGGGGTTTGAGACCAGCTTGGCCAACGTGGTGAAACCCTGCCTCTACTAAAAGTACAAAAATTAGTCCCGTGTGGTGGCGGGCACCTGCAATCCCAGCTGGGAGGCTGAGGCTGAGGCAGGGAGACTCCTTCTCAGAAAAATAAAAAAAAAGTCCTGTGGAGCTGAGGAGGTGAAAGATGCCAGACGCAAGAGCAGACGGTAGGCTACATTATTATAAGTATCATTATTATTATTATTATTATTATTATTATTTTGAGATGGAGTTTCACTCTGTCGCCCAGGCTGGAGTACAGTGGCGCGATCTCGACTCACTGCAACCTCCGCCTCCCAGGTTCAAGCAATTCTCCTGCCTCGGCCTCCTGAGTAGCTGGGATTACAGGCGCCTGCCACCATGCCCAGCTAATTTTTGTATTTTTAGTAGAGATGGGGTTTCACCATGTTGGCCAAGCTGGTCTTGAACTCGTGACCTCAGGTGATCCGCCCGCCTCGGCCTCCCAAAGTGCTGGGATTACAGGCGTGAGCCACTGCGCCCGGCCTATTATCATCATTATTATTATTATTATTATTATTATTATTATTATTATTATTATTATTATATTTTGAGACGGAGTCTCACTCTGTTCCCCAGGCTGGAGTGCAGTGGTGCAATCTCGGCTCACTGCAACCTCTGCCTCCTAGGTTCAAGTGATTCTCCTGCCTCAGCCTCCCAAGTAACTGGGACTACAGGCGCGCCCGCCACCACGCCCGGCTAATTTTTGTATTTTTAGTGGGGACCGGGTTTCGCTAAGTTGGCCAGGTTGGTCTCCAACTCCTGATCTCAGGTGATCCACCCTCCTAGGCCTCCCAAAGTGCTGGGATTACAGGCGTGAGCCACTGCGCCCGGCCATAAGCATTATTTTAAAAGCAAACTAAACTATAATGCTTAGGGATGCTGCTTGGATGGTAATGCAATAATATGATTACCATATTTTTAATTTAAGGAGGGCGGGTATCGGGAGGGCTCAGGAGGCCTCTGGGAGGCTATGGAGCTTTATTACTTGCCCTGGGAGGTGGTTTTTCAGGAATGTTTTTGATAAAGTAATAAGCTGCTTAACTGTTTTGTGCACTTTTTAAAAGATGTGTTCTATATTTCGCAATACAAATGGATTTTTTTTTTTTTATAAAAAGAAAACTTCATTCGGGATAAGCTGGGGGTGTCCGAGAGGAGCCAGGACCCACTCCCAGGCACATCACCATCTGCAGCCCGACCCCCTCCTCAGGCCGGGTGAGCGGCCTCGCGGGTCACCAGACTCCCAGAACGACGGCTGCAGGCCCCAGAGTCCACGAGGGTGGGTACAAATCCCCTGGGCACAAACAGCCCGGGATGGACACCATCCAGCTCTGCACCCCCTCTTCCCGCACTCCCCTGGCAAACTCAGTAGCCTCGGACCGTCTGCGCCTGCGCGGACGACTGGGCTGCGCATGCGCCCTCTGCCCCGCAGGAGCTGTAACAGTAGCTGAAGTTTAAAGAGAGGCTGACTGTGGGGTTGGGACTTCAGTCCTGTGTCCCTTGGACTGCATTGTAGGTTCCTAAAGGGGCAAATATGTTCAGTTCTAGAAATGTTCCTTTTTTTTCTTTTTTCTTTTCTTTCTTTTTTTTTTTTCCCGAGATGGAGTCTTGCTCTGTCGCCAGGCCGAAATGCAATGGCGCGATCTCGGCTCACTGCAACCTCCGCCTCCCGGGTTCAAGCCATTCTCCTGTCTCAGCCTCCCGAGTATGAGTATCTGGGATTACAGGCGCGCGCCACCACGCCCGGCTAATTTCTGTATTTTTAGTAGAGACGGGGTTTCACCATGTTGGCCAGGATGGTCTCAACCTCTTGACCTCATGATCTGCCCACCTCGGCCTCCCAAAGTGCTGGGATTACAGGCATGAGCCACCATGCCCGTCCCCCTTTTTTTTCTTTAGACGTATTCTCCCACTGTCACCCAGGATGGAGTGCCGTGGTGCAATCTCGGTTCACTGCAGCCTCCCCCTCCTGGGTTCAAGCGATTCTCCTGCCTCAGCCTCCTGACTAGCTGGAATTACAGGTGCGCCAACACACCTGGCTAATTTTTGTATTTTTAGTAGAGACTTTCGCCATGTTGGTCGGGCTGGTCTCGAACTCCTAGCCTCAAGTGATTTGACGGCCTTGGCCTCCCAGAGTGCTGGGATTACAGGCGTGAGCCACTGCACCCTGCCAGTTCTAGAAGTGTTCTAGCGCTGGGGTTAGCAGACCTCTAAAGGGTGAGATAGTAACTATTTTAGATTTTGTAGGCCAAGAGACAAAATCCAGGACATTTAAGAGAGAAAAACAAAATTGCCACAATGTTTTAAATTGATGAAATTAAAAATATTATAATAGAGTACATATATTTTTAGTATAGGCCTACTAATGAGAAGTATGGAATTCTTTTTTGGGAGTGGGATATTGAGGATAATATTTTCCTTAATAGCGGCTCAAAGTTAGTGTTCTCTAGCTCTAAAACACAAATTGATTGTAATGTTCATCTGTTAATACAGATTTACTGTGAGATTTTACCCACTTCATTTTTGAAATGTCCTTTACTGCCAAAAACTGGTATGGGGCCCCCAGCATATGACTTCAATTGATCATATTCATCGCCAGGATAGGAGGGAGGCATTTACAGAATTCTATTTGATTCTTCTCTTGATAGTTGCCTTTTTGCAGGTCATCATATTGCAGATTAATCACTGCCAATAGAAGGTTAGGTGGAAGTGCAGTAGGAAGTGGAACTCCAGAGGTGGGGCTTGGACACCAGACCTAATTGAGGACTAGTTAAAACAGGCGTGGGGCAAAAGCACCACCCCATAAGACACACCCACCAGCAAAGGACATGAACAGACACTTCTCAAAAGAAGACATACCTGTGGCCAAAAATCATGAAAAAAAGCTGAATATCACTGATCATTAGTGAAATGCAAATGAAAACCACGATGAGCCATTCTCACACCAGTCAGAATGGCTATTATTAAAAAGTGAAAAAATAACCGATGCTGGTGAGGTTGTGGAGAAAAAGGAACGTTTTTACACTGTTGGTGGGAGTGTAAATTAGTTCAACCATTGTGGAAGACAGTGTGGGTGTGGCAATTCCTCAAAGACCTAGAGACAGAATTACCATCTGACCCAGCAATCCCATTACTGGATATATACCCAAAGGAATATAAATCATTCTGTTACAAAGACACATGCACATGTATGTTCACTGCAGCACTTTTCACAACAGCAGACATGGAATCAACCTAAATGCTCATCAATAACAGACTAAAGAAAATGCAGTACATATACACCATGGAATACTCTGTAGCCATAAAAAGGAACAAGGTCATGTCCTTTGCAGGGACATGGATGGAGCTGGAGGCCATTATCCTTAGCAAACTAACGCAGGAACAGACAACCAAATACTGCATATTCTCACTTGTAAGTGGGAGCTAAATGATAAGAACACATAGACACATGGAGGGGAACAACTCACACTGGGGCCTACCAGAGGACGGTGGGTGGGAGGAGGGAAAGGATCAGGAAAAATATCTAATAGATATTAGGCTTAATTCCTGGGTAATGAAATAATCTGTACATCTGTATTAGTCTGTTTTCACACTGCTATAAAGAAATACCCAACACTGGGTAATTTATAAAGGAAAGAGTTCCACATGGCTTGGGAGGCCTCAAGAAACTTACAATCATGACAGAAAGTGAAGGGGAATCAAGTAGCTTCTTCACAAGGTGGCAGAAGACAGAAGAGCGAAGGAAGAACTTCCAAACACTTATAAAACCATTAGATCAGGTGAGAACTCACTCACTATCATGAGAACAACATGGGGGAAACCTCCCCCATGATCCAATCACCCCCCTTGCTCGACACAAGGGGATTACAAATCCCTCCCTCAATACAGGGGGATTACAATTCGAGATGAGACTTGGGTGGGGACACAGAGCCAAACTATATTAACAACAAAACCCCATGACACACATTTACCTATGTAACAAACCTGCACATCCTGCACATTTACTCATAAAATTAAAATAAAAAGACATGCCCACCAGTGTGCCATGCCCATTGCCATGGCAACACCCCAAAGTTCCTGCCCTTTTCCCTGGCAGCGAGACAACTGGGAAGTTACCACCTTATTTCTAGAAATTTCTGCATAATCTGCCCCTTAATTTGCATATAAACAAAAGTGGTTGTAAGTATGACCGCAGAACTGCCTCTGAGCTGCTACTCTGGGTGTACTGCTTATGGGGTAGCCCTGCTCTGCACACTGCTGCTTCAATAAAACCTCTGGCTGGCCCTTGATTTGTTTCCTAGGCAAAGCCAAGAACTCTCCCAGGCTAAGCCTGCCCTGCATTAGAAGCTCCTCAGTTGCACAGTTGACTGGAACTGTAGCTTAAATTTGAAAAATTATCTGCTGCGAATTTGTGTGGGAATGCAGATTTTGATTCTTGTTTTGACTTTTGACATCATAAGAAACATGTAAAGCAGTTTGACTTTACTTGTGATTCAAACAGTGTAGCCATCATAAAAATGACTTTACTGCAGTATAAGTTTTGCATATTAGTGCTGTTTTGACTGCTAATTTTAGGTTGAATTCATTAAGAAATATTACCAAGTCTATAGCAAAAGCTAATTTCCAAAGCCACTCAGTGTTCCTTAATAAGGGTTGAGGGCAGTTCCTATTCAGAAAAAATTCAGCTCTGAGCTTAAACAATCACAGTAAATCTTTACTACTGTGAATCCCTTGAACTGCTGCGTAATAGGGCAAGCAAAGAGATTCAGTTTCTATTTTGGACAAAAATTCATGGAGCTGAAGATGGCTATGGCACGAGAGTGAATTAAATTTCCTGTTGAAACTGCAGGTTCAATAACACATGACAGATTCAAATATTTTCAGGAAAGTATCTACTGATATACAATATGATGAATAATCATAGGTTTTTAACACCTTACACTGTCACAAGGTTTGTAAATTTGTCCAATTAACATTTATCTGCTCTATACATTTTTACTACCATCAATTGTAACACATCCTAGCAGATTCCACTACAGGTTATACTGAATTAGTGTTTCCTCAACTTCTATGAAAATATTCCCTCCTATAGTTATTCCATGCAGTCTATTCATAGAGGCTAACTCTGCAGTCATGCCAGCCTCAGCACTGACTCAAGTAAAAAACAACTGAGAAGTATCAGTAACATCTGTCAATTCATGAAGAGCCAAGAAAAACTACCTAAAATCACTTGACTTGTTTTTTTAATTAACAACTGTATTAGTTTCCCAGGGCTGCTATAACAAATTACCACAAACGTAGTGGCTTAAAAAGACATTCTTCTGGAGGCCGGAAGTCTGAATCATGGTGTTAGCAGGGTCACACTCCCTCTGGAGGCTGGGAGGCAGAATTCTTCTTTGCCTCTTTCAGCTTCTGGTGGTTGCTGGTTTCCTTGGCTTGTGGCCACATCACTCCAATCTTTGCCTCCATTTTCATATCATCTTCTCTTCTTGTCTATGTCTCCTACAAGAAAACTTGTCATTGGATTTAGGACTTACTGAGGTTATCCAGGATGATCTCATCTCATGATCCTTAACTTAATTACATCTGCAAGGGTCCTTTTTCCAAATAAGGTCGCATTCACAGTTTCCAGGGATTTGAAGTGGATGAATTTGACATGAATATATATTTTCGAGGGCTTCTCTTTGGCCCACCACAACTATTGATATTGCTCCCAATGTCCTCAACTCTCTGAGCAACTGTTCTCACCGAAAGGCTAATAGTTTTATTTTTTTAGAGGCAAGGTCTTGCTCTGTCACCAAGGCTGGAGTGCAGTGGCATGATGATAGCTGACCACAGCCTCCTGGGCCCAAGTGATCCTCCTGTCTCAGTCTCTCATGTAGCTGGGACTACAGGTGTGTACTACCATGCTCAGCTAATTTTACCATGATCAGTTTTATTTTTTGTAGAGATGGAGGTCTCACTTCGTTGCTCAGGCTGGTCTCAAACTCCTGGCTTCAGGTGATCCTCCCACCTTGGCCTTCCAAAGTGCTGGGATTACAAGTGTGAGCCATCTTGCCTGGCCTAGGCTAAGAGTTTATTTTCTGTGGACACATTACTTGGCTGCTGCAATCAAACACAATTTAATCAAATTACCTGCAGAAAACAGTTTTCCTTGCTTGGTTAACAAATGAGGCACTAGGAAACTTACTTTGGTTGCAGTCAAATTTTCATTTTTTATTTCTGTGAAGAAATTCTACTGTGATGAGATATAATGTTTTATATTTTATAATTTTTTGAACATTGCTTTCCTGTGAGTTGGGAATATTGTAAGTGCTTAGTCTGATAATGCTGCTATATATCATATTCCTTTAGCACAGATTACTATCATTGCCTAATAAACACACTGCTTTGCCATCTAATTAGATAAAATAATCCACACTCCACTGTTCCTTAATAGCACAACATTCTAAATCCATTTTTTTGCTTTGTTTAGGCTGATAGGTTTGCACTGGTAATTTTAAAATACTGTAGTATGGCTGGGTGTGGTGGCTCACGCCTGTAATCCCAGCACTTTGGGAGGCCGAGGTGGATGGATCACGAGGTCAGGAGTTCGAGACCAGCCTGCTCAACATGGTGAAACCCCCTCTCTACTAAAAACACAAAAATTTGCTGGGCGTGGTGGTAAGCGCCTGTAATCCCAGCTGCTTGGAAGGCTGAGGCAAGAGAATTGCTTGAACCTGGGAGGCGGAGGTTGCAGTGAGCCAAGATCGTGTCACTGCACTCCAGCCTAGGTGACAGAGCAAGACTCTGTCTTGGAGAAAAATAAAAATAAAAATAAACAAAAAAACCTCCCATGGTATTGTAATATGTGTGGCACTTGAAATGCTGTTGAATTATAACTATGCCACTGCAATTTGTAGTGCACCAAGCAGCAGTTCTAAATGATGAAACCAGAAATGGTCTTTACTGCACCTACTCAAAAGCAGCCATAGGTAGTACAGCATTGTCTAATGTTGGCTGTGTTCCAGTAAAACTTTATTTATGGATGCTTAAAGTTTTCATCTGTCACAAAATATTCTTGTTTTGATTTTTTTTTCAACCATTGAAAAATGTGAAAACCATTCTCAGCTTATGGGCTATACAAAAACATGGTAAGCCAGATTTGACCTAACTGCTCTAATTTGTTGGCCCCTGGTTTAAGATCTAAACTAGGAAAAGAAATGTGTCAGTGTCTTAGCCTCTTTTCTGTTGCTTATGACAGAATACCTGAAAGAGGGTAATTTATAAAGAAAAGGAATTTATTTCTTGACGTTATAGAGACTGAGAGGTCCAGGGTCAAGGACCTGCATCTGGTGAGGGCCTTCTTGCTGATGGGGACTATCTGCAGAGTCCCAAGGTGGCACAGGGTATCATACGGCAAGGGGGCTTAGCACAATAGCTGAAGTCTCTCTTTCTCTTATAAAACCACCAATCCTACTCCCATGATAACCCATTAATCCATTAACCCATTGATCCATGCATACATGAATGGATTAATCCATTCACAGGGGTAAAGCCCACTCATGACCCAGTCACCTCTTAAATACAGTCTGAGCTCAACTCCACTAACCAAAAGGTGGGAGTGCAATGCTGCTATATATTGTACATAGGGTTTTTTGTTTGTTTTTGTTTTTTTGAGATGGAGTCTCACTCTGTCACCCAGGCTGGAGTGCAGTGACATGATCTTGGCTCACTGGAACCTCTGCCTCCTGGGTTCAAGTGATTTTCCTGCCTCAGCCCCCTGAGTAGCTGGGATCACAGGCACCTACCATCATGCCCAGCTAAATTTTGTATTTTTAGTAGAGATGGGGTTTCACTATGTTGGCCAGGTTGGTCTCGAACTCCTGACCTCAAGTAATCCACCAGCCTCAGCCTCCCAAAGTGCTGGGATCACAGGCAAGAGCCACTGTGCCCAGTTGGGTTTTTAAGTGCTGGAGTAAGCTAATAGAAAAGTTCTGGAGCATATGAGGAGGGAGGTTGATCAATGGGATGTGTGAATTGCATTGAGTTATTCCACACTTTGCAAAGGTTTTTCTCTGTGATTAGGCCATCTGTGTTTGTTAATCAGCACCCATTGAAGTGAGATAGGGGTCCTTCCAGACTCTGGGAGATAGGGGTGCTATCTTTCTTGATGGTTATATTTCAAAGAGATGGTACCCATGTTTTTTTAAAAAAATCTTAACTTTTAGGTTCAGTGGTACATGTGCAGGTTTGTTATATAAGTAAATCGCATGTCATAGGAGTTTGGTGTACAGATTATTTCATCACTCAGGTAATAAGCATAGTACCTGATAGGTAGTTTTTTGATTCTCTCCCTCCTCCCACACTCCAGTCTCAAGTGGGTCCTGGTATCTATTGTTCTCTTCTTTGTGTCCATGTGTTCTCAATGTTTAGTTCTCACTTATAAGTAAGAACATGCGGTATTTGGTTTTCTGCACCTGTGTTAGTTTTCTTAGGATAATGGTCTCCAGCTCCATCTATATTGCTACAAAGGGCACGATTTTGTTCTTTTTTATGGCAGCATAGTATTCCATGGTGTACATGTACCACATTTTCTTTACCCAGTCTACTGTTGATGGGCATTTAGGTTGATTCCAGGTTTTTGCTATTGTGAATAGTGTTGTGATGAACATATGGGTGCATGCGTCTTTACAGTAGAATGATTTATATTCCTTTGGGTATATACCCAGCAATGGCATTGCTGGGTTGACATCTCACACCAGGCACCCATGTTTTTGAGAAAGACATTCCTAGGTTGTAAAACAGACAAAAGGCTTTTAAAATTATTTACATATTGAAGCAGCACAGAAAGAATCTACAGTTCTTTCTTTATAAAAGTTTTTTTTGTTCTTTTTTTAACCCGTGTCTAGTTCTGTCACCCAGGCTGGAGTGCAGTGGCGCAATCTCTGCTCACAGCAACCTTGGCTCACTGCAACCTCTGCCTCTTCAGCTCAAGTGGTTCTCCCACCTCGGCCTCATGAGTAGCTGGTACTACAGACACATGCCACCATGCCTGGCTAATTTTTTGTATTTTTTGTAGAGAGAAGGTTTCACCATGTTGCCCATGCTGGTCTGAAATTGCTGGGCTCAAGTGATCCACCCTCCTCAGCCTACCAAAGTGTTGGGATTACAAGCGTGAGCCATTGTGCCTGACCCATGACTATAATATTGATGGGACATTCTAAGTCCATAGGCTGTGCTGGGGACTCTCTAGCTTAAAGGTGGGGTGGCTCCGTGGCCCACATTCCAAGAGTCTGGTTACACATTACCTACGTATTCTTTCTGGTCCTGGAAGTCTGTATCCTTCAGCCAGGTGCCATAGACAGTTTAACCAAGCCCAGAGGGAGGCGGACACAATTATATCCTGGTCTTCTGGTCTTACTTGGGCTTATGTGCTTGCTCAGGGCTATTCTCGGCTCAGTGGTCAGACAAAAGCTTTGACTGTGGTGAACCTTTGTAGCTTTTACCCCAGAGGCCCTCAATGCAAGGGGAATGTTGCATACAGTCCACTGGTCTGCAAATCAAGAAATACGTCCCCCACTGGGGGTAGAAAGAAGACTTTGGGGAAAATAAAAGGAGAGTTTTAAGGGAGTCAATTTCATATTCTCTTAGGTGTGTCCTGTATGCACTTTTTCTTTTCTTTTTTTTTTTTTTTTTTTGAGATGGAGTTTCACTCTTATCTCCCAGGCTAGAGTGCAATGGCACAATCTCGGCTCACTGCAACCTCCACCTCCTGAGTACAAGCAATTCTCCTGCCTCAGCCTCCCGAGTAGCTGGGATTACAGGCGCACGCCACCACACCCATATTTTTTTTTTTTTTGTATTTTCAGTAGAAATGGGGTTTCATCATGTTGGCCAGGCTAGTCTCGAACTCCTGACCTCGAGTGATCCGCCCACCTCAGCCTCCCAAAGTGCTGGGATTACAGGCATGAGCCACCGCGCCCAGCCTGCACTGTACTTCTTCTTTTATCTGCTTGTGAATGTACCTGCCATTAGCTAGTTTTCCTTTCCCTCAGCCCCCCTCCTTTTTTTCTATTCTTTTTTATTTTTTTGAGATGGAGTTTCACTCTTGTTGCCCAGGCTGGAGTAAACTAGTTTTCCTTTCCCTCAGCCCCCCTCCTTTTTTTCTTTTCTTTTTTATTTTTTTGAGACGGAGTTTCACTCTTGTTGCCCAGGCTGGAGTAAAATGGCACGATATCGGCTCACCGCAACCTCCACCTTTCAGGTTCAAGCGATTCTCCTGCCTCAGCCTCCCAAGTAGCTGGGATCACAGGCATATGCCACCATGCCCGGTTAATTTTGTATTTTTAGTAGAGACAGGGTTTCTCTATGTTGGTCAGGCTGGTCTTGAACTCCTGACCTCAGGTGATCCACCCACCTTGGCCTCCCAAAGTACTGGGATTACAGGCGTGAGCCACCACGCCCGGCCCCCTCAGCCCCTTTTATAGTTGCTCTTCTCTCTCTTGAGAAAGACGGACCTTAATCCCCTTGGAAACTTGCTAAAGTGCACTGCACAGGGTAGAAAACTCTCCGAGGTAACAATCAAATAAACAATTTGAGATACTCATGTCAGAATTAATAAACAGAATGATTAACGATTGGGTAACATATCCTTTTATGATTCAGCTGATTTCCAATTATTTACATTCTTCAAAGAATAACTCAGAAATGTTTAGTTAATTTGCTCACAAATTATTTACTCACATATGATGGAGTCAGTTGGTAAACTGAGTAAAATAACAAAGGCAAAAACAGAATTGATAAAGAGAGGGAAGAAAGGGAGAGGAAAAATACTACAGACGACCTGGGAACAGGGTAAACTATCTGTTGGTAGCTGACCGTGGATGTACAAATCTCTTCAAGATTGAACTGCCTTATTTTACAGGTAACAGCAACCTTGACTCACAGAGTAAAGTGACTTTGTCTAAAGCAGTTTCTCAACAGCAGCAATTCTGGTATCTGGGGCCGGGTAATTCCTTGCTGTGGGGACTGTCTTATGCACTAGATGGCGTTCAGCAGCATCCCTGGCCTTTACCCACCAAATACCACTAACCCCTTCTCCCAAACCCAAATGAATTCACACACTGCCAAATGTGGGGGGCGGAGGTGGGATAAAACCTCCTCTGCATGAGAACCACTTCTCTCAAGAAACGTCCAGTACCAGGGTAGGTGACCAAGGATTCTGTCGCCCAAGAGATGACAGAAGGCTCTAGATAAACGCACACTCCGTTGCCATTCACAAGGCGTTTTGTTTTTACTTCTCAAAAGCGGCAGAGATTTTTTTTTTGAGACGGAGTTTTTTGCTTTTTGTGGCCCAGGCTGGAGTGCAATGGCGCGATCTCGGCCCACTGCAACCTCTGCCTCCCGGGTTCAAGCGATTCTCCTGTCTCAGCCTCCCGAGTCGCTGGGATTACAGGTGCAAGCCACCACGCCCGGCTAATTTTTTTTTGTATTTTAGTAGAGACAGGGTTCCACTGTGTTGCCCAGGCTGGTCTCGAACTCCTGAGCTCAGGCAATCCACCCGCCTCGGCCTCCCAAAGTGCTAGGATTGCAGGCGTGAGCCACCGCGCCCGGCCAGAGATTCTTTTTTTTTTTTTTTTTTTTTTTTGAGACGGAGTCTCGCTCTGTCGCCCAGGCTGGAGTGCAGTGGCGGGATCTCGCCGGCCAGAGATTCTTTATAGGACATATTAGTCCTTGTCTTTCCCCCCCCGCCTCCATATTGGAAAGATGAACTAATTGAAATATGACTTAGTAAAAACATTGTGCCAACTTGAAACCTTGATTTAGTAAAACATCTCAATGTTTAGATCCTTTGTCCAATGGTAGTATTTATCAGATGTATTCAGCTTGCTCAGAAAACCAAAAGGGCATTACAACCACAAAAGCAAAGAAAAATAAGAAAACGTCCCATGTTTGGATCTTGTTCTACTTGTAAAGATTAAATTGAAATGATTAGGCTTTTCGATTCATGAGCCAAATACCGTAACACCCTGGCCTTTGATGGGTTTGGATTTTTAACATTACTCCTGAGATTTCAGGAAGTGGGGTTACAGTTACACTCCTTATAGCTGCTAAGTGTATTAAGTTGAATGTAAGGATGCATAATATTGTTTGAATTGAGCCCCACTACCAATTCTTTAAAAAATGGCATGAATTCCTATACGTAAATGATTTGGTGGAACTATTCCATCATAATTTCTAAATTGTTTATATACCAAGGTAGCCTTAATTTGTATATGTTTCAGTACAATGAAATTTTACTCCCTCTGGGATGCTGTTTGGTTTGTATTTTGAGGAATGTTTTTCTCATGGGAAGAGGAACCTATGACTTCTGTACCTAGATAATTTGTTACATTAAAAAGCTGGTCTTTCAGCAATGTAAGTATATACATACATGTTTTTATGAGGAAAAAAAAGCAGCAGAGATCAGAAGACTGCCACCGTGCTTGGAGAAGAAAGAAAGCCGCGCGTGGCCTTCGCAGTGCTCGCCGGGACTCGTAGTTCCAGGTCTGCGGGCTCCTCCCAGGCGGGGATCTACTTCCTCTCTCGGCCGCGGCCGCAGCACCCGGAAGCTGAGGGGGCTTAAAGTCTTTCGCTTCCTTTCCCCGCCTCTTAGTCCCGCAGATTGCTAGTGGATATGGCCAATAGGAGGGCTGACTGGTACTTCCTGTTATTTGATTGGCTTAAAATTTTGCAACCGCCCGGACAAACTTGCCGAGGATTGGCTGAGCCTTCAGTTTTGAAAATCATAGTTTTCGCCCGCGCTGCGCCGCCTGGTTGCTCCTCCCGTGCGGTGAGTCCCGAAGGCCCGGAGCCAAGTGGGTCTGGGCAAGCGGGGCCTTACCTAGGGATACCACCGGACTTGGATCGGAGCAGCCTTCAGGGGACGTGGCGCAGTCGAGTGAGTGCGCGTGGGCGTGGGGATTGGGGGGTGGTTCGCGATTTTTTCCCCGGTCCTCTGCTCCGTCCCTGTCGACTCCGGACCAGGGTCGTGACTCCCCACCCCAGCCCCTGGCTACCTGGGCATATGAGGGTCACCTCTTCCAAGTGGCGAGGTCGCCTGCCTTGGTTCTCGGGCCCGAGATGCCTCCCACCCTTTCCACCTAGGCCCTCAGCTTCCTAGAGCATAGCCCCGTTCCCTCCGCTCCCGGCTGCTTGGCACCTTGTGCCTGTGAGGATTAGTGTTGACTTGGACGCGCAGGAAGCCCGAAACCAACCCGGTTGTTTGGCGGAATGATGCCAGATGGCATTTCTGTGCAGTTAAACCCCTCTCTCAACGCCCCCGCCCCCAGCTGAGCAGCATTTTAAACTGACCATTTCCGGAGGCTGGGCCGCCCCTTGTCACTCCCCAAGCCTGTTCGCTGTCAGCGGTTCAGTCTCATTCAGCTAACATGGGTTGCTCGCGGGGTTGCCCAGAGCCAAGACTGGGCACCTGCCTTTCAGAAGTTGATATCTAGAAGGCGGTATAGCCAGTGGTTAAGGGCACGGTTTAAAGGCGGTATAGCCCGTGGTTAAGGGCACGGTTCTATTTATGCCCCTGATTTACCGGCTGATTTTGACTTCTCTTTGCCTCAATTTCCTCATCTGCCCATGCGTATCCTCAAGGTTGTGGTGAGAATTAAATGAGATGATGTCTGACTCGGGCATGGAGTATGACTCAGTAAATGGGAGCAGCTGCTATGCGCTTTCTGCACAGAGGTGTGGTAGGCGCCCAACTTACAGCACCCTGAAAAGGACAGGAGTCATAGAGGAGGACGATGGGGCCTTCAGTCTGGTGTATGGTGTGGAAGAAGTGTTGGAGAGGAGGAAGACTGGAGAGTGTCTTCCTCGGTGAGGTGTTGAGTGCTCTTTATCTGTGTGCAGGTGCTTACATGGGTTGAAGAAGAGATTTTTGCTGCTCTTCCAGGAGCCTGATTCTTGGTACACTGATTCCTTCTTTTTCAGGGTCACCTCTGTTTTAACTTACGGTAACCCTTTTTAAATCGTTGCGCTAAGGTCTGCTAGAAGCAAACCTCCCCGTGAAAGAAGTCCAATTGCTTTCATGGACTTTGTGAAAGAAGCTCTCATCCACGTTGCCCATTTGAACAAATACTTTTTAAAAAGTTAGCCAGTTGTTGCTTTTCTCTGCAAACCTTTGGCTTCCTTAAACAGTTTTCTCTTTTCTGGCCTGAGGTCCTGCGCTTTGCCAGGGCTGTGGTCTGGGTGCAGAAGGGTTAGGGGAAGGTGAGGGATGACAGTGAAAAGGGCTTGCCCATGATTGGCTGGCTGCAGAGCCGAGGTTTCAGCCCAAAGCCTGTACGATCCTGCCCATTTGGCCCTGCCCTGATTATTGCTGCCCTTGGCATCTGGGAACAGGGGTTTTGAACATGTGTTGGTCAGTTCTAACCTGTGCAGATTAAGTTTATTTGGTGCCCTTTGTGTGGTGGGATGAGCACCTATAGGATGTTTATTTCTAGGTGTAGAGTTGATGGGTGGATTAATTCATTTAACAAATAGTCCTTGTTGCCAGGCACTGCTGTGCTCTGGGCATTCAACGATGAGCAAGACAGACAGGGGTTTGCCCTCAGAGAGCAATTGTTTAGTGGGCAGGGACAGGCAGTAAGCAACAGGTAAACAAGCACGCAAGTGCTCTGCAGAGAATTACAATCAATGAATGGGATCATGGCTGGGGCTACTTTAGATTGGTTTTCAGGTTTTCCTGAGGATCTGAGATCCAAGCCATGAGGAGTGAGCCATACAAAATGTGAGACAATGTTCCAGACGCAGGGCAGAGCTTGTTGAGGAACAAAGACTACTGTGTCCTTGAATCAAGCCTGAGGAAGTCCCATGAGACTGAAACCTGACCTGGTGCTACGCCCTGTGAGGGATCAAGGGGTCAGCAATTTATCCCTTCCTTACAAGACCTTCCATTGTAGGTGGGAGGCTGAGTTGTGCATGGTTTTTTTTTTTTTGAGATAGAGTCTCCCTCTGTTGCCTGGGCTGGAGTGCAGTGGTGTGATCTTGGCTCATTGCAGCCTCTGCCTCCTAGGTTCAAGCGATTCTCCTGCGTCAGCCTCCTGAGTAGCTGGGATTATAGGCGTGCACCACCACACACAGCTAATTTTTTTGTATCTTTAGTAGAGACTGGGTTTCACCACGTTGGCCAGGCTGGTCTTGAACTCCTGACCTCGTGATCTGCCCACTTCGGCCTTCTAAAGTGCTGGGATTACAGGCGTGAGCCACCGTGCCCGGCCAGTTCTTGGTTTTAAAGAGGTAAGTCAGGATGGTGGATCACTGCCATTGACTTGAGGCATGCAGTTTGTTGTTATGGCTTATGACCACCACCCATTCATTTGTTCTTTCACTCATTCACCTGTTGGGATATTTAATGAGCCCCTGTTGTGATGTAGTAGAATATGGTTGTCTCTTGGAATCCTCAGGGGATTGGTTCCAGGACCTCCTTTGGATACCAAAATCCACAGATGTTCAAGTCCCTGATATAAAATGACATAGTATTTGCATATAACCTACACACATCCTCCTGTATACTTTATATCTCTATATTATTTATAACACCTAATATGATGTAAAAGCTATGCAAGTAGTTGTTATACTGTATTATTAGGGAATAATGACAAGGGAAAAGAGTCTATACATGTTCAGTACAGATGCAGCTCTTTTTCAAATATTTTCCACTGGTGGTTGATTGCATCCATGGATGTGGAACTCACAGATATGGAGGGCTGATTGTACTTCTTCCTTGCTTGAAGTTTTTGTAATGGCTATCAAGTTTTTTGTTTTGTTTTTTTTTTTTTGAGACAGTCTCGCTGCGATGCCCAGGCTGGGGTGCAATGGTGTGATCTTGGCTCACTGCAACCTCCACTTCCTTAGTTCAAGTGATTCTCCAGGCTCAGCCTCCCAAGTAGCTGGGATTACAGGCGCACACCACCATGACCAGCTAATTGTATTTCTAGTAGAGTTGGGGTTTCACCACATTGGCCAGGCTGGTTTTGAACTCCTGACCTCATGTGATCTACCTGCCTCGGCCTCCCAAAGTGCTGGGATTACGGGTGTGAACCACTGCACCCGGCTGGTTATCAAGTTTTAAGGAGGATACCTGAGCTGCTAGTTTTATAAGAAAGTGAGAAAAAACTGTTTTTGTGTTTTCTCTTGCTCAATGCTTGTAGGCAAGTTTTCTTAAAAGCAAGATATTGCTTACTGTTCCCTTCTTGTTCTATTTATGCTCCATTTGGAGGGCATTTCAGCTCAAGGGAGAGGGTTGTGGGAGGCCCCTTGAGGGCATATCTCTGGATCACTACTTTCTCACTCATTCCTTTGGAACACAGAATCTCTTCTGCTCACTGGCCTCTTAAAGAGGCAGTTGGGTTTGATGTTCTTTGGCCTGATGTCTGGAGTCAGCTTGTATGTAGTGCAGGGTGGCTGTGTCTTAGCCCTCACTTAACCATGAGTAGTAAGATGAGGGCCTACTGGAGAGCGAGAGCAGGACTGTGTTTGGGCAGGGAGTGAGGGGCCCTGGGGTGGCCAGGAAGACAGATGGCAGTGCCCTGTCATCTTAAGCCCAGAAAAGGCCATTTATAAGGAGGACTGTCAATGTCAGAATTGGTTGGGAACTGTGGACTTATGGGGACAGTCATGCTGGCGGGGGGGTGGGGACAGGGAGGTATTTGAAGAGTGTGAGTAGAAGGGCTTCTCTTTGTAGAGATGAGGCTAGGGGATGAGTGTTTGGAATTCTGCAGCTCTGGGGAGTGGCTGTGAGCAGAGAGGGGCCCTGGTTCGGGCACTGGGTGTTTGTGGTGGTTGTGGGTCAGGTGGGTATTGCAGCTTGGAGAAAGCCCCAGACCCCTACCCTGGGCCCCTAACTTGTGCCTCTTGTCCCTGCCTTCACCAGACAGAGCCACCATGGGGACGACGGCCCCAGGGCCCATTCACCTGCTGGAGCTATGTGACCAGAAGCTCATGGAGTTTCTCTGCAACATGGATAATAAGGACTTGGTGTGGCTTGAGGAAATCCAAGAGGAGGCCGAGCGCATGTTCACCAGGTGAAGACGGGCACAGTGAGAGGCTGGGAACACCAGGGCCTGTCTGGGCTGCTTTGGTCTTGGGGACACAACAGCCCCTCGTCCCCGCCTACCTGGCAAAACAGACAGCCTGTCAGGGCTCCCTGCTGTATACTGTGTGTGCAGTGTGCTGGGGGCCTGACCTAGTGTCATGGGAAGAGGCAGCAGGAGAGATCCAGTCCCTTGCCTATTCGCCATCGTTGCTGGCTGGGCCTCTCAGGGTATGTGGCAATGGACGTGCGCCTGGGAGCTTGCTTCCCTGCCGTGTCTCCAGGAGGAAGCCCTGAGTGCCCGCAGGTGACTTGCACATGGCCTTGGAGAGCTCACTTGGTGCTGGACACCCCAGCTTGACCTGTCGCTGCCAGGAAATGGGCAGGGGCCAGGCTGGGTGGGAGAGGGGACCAGTGGTTCCCAGGCAGCCTCGAGTGACACCCTCCTTGTGCCAAACAGAGAATTCAGCAAAGAGCCAGAGCTGATGCCCAAAACACCTTCTCAGAAGAACCGACGGAAGAAGAGACGGATTTCTTATGTTCAGGATGAAAACAGAGATCCCATCAGGAGAAGGTAGGAGGGGTTGGGGGAGAGTGAGCTGAGCAGTGGGCTCTGCGGAGGCTTGGTGCCATCTGGGAGTTTGATTCTGAAGGTGTTGATTTGGAAGTAGCAGCCTGTAGGAGGGGTGGTGGGTACCACCGCGGGTACTGCGTGGGCCATGCTGAGAGGGGTTGGGATGCCACAGGGAACTATAGCTTGACCCAAGACCCTGGAGTCCAAATCTGTGGCTGTGTGTTGGGGGTGGGTGTGTTTGATCTGGGCCCTGGAGAATGGGAAAGATTTCCGTAGGTGGGATGAGAAAGAGAAGCCATCCTTCTGTTAGGTGAGTGTGACCAGGGGTGTAGACCACGTGCCTTGTCCCAGCCGTCATATTGTCATGCTTGTTTTAGTCCCCCTCAGGAATGATTGGGGCTGCAGAGTGCTAGGGAAAGAGGCTGGGTCTTGGGGTTAGGCTTGGGTGTGAACCCCAGCTCTGCCCCTTAGCAGAGCAGTACGGCTTTGAATTGAATTTCTGCCTCTCTGAGCCTCCGTTCCTCATCCCTAAAATGGGGATAGTGGTCTCTGCCTCTCAAGGGCGTGCTCTGGATTAAGGCAGAGCGTGTGTAAGGCTTTCAGCAGGGGCTCGGTGTGGTGTAACTTCAGTCAGCCGGAGGTTTGGATGAATATAATCTTCCTAGCCAGTTCTGTGCGGACTGTGGCATGATCCCCAATTTACAGTTAGGAAGACTGCGGCTCAGACAAGAATGGCCTGGGGCCTCATGGCTAGAGGTGGCAGAATCTGGCCTGGAACCCAGATCTTTTGCCTTCACCTTCTCTTATCATACTCTATCCAAGCTGGTGGCTCTTGGAGAGACTGGGTGCCACCCTGTCCTGCTGCCCGTCTCAGCCTCTGCCCTGCTGCCCCTGCCAGGTTATCCCGCAGAAAGTCTCGGAGCAGCCAGCTGAGCTCCCGACGCCTCCGCAGCAAGGACAGTGTAGAGAAGCTGGCTACAGTGGTCGGGGAGAACGGCTCCGTCCTGCGGCGTGTGACCCGTGCTGCGGCTGCAGCTGCCGCGGCTACCATGGCATTGGCTGCACCTTCTTCACCCACCCCTGAGTCTCCCACGATGCTGACTAAGAAGCCCGAGGATAACCACACCCAGTGCCAGCTGGTGCCTGTGGTGGAGATCGGCATCAGTGAGCGCCAGAATGCTGAGCAGCATGTCACCCAGCTCATGTCCACCGAGCCTCTGCCCCGCACTCTGTCCCCGACTCCAGCTTCAGCCACAGCTCCAACCTCCCAGGGCATCCCGACATCAGATGAGGAATCAACACCTAAGAAGTCGAAGGCCAGGATACTGGAGTCCATCACAGTGAGCTCCCTGATGGCTACACCCCAGGACCCCAAGGGTCAAGGGGTCGGGACGGGGCGGTCTGCGTCTAAGCTCAGGATTGCGCAGGTCTCCCCTGGCCCACGGGACTCGCCAGCCTTTCCAGATTCTCCATGGCGGGAGCGGGTGCTGGCTCCCATCCTGCCGGATAACTTCTCCACGCCCACGGGCTCTCGCACGGACTCTCAATCGGTGCGGCACAGCCCGATCGCCCCGTCTTCCCCGAGTCCCCAAGTCTTAGCCCAGAAGTACTCTCTGGTGGCCAAACAGGAAAGTGTTGTCCGCAGGGCGAGCAGAAGGCTTGCCAAGAAGACTGCCGAAGAGCCAGCTGCCTCTGGCCGCATCATCTGTGAGTCTGGGGGCTTGGCAGTGGCGGGTGGTCCTTGGTGCCAGGCTCAGATGGAGGCTTTCTGAGGGATCATCTAGCAAGGAGCTGTCCAGAGAGCTTTCTGCAGTGAGGTAGATGTTACACATCTGTGCTGTCCTGGGATGGTGGCCGCTAGCTGGCCTCATCTGGCGATTGTGTCCTCAAAATGTGGCTAGTGTGATTGAGGAACTGAATTTTAAATTGTATTGCATTCTACTTCTTTTAGATTTAAATAGTTACATGTAGCTAGTGGCTTCCACGTTGGATGGTGCAGGTCTGACCCAACCTACTTGCTTTACAAGTGAGGAAACTGAGCTTCGGGAAGGTCGGCCACTGTGTGGCTGTGGTTACTGGCCATGTTGAGGCTGGAGCCTGGGCCTCTTCCGCAGGGCCAGCTCATTCCTCCCAACCCTATGCTGCAGAGGCCACTTAAATTCACCGGGTTTGCGCGCCGCCTATTGGCGACACTGTGTTTGATCTGGAGGAGGGAATTATGGCAGCAGGCTCCTTCGGGGAGATCAGATGACTGGGCATCTGATGGGAGCCAGGAGGGGGAACCAAGCTGACTCTGGAGCTGGCCGGCCTGGGTCTGAGTGCCAACTCAGCCATTCACCCACCCTGCAGCCTGGGGCAGGTCCTGGAAACTTCACGGGCCTCCACTCCTTGCCTGTCAACTGGGGCTAATCGCGTCACTTCAAAGGGTCGTTGTGAGGTTTTCTTTGGTCACCCCACACAGGGAGTTTAGAAGGGTGCCTGGCATATAGGAAGGACTCGGTAATGTTAGCTGCTCTCTCAGATCTCAGCTTAGGGGGCCATTGCCCACTGGAGCAGGTGTCTGGAGGGGCAGGCTGGCTGCATGAGGAGGTGAATCTGAGCTGGGAGGGTTCTGAAGGATGGCTGCGCTTTTGCTGAGTGGAAAAAAAATGCGGGGATATGTGTTATTGGCAGAGGGAACAGCTTGTACGAAGACCCTGATGCCTAAAGCAACAAGTGATGGGTGTCTGGGGCTCATGCTCACACAAGAGCTTGAACTTGACCCCACTGAAGCAAAAGAAGTGGCTTGATGATGGGAAAGTGAGGGAAACAGGGAGACCAGATAGGAGGCTGCTGTAAGGATGCAGGCAGAGGACGGGCAAAGCAGCGGATTGGTGGCGAGGATAGGCCAGGATTTATCTTTTTTTTTTTTTGATACAGAGTCTCGCTCTGTTGCCCAGGCTGGAGTGCAATGGCACGATCTCGGCTCACTGCAACCTCTGCATGCATCTCAGGTTCAAGCAATTCTCCTGCCTCAGTCTCCCGAGTAGCAGGGATTACAAGCGCCCGCCATCACACCAGGCTAATTTTTGTGTTTTTGTTTTTTAGTAGAGATGGGGTTTCACCATGTTGGCCAGGCTGGTTTCGAACTCCTGACCTCAAGTGATTCACCCGCCTTAGCCTCCCAAAGTGCCGGGATTACAAGTGTGAGCTACTGCGCCCAGCCCAGGTTTTATCTCAACGCATGTTAAATAGTAGCTGGCATCTGCCTGGCACTTTAAGATTTATAAAATGAAAGGTTATTTCATTTGGTCCTTACAGCAGCATTGTTAGCTTGTGAGGAATTTTTCACTTTACAGAGGAGGAAACTGAGGCTTAAGGAGGCCATGGAGTCTGTAAATCGGGAAGCTGGGGCTTGAGCGCTGTGTGTTTCATTCTGTCCAGAAAGTCAGGTGCTTGCAGAAGAGGCTTTGTGCAAGGCCGCAGGGCAGGGCCTGTCAGGCAGGGGAGGGCACCTCACCTTGGCAGCTTTCTCTCTGCCTGAGTCACACTGCCTGGGGACGGGCCTGCTCCAGGGTTTGGGGTGACATACTCTGGGGCGTGTGCAGATGTGCAGTCTGCCACACTGTCTATTTCTGGATTCTCAGAAGGATCTAAATGGTTCTGATCTGTTTTGGAGATTTTCTCAGGCCTGGATCTGATCTTGGGAAGGGGCTTCAAGCGGGGGCAGGTGAGCCTGGGCCTGTAGAGGGAGGGCCAGGCAGGGTTGCAGAGAATCTCTGGAGACCTTTGGAGCAGACATCCAGATCTGCAGCTCTCATGCCCTTCCATCACTCTTCCCTCTCTGTCTACCCTTTCCCTGCCCATGAATGGGCTTCTGATTTGACTGGTGCATGTTACCTGGGTCTGTCTGACTCCCAGCCCAGCATCATCTCTCCTCTTGAGGGGGTGGAGGAGAGAGAGGAGGATACAGGATCTAGGATCTGGAGTCACACAGACCCTGGGTGACCTTGGGCACACCCCTTCTCTCAACCTCAGCTTTTCTGTGAAATGGTGATAACACTTGCTTTGAATGTGAATAGATAACTCATCTTAGTGCTTGAGTGTAGTGGATACTCAGTACATCTTATTTGAGAAAACTCACCAATGGCTGATGCTCAGTTTGGGTGCGACAAGGCCGACCCCTAGTGAGGAGCTGCAAGGGTGTCAGGGAGTGGGGCGGTGACAGGGGAGGAGGCTTCCTGGGGGTCTTCCTGATACCAGGCTCTGGGAGAGGCTCTCGGGCAGCTCCAAGGTGGGGTCTTGGTTTGGGTGTTCCCCACGAGCAGCCCTTGACACAAGGATTTGAGTTCAATTTGTTAATTTTTGGGAAATTAACAAATTTAATTTCCCAAAAATTAAATTCGGGATGGGAAGGAAACACCTGCACCAGAGGAATGGAAAAATGAGATAGGAAAAAAAGCCAGCAGTCAGCGTGGGTGGAGGGGGCTTCTGGAAGCCAGAGTGTGGCCCCGGGGCGTGGAACTGCTGTGTGTCAGCAGGAATCCCCTGCCTCCTGGCCTGGTGCGCACGTGCCTGCGGGGCCCATCGGGCAGCAGTTCTGAAGTGGATAGGAAGGGACAGGCCCACTGCCTCAGGACTCCACCTTGGGGCGTTCGAGCCACCTCTGCATTGGAGAACAGTCCTTCCATCCCTCTGCCAGTGCTTAGGCCACTTCCCTACCACCAGACCAGCTCTGAGGCCTGAATGTCGTGCAGATGGCACTTAGCATTCCAGAGAATGCTTGTGCTGGTGGGAGAGCCATGTAGTCACATGGGCGTCTTCATCAGGGAGCACGTGAGCTGGGATGACACAGCATGGGGAGATGAGGAGGATGTATCTTCTGGGTATAAACCCCTTAAATGGGGGTCATCACCACCCATGACTGTCAGCCCGGCGCTGCAGCTGCTCCCACCACCTCCCCAAACCTGGCTGCTATACCCAGGAAGGGTCCTGGCTTCCCTTCTCTGTGCCTGGCCTGCTGTCTTCCCTCTTTTCCTGAGACCCTGTGCACCCCAACCTCCCGCTGGCCACCTCCCAGCCTGAACTCTGACCAAGCCCCCATGGCTCAGGATGCGCCAGCTCAGCTACCTTCTCTCTGTTCCCCAAAAAAGCCTCTTTTTTTCCTGCCTCATGGCCTTGGCCCTCCTTCTCCCTAGACCAGTGGCACTGGGAACAGGCATGCTCCCAGCTAGGAAGAAGCCGGGGACATAAAGCTAGCAGCTGTGGTGAGGATACCAGGGTGAGTGCTGAGGGTGAGGGACCTGGGCTTCCTGTTTTTAATGATTAAGCCTCAGCCTCAAAAAGCTTTTGACAGCCTGGACAACATGGCCAGACCCTATCTCTACCAAAATGGAAAAAATTAGCCAGGTATGGTGGCATGTGCCTGTAGTCCCAGCTACTCAGGAGGCTGAGGTGGGAGGATTGCTTGAACCCAGGAGGTCGAGGCTGCACTGAGCTGAGATTGTGCCACTGCACTCCAGACAGAGTGAGACTCTGTTAAAAAAAAAAAAAAAAAAGCTTTGATTATGAGGTTATATCTATTGATCGTTACTGTATTAAAAATTAAAACTGAGGAGTTTAAAAGTATTTTAAATATTAATATTTTTATATGAATATTTAGTACTTTAAAGATTTAAAAATATTGTTTAATATTTTAACATTATAAAATGCAAGTACCAAGCCTATCACCTGTTTACATTAAGACTTTTTATGAAAAAATAACTTTTCCAAAACAAAAATGTACTGAAGACACTGGCATTATTCTACATTTTGCAAATCTCTTTATTGTATGACTTTAAATAAGCCACATTCTGCGTTTGATCTGTTGTTGCATTGTGTTGTTTGGGTTAAAGTAACTGAAGAACTGGACGGGCGAGGTGGCTCACACCTGTAATCCCAGCACATTGGGAGGCCGAGGTGGGCAGATCATGAGGTTAAGAGATTGAGACTGTCTTGGCCAACATGGTGAAACCCTGTCTCTACTGAAAATACAAAAAATTATCTGGGCGTGGTGGCACGTGCCTGTAGTCCCAGCTACTCAGGAAGCTGAGGCAGGAGGATTGCTTGAAACCGGGAGGTGGAGGTTACAGTGAGCTGAATTCACGCCACTTCACTCCAGCCTGGGTGATACAGTGAGACTCTGTCTCAAAAAAAAAAAGTAGCTAAAGAACATCTGGCCTCACATAGACGTGTAGTTGGGAAAGGGAGGAGTATCTTCATAGCTTTTTCAGATAATTATGCATATTCTTTGTTATCAGGACCAGCGCAAGAAGTGGTAGTTCTTAAAGGTTTGTTGTGGTGTGGAATCTGAAACCATGTTGCTGATTCCACACGGGTCTACCTTGCACTTTGTTTTGTTTTTTTTTGTTTTGTTTTGTTTTTGAGATGAAATCTCACTCTGTCGCCCAGGCTGGAGTGCAGTGGTGCGATCTCAGCTCACTGCAACCTCTGCCTCCCGGTTCAAGTGATTCTCTTGCCTCAGCCTCCCGAGTAGCTGGGATTACAGGTGCCCACCGACGCCCGGATAATTTTTGTCTTTTCAGTAGAGACGGGGTTTCACCATGTTGCCAGGCTGGTCTCAAACTCCTGACCTCAAATCATCCGTCTGCCTCGGCTTCCCAAAGTGCTGGGATTACAGGCGTGAGCCACCACAACTGGCCACACTTTGAATGGATCTTTTAGATGTGTCTGATTTCATAACCACATACATCGATCATTTCGAAAATATTGTTTCACCAAGTTATGCACGTCTTCCAAGTGTTGACACCCTTCATTATATAATATCCTAAAAAAGCACATTTGTTTTCTGACCTCATCAGAAAAGTCCTTAGATATTAGGATGCTGTGACCCTGCTGGTGGTGGATACGCGCTTTTCAAAATTCTACTCTTGGATTCGTTTTGGCTCAATTTTTTTTTTCTTTTTGAGATGGAGTCTTGCTCTGTTGCCCAGGCTGGAGTGCAGTGGCACAATCTCAGCTCACTGCAAGCTCCGCCTCCCGGGTTCACGCCATTCTCCTGCCTCAGCCTCCCGAGTAGCTGGGACTACAGGCGCCCACCACTACGCCCGGCTAATTTTTTGTATTTCTACTAGAGACGGGGTTTCACCGTGGTCTCGATCTCCTGACCTAGTGATCCGCCCGCCTCGGCCTCCCAAAGTGCTGGGATTACAGGCGTGAGCCACCGCACCCGGCCTTGGCCCAATTTTTAAATTATTGTCAGCACGTGGTGTTTTATTTTTGTGATGGATTCACTTCATTGACTTGTGAAAAAATGTCTTCCAGATACCCAAGACTGAATAACCATTGTCAGTCGTTCTTTTAATTAATAATAGTGGTTCAGGTGAAAAAGTGGCTAGTGCAGCTGGCAGCTTAGAGACGAGCGCTTTTCACAGAGAGTTGGGTTTGCAGCAACAGGCATTGTGCACACTTCCCACCTCAGCACACAGAAGAGTAGAATGGCATGTACTTGAGTTTAGATTTAGTAAAATTAGGACTTTTGCAGGCGCAGTGGCTCACGCCTGTAATCCCAGCACTTTGGGAGGCTGAGGCAGGTGGTTCACTTGAGGACGAGTTCAAGACCAGCCTGGCCAACATAGCGAAACCCTATCTCTACTAAAAATATAAAAAATTAGCTGGGTGTGATGGTACATGCCTGTAATTCCAGCTACTTGGGAGGCTGAGGCACCAGAATCCCTTGAACCCATGAGGTGGAGGTTGCAGTGAGCTGAGATTGCGCCACTGCATTCAGCCTGAGTGACAGAGTGAGAGTCTGTCTCAAAAAAAGAAAAAAAATTAGTACTTTTTACACCTTCATCAAGGACATTCCTCAGTGAAACTGGACATCTCTCCTTCCCGTGAGTGTGTGGTCCGAGGATAGTGTTTGATGCTCTGGCCTTGACTGGGGCTGAGGCTTCAGCAGCTAGTTCCTCATTGCTTTTGTGCCATCAGGGCAAATGTCAACATAGTGAAAGGGAAAGTAACATTTTAGTATCATAATTTTAGTATCATGATTAGTTACGACCTCGTGGATCCCCCATGGGTCTCAAGGACGTCCAAGGGTCAGAGGATGCAAGCTGAGAACCACTGGCCTGGACATCCTCCTCCTTTGTAAACTCCTCCAGGCCAGCTCAGGTCCCCCCATCATAGGCTTTTAAAATTCTCTGCTCTGGACCAGGCGCAGTGGCTCACGCCTGTAATCCCAGCACTTTGGGAGGCCGAGGCGGGTGGATCACTTGAGGTCAGGAGTTCGAGACCAGACTGGCCAACATGGTGAAACCCTGTCTCTATTAAAAATACAAAAATTAGCCGGAAGTCGCTTGAACCCAGGAGGCAGTGGTTGCAGTGAGCTGAGATTGTTCCACTACACACCAGCCTGGGCAACAGAGCAAGACTCCGTCTCAAAAAAAAGAAAAAAAATTTCTCTGCTCTGTTCCACCATTGCCCATGCTGGTGTTGTTGATAGGACTATTTGATGATTGTTATCTAGACCAGATGGTGGTTCTGTTTTGCTCACCATTGGGGTCCTGGGGCCTGGCCCAGGTCCCAGTACACTGTAGACACTTGATGAATATTTGTTGACAGAATAAGCTGCTTTGTGTTGGGCCCCATGCTGGGAGTTTGGGGCCTGGAGCTGCAGCAAACATTGTCCCTCTTCTCGAGATATTCCCAGCCCAGTGAAGGTGCCCAGCCGTGCTCTCAGATGGGCATGGGAAGACCATCTGGGAAGCAGCCGGGGACATGAAGCCAGCAGCTCCGATAAGGACACTAGTATGAGTGCTGAGGGGAGGGTCCTGGGCATGGTGGGGGCTCCACGGCTAGTGATGGGAGCAGTGGCCAGGCCCTTGCTGGAACCCGGTCCCCTGGACCCCTTAGAGTGGGACCTGTGTGGTCTCTGATGAGATCTTTTGTGCCTTTCTTTTCCCCCTCAGGTCACAGTTACCTGGAGAGGCTCCTGAATGTTGAGGTGCCCCAGAAAGTTGGGTGAGTTCAGTTCCAGGGCTTCGGAGGTAGGCAGGGCATACCAGGACAGGGAGCCAAGGTGAGCACCAGGGCTGGAAGCAATTCCTGGGCTGAGTCTTCCCCACTGAGCCTTGACCGCCCAGGAGCTGCCCCGTTTTCCCTGTCTGACCAGGCAGTGAGTGATGTGGGTGTTGGCCACCTGGTCTCCTTGCAGCACCCGTCAGCGTTGCTGGTTGCCTGGCTAGACCTGACCCTGGGGCGTGGGCTCCAGAGGTTGGGGGTGAGGCGGGGCTGCCAGGAAGAGCTACATTCAAACTGGCTGGGGTAGGATAGGAGTGCTCCAGGATTACACCCAGTGCTGCTTCGGGCCAGGACACAGACTCCTTTTCCTGGAGGCCGTGTCCTGCCATCACTAAAACCAGCCCCCTCCCTCCTTGCTGCAGAGCAGAGGGTTTGTTCTTGGGACGGGGAAACAGGGTGACAGGGCAGACCTGCTGGCCTTGCCAGCCCCATGGTGAATAGAGAACAGACCACAAAAGAGATGCAGCTCACCTGGGCCCAAGAGGTGGAGGCGGAGCTGAGGACAGGGCTCACATCCTGAGACAGCTCTGTGGTGGGGTGCCAGGGAGATGAAGCCACATTCTGAAGCTGACATCCCTCGTCTGTCCATGGAGCCATTGCCGGGAGCTGCCATCCTCCTATCCTACAGGGGGCTGTGGGTTCGTGGCCCTGGCCAGGGCACCTTGTGTTGACCTCTTGGGTCCCCATCCCTGGAATGGTAGAGGGACTCCCTAGGGGGAGGGCTTGGACTAGCTGGGCAGTCCCCTCAGAGTCCCTCTTCTGTTTTCAGTTCTGAGCAGAAGGAACCCCCCGAGGAGGCTGAGCCTGTGGCGGCAGCTGAGCCAGAGGTAAGACGGCTGCCTGGGGAAGGGAGGACTCACCTCTGGGGCTCCCGCTCTGCACTACGGCCATCCTGGGCCTTGGGTTCCAGGTCAAGACCCCTAAAGCCTTGGTTCTTTCCACAGGTCCCTGAGAACAATGGAAATAACTCGTGGCCCCACAATGACACGGAGATTGCCAACAGCACACCCAACCCGAAGCCTGCAGCCAGCAGCCCGGAAACACCCTCTGCAGGGCAGCAAGGTGAGGCTTCCTGACCTGCCGTGTGCAGTGCCCGGAGCCACAGCGGGCCTTGGCGGCCTCGGCCTGACCTTCTCTCTGGGGATAAGGAAGCCCCATTTTCTGGGCCAGTAGGCTAAAGAGAAATTAAACCTGGGGGTGCAGAGATCCCTTTTGAGTCTGTAGACTTCACCTCCCACCGTTGGGCTGGAGCTGTCACTGAGTGCAGCATGGGGGGCTGTGGCTGGTTGGGACAGGAAGCAGAGGAAGGGGCTGCATCGGGGTATGGATATGAAGAGGCCAGGTCAAGGCCTTGACCTTGACTCCAGGGGCCAGTGGGAAGAGCTGTGGGCTGGGGATTGAACACCCCACCTGGCCTCCTGCTTTGCCTCCCCCGCCAGCTCCTTTCTGACCTTTGTATGTCCATCCTTGTCTAAAGAGGGCTGGAGAGCAGTGGGTTTGGGAGTGTCCCAGGGTCCTGCTCACATCTCCCTGAGAAGGGTGCCTCTCTCTGGTGGAAAGTGCACTGTAGCTGTGAGATCTTGAACACGGCCTCCTCCTCTTTACGACGTGGTCAGGGACAATGGTCATGCCAGCCCTGCAGCCCCAAGGGCTGCTGTGAGGAACTTTTGGAGTAAGGTGCACCTTCTCCTAGCAGTGAAACAAAACAATACTGACCCTACACCCTCCATGTTGACCCTGCAGCGGGAGCTGCCCCCTCCTGCTGTCAGGGCCACACCAGCTGCATGGCCCAGGAGGGGTGGAATTTAGAAGCTGTGCAAGGGGCTTGGAGCTCCTGCTTCTACAAGGCGTCCACACACTGTTCTTCGTGTCAGAGGTGGGTGGGGCACGTCTGGGGCTGCCGCCTCGACAGGACCGTCCCGCCCTGCCTTGCCTATCATAGAGCCAGGCACTCGCGGGGAGGTGTTCGTGAGCTGGGGGTAGCCAGGCCCTGGCATCTGTAGATTTGTATTTTTAGTAGAGGCCGGGTTTCACTATGTTGGCCAGGCTGGTGCTGAACTCCTGACCTCAAGGATCCGCCCACCTTGGCCTCCCAAAGTGCTTGTAGATTCCTCAAGGCTAGTCAGGGTTAAGGCTGATATGTCTGCGTTTGGCCACCCCGGAGCTGCCAGGAAGGGAGCCTTGCCCACTGCCAAGGCTGCTGCCCAAGGACCCCTTCCCCCTACACCCCCATTCCCACCCTGCCGCCGCCATCGTTTCTGCAGCCTTGCTGAAATTGCTGTCTTCACAGAGGCCAAGACGGACCAAGCAGATGGACCCAGAGAGCCACCGCAGAGTGCCAGGTTTGCATCCGGGAAGGGGTGTGTAGGTAACTCTGAGGGCCCTGGAGGATGTGGCCTTGTGTCCTTGCTCAGGGAAGGTGGATGTGTGCTCAGGGGCTTCAGAGCCTCTCTGCTGGGGTGTGGCCTGGTGTTGTGACTTAACCAAGGAGGCAGCTCCATGCTGTGGATGAGCGCAAACCTGGGAATAGGGCGACCCGATTGTTGACCCCGTCTTAGTGTGGTCTCCTGGCCATGTGACCTTGGACTGTTCACCTCCCTTCCTCTGAGTGGGCAGCAGAGGGTTGCTTAGGCTCTGCAGCCTCTTTCAGTCTAGAGGCCTGTGGCCTGGGCCCGGTATTGTTCACCGGGGTGACTTTTGATGGGGTGTGGCTGGGCTGTGGCGGGCTGCCCTGTGATGCCGCCGCCCGCGCCTTGGCAGGAGGAAGCGCAGCTACAAGCAGGCCGTGAGTGAGCTGGACGAGGAGCAGCACCTGGAGGATGAGGAGCTGCAGCCCCCCAGGAGCAAGACCCCTTCCTCACCCTGCCCAGCCAGCAAGGTGAGCCAGGCACCTGCCCTCTCCTGGAGCCCTGACCCCCTTCAGTACCCTGCCCCGCCTGCCCACTTCTGACCCTGGTCCTCGTCTGCAGGTGGTACGGCCCCTCCGGACCTTTCTGCACACAGTGCAGAGGAACCAGATGCTCATGACCCCGACCTCAGCCCCACGCAGCGTCATGAAGTCCTTTATTAAGCGCAACACTCCCCTGCGCATGGACCCCAAGGTGAGGGGCCTGTGCCCAGGCCGGGCTTTGTGGGAGCTGGGCAGTGTGGCTGAAGGTCCAGTCTGTCCTGTAAGATACTGGGAGTAGTGTGAGCCTGGGCGGAGGCAAGTGTGGCCTGGCACTGTTAGGGGCCGGTTGAAGCCTCTGTGGCCACCGGCTGTCTTGACCTCTGAGGGCACTGTCCTGCACTTGACCTTGTGGGCTCTGGACTACAGCCTGGAGGCTTGGCCGGCTCAATGTGAGCCCTGGGGATCTGTGTAGTTAAGGTGAGAGGTACTTGTGGACACCTCCACCACTGGGGTGAGGGTTGGGTGACAGGAGAGGCGGTGGGGGTGCTGCTGGCAGGAGGGCAGGCCCCACGCAGGCTTGCTGGCACAGCTGGGCATGTGGCCTGCCCGGCAGGATGCTCCCCGGCCTGGCATTAACTCTTGCCTTTTCCCTTGTCTCCTCCACAGTGCAGCTTCGTCGTAAGTAAAGCCTTTTCCTGTCGGTAACCTCGCCCCACCTAGCACTCACCCGCTGTAGCCCCTTCCCTGCGTAGCTGACAGCACCTGTAGATGCACTAACATTGTAAGCGGGAGGGGAGCCTTAGGAAGAGAGTGGGACGGTGAGGGGTGCACTGGCTGGAGGCGCCCAGCAGTTCTGGGCCCCAGCGTCCTTCTCTGCCCTCCCTGCCCTTGACTCTGCTCTTAGGAGGAAGCAAGGGGGTGTGGCTTTTCACCAGGGCTACAGCTTGATGTGTTCTCCACAGCCACCTTCCCTCCCTCCTCCCCTGCACCAGGCCCCGTCAGGGTCTGTGGGTCTTTGAAGAGAACAGACAGGTTGTCTGTGGTCCCCAGAGCTACTGAGATTTATTGGTTCACAGACCTGAGCAGTAGCCTTGAGGCAGTGGGGTGATGGGGGAGCGCAAGTGTGGGTCTGAACTGAGGTGGAAGTGCTGGGTCTTGCTGTGCTGGGTGACAGTAGAACAGTGGGTGGTAGCGTCTAGAAACAAGTCGCAGAAGCTGTTCTCTTCTCAGACACCTCAGAGCTGAGCCGAGCCAGGCAGGCCCTGAGCAAGGACCCTCAGATGGGGACATGCTTAGCCTGCAGCCCCAGCTCCCTGTGCCATTTGCCAAGGCCACAGACACCTCATTCCTTTAGTTCCTGCAAGCCTTCTGAAGGGTCCTCTGCAGCCACACAGGGACACCTGTGACAGCCGGGAGGGCTTCTGCCTCCAGTTGAGGGCCTCGGCAGGTGAGAGGGGCTTCCCAGCAGCTGGCCAGGTGGGCCCTGAGCTGGCTTCTCCGCATGGAGGCCTGTTCCCCTCTTGTTGGAGAGGGTGACTGACAGTATACCTTCCAGTGGCCTTACCACCTGTGCCGATTAGAGCCCTGCAGGTCTCACAGGGTGATAGAGAAGACCAGGAAGTGGTCCCCTTTCCTGCTTTGGGGATCCCAGGTCCCTGCACAAAGCATCTAGTGGGTGGGGACAGTCCATAGTTAGGAGACCAGGGGGCTACGGAGTCATTTTGGACTGCATCCTGAACATTCTGCTATGAGTCTCTGGGTCTTGTTTAAATCTATGGACAATGTTGATATTTTCTCAGCATTGCAATTTAGTAGCAATTGACCTGGTTAGGTTTAGGCTGCAGGTTCCCATCTGCCTTCTGTGGACTCTGGTTCCAATGTTAGTCCCGATTTTGAAGATGGCAGTGCTGTTTGGACTTTTCCCGGGTGTGTGCCAGTCAGCAGTCAGCCTGGGACTTGGCAGGTGGTCTGTTAGTTTAGTTCTCAGCCTTCGGTGTGGTAATTAGGATCAGATCCTAGCATCTGCAGCTTAGAGCTGAGCCTGGGCGTTCGTCAATAACCTGCAGCATCATTTTCCCGATCTCCTCTGGGGCTCCCTTTTCTGTCCTCCAGCCAGGAAGCTGGGGCTTCAGTTACCTTGTTCTGCTTTGTGTGCTTCTACGACTGTGTCCAGGGCCACCTGCCAGGGGGACAGGGAAAGAACAACACATAGGATTTGGCCACACTTTTGGGATCACAGCTCCTCCTCTGAGTTTTGACTTGGCAGCTTTCTCTGTCCAGGGTCGCCTGGCAGGGGGACAGACAGAAGAGCAACACACAGGGTTTGGCCCACACTTTTGGGATCACAGCTCCTCCCTCGAATTTTGACTTGGCAGCTTTTCTTCAACTGCTGCTGCCCCTGGTTGCCATAGGACTGCTTGTGGGCTGGGGCACAAGGCAAAGAAGAAAAGAGAACAAACAAAAATGGGATTTCTGCCTTCTCTGAGCATTAGATACTCCCTTTCTGCTGCTTGAGTCAGGACTAGAGGGCTTGTCCTGGAATTCTTTCTGTCCGTGCCCCAGTGACTCCTTTGGAGTTCCAGGCTGTGTTGAGTTAGGCTGGAGAAAAACAATGGAGAACTCACTGCTGGTTGGCTGGTGCTTCCAAGTCTGGTCTTCTTCCCTATCTGCCTGCTCCTCTTTAGTTTTCAGAGGCCTCAAGTAGCCGCTCCTTGCATTCTGTCCAGGTTTTGTAGCTGCATTCAGTGGGAGAGAGAGGTGGAGTATGTCCACTCCATCTTACCCGTTCCCGGGACCCCTTCTCTCCGTCTTTGGGAGGATGGTATTACCTTGGAGCCAGATTTCTAGGCGAGAGTGCTCCTCCAGTTAGGCTCAGAAGCCAAGGAGAAATCGATAGTAACCAGTACAGGAAGAGGGGGAAGCTATTGGACACTGTGCCTAAAGGTGGGAGTCTACTGGGAGCCAGGTTGGGGTGATGGGTGTGGGGCTTCCCTCTGGGTCCCAGCCTCCACCCAGCCCCAGACTGTTCAAGGGGAAAGCACTAGCCTTGTCCTTGGCCAGGGAGGGCTTAGAGCCCCTGCCCATCCCTGCTGGCTGCCCATTGCTGTGGCTGTGCCCCTGGGACTTTCTGTGTCTGCCCAGGAGGGGGTGCCAGCATCAATCAGCTTTTCAGCCAACTAGTACTTTTTTAAAGTTGCCTTAAAAATGAACATAGCCAGCTGGGTGTGGTAGCTCACACCTGTAATCCTAGCACTTTGGAAGGCCAAGGCAGGCGGATCCCTTGAGGTCAGGAGTTCAGCACCAGCCTGGCCAACATAGTGAAACCCCACCTCTACTAGAAATACAAAAATTAGCTGGGTGTGGTGGCACATGCCTGTAGCTCCAGCTACTCGCGAGGCTGAGGCACGAGAATTGCTTGAACCTGGGAGGTGGAGGGTGCAGTGAGCCGAGATCGCGCCATTGCACTCCAGCCTGGGTGACAGAGCAGACTCTGTCTCCACACAAAAAAAAAAAAAGAAAAAAAAGTGCATAGCCATGTCACAGGAAGTTTGGAAAATAAAAGAAAATTAATACCATCCCTAATCCATCTCACTAGACTGTTAGCATTTGTCAATATTTCCTTTTATTTTTTTCAACTATTATGAAATAGTTGATATACACAATAGAATATATGTATACATATAGTATGGATATTATAAAGCATGACAGTAGTAAGTTAAACCTTGCATCTGCACCACCCCCTTACTAGAACATTCACCATGATTGGGAGAGCTGCCTTTCTGCTCCTCACCCTTCCAAGCTCATCCTTCATTTTCTTTTTCAATGCACAGTTTATGTAGTTGTCATTAGCACATAAATCCTATTTGGAGCCTGACTTTTGTGTTGCCCAAAACTTGGCAGGGCTCAATGGAGGGCACTGTGGCTCAGGCCCTTGCGAGGTAGCTGAGTGCTCCTGGGAGGAAAGGCGGGAGCTGCGGGCCTTGGCTTGGGTGCTGTTGGGGCCACGTTGGGGATACCTCTGCCTAAGAAGCATTCTGATGCTGCCACCCACGTGGCTGCAGGCTGCTGGGGACTGTGGGCAGCTTTTGGGGCTGGGTGGGGGGTCGTCCTTGCTCATGTCCCATCTCCCTCGCTCCCCGCCACCCCAGGAGAAGGAGCGGCAGCGCCTGGAGAATCTGCGGCGGAAGGAGGAGGCCGAGCAGCTGCGCAGGCAGAAGGTGGAGGAGGACAAGCGGCGGCGGCTGGAGGAGGTGAAGCTGTAAGTGGCCTGGCTTCCTGGACTGTGGCCCATCCCAGCCTTGGTGGGGCTCCCCATGACTATCCTATGCCCCGCAGGAAGCGTGAGGAACGCCTCCGCAAGGTGCTGCAGGCCCGCGAGCGGGTGGAGCAGATGAAGGAGGAGAAGAAGAAGCAGATTGAGCAGAAGTTTGCTCAGATCGACGAGAAGACTGAGAAGGTGGGAGCCTGGGCTGTGGAGGCCCAGGCAATTCAGGACTTGGGCCAAGGGTTAGGACTGGACCCCTCAGGAAATTGCAGATTTGTCACTGTACCCCTGTACCCATCTCCTGTCTGCCCCATGGGCCCTGGAGTCCACTCAGCTCTGGGTTTCCCTGGCAGCCCTTTGTGAGTGGGGTCTGACACTCAGGCAGGACCGGCTTCTGGTGTCCTCTCCCTGGGTGGTGGGAACAAGCCAGGTGTGCAGGGGCAGGTGGGGCCTGTCACACACAGTTCTGGGCTCCACTCTGCAGGATTGAATGTGGGTGCTCCAATGGGCATGTGTGGGTGGGCTCTGCAGGCCAAGGAGGAGCGGCTGGCAGAGGAGAAGGCCAAGAAAAAGGCGGCGGCCAAGAAGATGGAGGAGGTGGAAGCACGCAGGAAGCAGGAAGAGGAGGCACGTAGGCTCAGGTGGCTGCAGCAGGTGCGAGCACAGGTGGGCCTCAGGGAGGAGGTGGGCGGGGTGGGCGCTGTCTCAGCACCATGGGGCCCTACTGGGTGCACCCCACCTTGTGGGGTTGACCCAGACCATCTTGTTGCTTCATGCTAAGAAGGAGGTTTCCCAGAAGTCTCCAGGGCGGGGATGGTGACCAGAATCTGCCTCTCCTGTAGCAGCAGTAATTTGAGGGTTAAGTGCTTGTACTTGGAGCCAGACTGCCTATCTCAGCTCTGCCATTTATTAGCTGTGTGACTTTCTACAGGCTGCTTGACCTCTCTGCTTCCATGTCTTCAAGTAGCAGTGAGGGTTAAATGTGTTAATGTCTGTAAAATGCTCAGTAGTGTCTGATGCCTGCTAAGAGTTCTATACAATTGCTGTTATGGTCCACCCCCTGACTGTTCTGCCTATAAGAGTAAGGGCCCACCTCTTCCCAGCCAGTCTTAGGACTCTAGAGAAGGCAAATCCACCATTAGGGGTTATGTGACTAGTCACCAAGGTCAGTTATTTACTGTGTGCTAGGCCCTGCTGTGTGTTGTGCGTATCAACCCAGCAACCCCATGAAGTGTAGGAATAACTGCAGTCTCCATTTTATAGACGAGGAAACAGGCCAGAGGGTTTAAATGCTTGCCCGTTGTTTCATAGCTAGCGAGTTTGGCTCCGAGGTTCCTTTCTGCTAAATCTACAGCAGCAGCAGCTGTCACAAGATGCCTTTTCAGGCTGCTGCTGGTGGTTCTGGCAGAGCCTTGCTCGGGATGTCCCACGGCGCCATTCCTGGGTTGTCCGTGGTGGTGGCTGATATGAGGGGCACCTGGGCTTCGGGGGAGTAGGGCTGCTGTCCTGCCTCTCTGGCCTGGGCCTGGCCGCAGCACCTGACCTTGCTCTCTGTTTCAGGAGGAGGAAGAGCGGCGGCACCAAGAGCTGCTGCAGAAGAAGAAGGAAGAGGAGCAGGAGCGGCTGCGGAAGGCGGCCGAGGCTAAGCGGCTGGCAGAGCAGCGGGAGCAGGAGCGGCGGGAGCAGGAGCGGCGCGAGCAGGAGCGGCGCGAGCAGGAGCGGCGGGAGCAGGAGCGGCGCGAGCAGGAGCGACAGCTGGCAGAGCAGGAGCGTCGGCGGGAGCAGGAGCGGCTCCAGGCCGAGAGGTGAGGGACCTGCTGGCCCGCCTGCCTGCCTTCCATGTGTGTGGAAGAGAGACGGTGTGAACCTTGCCTGGACACAGCCCCACCTGCATGTGACGGTTTGCAGGTGCTTTCCTTGGCACCAAACCCAGAGGCCCACCTGAATACACTGCCCATTGGCTATGGGAGATCCAAGGAGTGATAGGTGGGCTTGCTTAGGGCTTGGCTTGGTTCTGCCTCCAGCTGCATGTGCTGACCTCTTAGGTGTCTTTTTGTAACTGTCAGGAGTGTGGTGCTCAGAGGATGAGCTGATATTTCTCAGCAGGGCCACCATGGGCATTTTGGGCAGGAAAGATCTTTGTGTTACATTGCAGGATGTTTGGCATCCTTGGCCCCTGTCCCCACTAAATGCATCTCCCCTGGTGAGGACGATAACTCAGATTACCCCCTACCGATATTTTCAGACTGTTCCCCTGCCTTGGGAACCGTGGACCCAGGAGCCCTGGGATTTTCCAGCTGTGCAGATGCAGTGGTCTCTGTACAATAGACAAGAGTTCCATGTTTAGTTTTACAGGCATTTGTCCCTGGCCTACCCTGTGCCTGGTTGTTCTGAGAGTCGTGGGGTTGCCAAGGAGGAAAAGCCACACTCACTGTTGGTCAGGAGATACATGGGATCCTGTGTCTGTGTGCACAGAAGTAGAGCACAAGGCCCGTGTGTGTGAGACATGCAGGCCCCGTAGCTGTTCCCTCTCCCGCTCTACCTCCTGGGAAACACCGGGCAGCACGTTTTTTCCGTGTCCATCTTCGTGGGTGGCTTCAGGTTTATCAGATAAGTGAAGAGTCACAGCCAGGGGGCTGCACTGAGTCAGGGCTGCTTGATGGGGACAAAGCTGTCCTTGGTCCTCTGGGCAGAGTCTGGGAAGGCGAGAAGGCGTAGGGTGTAGCTAATGTGCAGGGTGCTGGGCAGAGCAGGGGGCTTTGAGGGTGGCGGTGTGATAGTCATAGTGTCGGCAGCTTTGGTGGGTACCCGAGCTGCATGCTTTACACCTGTTTCCTTGTTTAGTCCTCAGTTGAAGCCCATGGTGGCATGGGAGCCATCAGCTCCACTTCACACAGGGGGAAACAGGTCCAGAGAGGTTAAATGACATGTTCAAAGTCATGAGCCAGTGTGTTGTGGAGGTGACTCCAGAACTCATCCACAGCCTCTTGTTCATGCTTGGAGCCAGTGTCTGCCCTGAAGGTTAGGATAAAAAGGGGTATTGTGGATTATCCCATTTGATTCTCATGTTGACCCTGGAGGAAATGTGTTATGGTCTCCATTGTATAAAAGTGTTATGAGGCTCAGAGACCCAAGTTACAAGGAAAAGTGGGGGCCAAATGTTGGGCTCCAGCTTGTGTTCCCTGCACCCTCAGGTGTGCACACTTCTAGCCCCGGGGCAAAAGCGCAGCTCTTGGCTCTAAGCTGGTTGCCCATTCAGCAATCCCACTTTCTAAGGTGTGTCCTACTGGCTGGGCCTGGTTTCCCCAGCAGGGATGGGAACAGGGCTTGGGCTGGGCCTCCACTTCCTGTCCTAACAGGCTCTTGCTGGGTCCTCAGGGAGCTGCAGGAGCGGGAGAAGGCCCTGCGGCTGCAGAAGGAGCAGCTGCAGAGGGAACTGGAGGAGAAGAAGAAGAAGGTGAGGGGAGCTGGGTTGCGGGCTCCCCTGGGGTCTGCCCTGAGCTGTGGGCGGGTCTGGACTCCTGCAGCAGGGGCTGCCTAGGGAGGGGAGGGAAAGGGAGGAGAATGGAGCGGAGGGAAGGGGAGGGGAGGGAAGGGCACCTGCACAGCTCCCTAACACCCCATTGCCACCTGGGTTCCAGGAAGAGCAGCAGCGTCTGGCTGAGCGGCAGCTGCAGGAGGAGCAAGAGAAGAAAGCCAAGGAGGCAGCAGGGGCCAGCAAGGCCCTGAATGTGACTGTGGACGTGCAGGTGCCACCTGGGCCCCAGTGGAGAGGCTCTCAGGTGGAGGGGCCCACTCTATTCTCTTCCCAGTAGCTAGAGGCACAGGCTGTGTTAGGCCCCTAAGGAAAAGGACAGATACACTTGGCCCAATTGTTTTTACTTCTTTTTATATTCTTTGTTATTCTAAAAGTAGAATTTGTTGAGGTGGGGGATAAAAAGGAACTAAACTTTATAGAAGAGTATACAGTTTTAAAAAAAGGGACCCTCAGGAAAACTCTACTAAGCGCGTTGTATATCCTTCTAGATTTTTACTTATGTAACCCTTTTAACACACACACAGATATCCTCTCTCTCTCTCTCTCTCTTTCACCCATACACATACATATTTAAAATGGGCACATACCATTTGGTGGCTTGATTTCCAGGCCCCCAACCCCCATGGTTTTTTTTCACTTAGTATATTATAGACATCTGTCTATTTCAACACAGGTCAATTTCTTAGTTTTGATGGCTGTGTACCTTAATTGTGCTGGAATTCAGCCGGCTCCTCTTGATGAGCATTTGATCTATTTTCACTTCACTGCTGTTACCAAACAAAACAATGTTTTCATTGCAGCATTGTTAAGATGTGGAAAACTTGGAAGTTAGTATGGTATCTGTCAATGATGGATGGTTACGTTGCAAATCCTGGAGTCTCCTTAGTGGTTCCCAGGAGGATTCTAGACACACTGACCTGGAAGAAAGTTTGCAATACACCTTAGCATCAAAAAAGGAGATACAGAGTCGTGTGTGTTCTGTGACTTTTTAAAATTAAAAAGTAGGCCTGGTGCAGTGGTTCTCGCCTGTAATCCCAGCATATTGGGAGGCCAAGGGGACAGATTACTTGAGGTCAGGAGTTCGAGACCAGCCTGGTCAACATAGTGAAACCCAGTCTCTACTAAACATACAAAAAATTGGCCGGGTGTGGTGGTGCACACCTGTAATCCAGCTACTTGGGAAAGCTGAGGCATGAGAATCTCTTGAACCTGGGAGGCGGAGGTTGCAGTGAGCCGAGATCACACCACTGCACTCCAGCCTGGGCGACAGTGAGATTCTGTCTCAAAAAAAAAGAAAAAGTGATCCTGCACCTTTTGTTTCTCCTGTGAAATAGGAGGAGGTGAGCAGTGCCCCAGCACTCCTCGGTGGTGAGAGATGGGAATGCCATGGAGGGAACTGACGGCCACGTTTGTTTTTGCAGTCTCCAGCTTGTACCTCATATCAGATGACTCCGCAAGGGCACAGGGCCCCTCCCAAGATCAACCCAGATAACTACGGGATGGATCTGAATAGCGACGACTCCACCGATGATGAGGCCCATCCCCGGAAGCCCATCCCCACCTGGGCCCGAGGTAAGCAAAGCCCACAGCTCCCTGGGAGACTCAGGCCCTCCCTGGTCCTCACCTTGAGGGCCCTGGAAGTAGTGGGTTGGCTGCTGCGGTGTTGGGAGGCTGCCGTGTGCTTCAGTTGGCAGTTCGAGGCTCTAGCCTTGGGTATGCATGTGCCCTGGGGAGTGTGGGGCACCCTGTGGTCATTGTGCTTTCCTGAGGACCAGACCTATGAGGTTGGGTTCCTTTGTTCTCAACAAATATATGAAATTGTGCTGGGCTTGGGCATGGCATATGCTGCTGGGTGTCCTGACTTGGACTAGGCCCTTCCTTAGAGTCCCATCCAGCAGGGCTGAAGAGACTTGGACCTAAGTAAGCCACCTGGGGCAGAGGCAGAGCTAGAATGGGGAAGGGTTTAGGCAGAACACCAAGCTGGAGCCTGGGGCTTCCAGCCAGCTCGGGGAGGCAGGAAAGTCCTTGAGGAGTGCATGAGGCACTTGAGCAGGATCTGACCTGGAGTTTACAGGCCCCAGCATTAAACCAGAATGTGGGTGAGCGTGACTGCAATGTCTCAGGCCTGAGTGCAAGGCCAGCTTGAGTGAGCAGGGTAGGTGCTAGAAGTGGGTGCTGCCAGAGTGGATGGGGCCCGTGGGTACCATGGGTGCCTTGCAGTGGTTGCTGAGCCGGAAGTCAGGGAGGGGTGCAGACGCCCCAGAGGGAAGGGCCTGGAATCCCATAGCTGGTAGGCACACTACAGAAACTTGTTTTTGTGAGTTTCACCTCATCTGAACCCTACAGTAACTGGCATGTGCTTTAAGCCTCTTAACTACTAGTGTCAAGTCATTTGGGAGATGGCAGTGAGCAGGAGCCAGCTCGCTTGCAAAGCCATCTAATCGGAGGTGACTTTGAACAGCTTACTTAAATAGTTTCCTCATCCGTGAAAGGGGGGTGAAGACAAGACCCAGCTGAGGAGTTCTGTTGAGAGTGACATGAGTGAGCTCACGGCTGGCCCTTAGAGCCGCACCTGGTGCTGAGCAAGTGCTGGTGCATGTCTGGCCTCCTGATCCCCTGGGTCTTCCTCAGCCCCGTTGTCAGGACTGTGCCTTCCCACATCCACTGCCCAGAGGCCCCCTCAGCACTGCACCAGGGCCTGTGGGGTCTGTGAGAAGCAGCTGGCCAAGGTGGTCAAGGATGGCATCCTATGCTTAAGCTCTGGAACTGGGCTTGTCTTCAAACACAGGCTCTGCCATTATTAGCTGTATGCCTTTGGGCAAATCTGCTGAATGGGAGAATACAGAACCTGCCTCCCAGGTGGTGGTCGGGACAGGTTCAAGGAGTGCCTGGCTCATGCGAGCTCTCAAGGACTTTGTAAGGTTAAGCTGCCAGAGGAAGGTTGGAAGGATGTGACACAAGGGCGTTCTCTGGGTTTGATGGTGGTACAGGCAGGGGCAGGGCTGAAGAGGGTGACAGAGCTCTCTGTAGGGAGGTTGGAGAGGGTGACAGGGCTCTGTGGTGGGCAAGGGATGGGGAGGTTCATGGAGAGCCCCAAGGCAGTGTCTGGTCTGTGGTCTCCTGCAGGCACCCCGCTCAGCCAGGCTATCATTCACCAGTACTACCACCCACCGAACCTTCTGGAGCTCTTTGGAACCATTCTCCCACTGGACTTGGAGGATATCTTCAAGAAGAGCAAGCCCCGCTATCACAAGCGCACCAGCTCTGCTGTCTGGAACTCACCGCCCCTGCAGGGCGCCAGGGTCCCCAGCAGCCTGGCCTACAGCCTGAAGAAGCACTGAGGCTGGCCTGCGGCCTTCTTGGCAGCCTCGCCTCCTGTCCATGTCTATCTGTCTGTCTGTCGGTCTCTGTCTTGGTCTGTTGCCCTCCTTCTTGGCATGCCATTGTGGAGGGCTTGGCCAGGTGTATATAAACGTCCTCTGTGCTGGGTGTTTCTGCTGCAGGTGGCAGGTGGCCCCAGGCCTGTTTGGAGGATGGGCTGGGTGGGTGGGTGGGGAAGAAATGGGCCCAGCCCCACATGGCCTGCAGACAGTGCTCTGTAAATAGTTGTTTTAATTTAGCTGAATGTTAGCATTTTAGTCTTTGGCATTTTAGCGTTTGGGAGGTAGATTAATAAAGTATATTCCTTCAAGCCTGCTGTTGATACCATGAAGACTGGGCGCCTCAGTCCCAGCCCTGTAGCTGTGTGTCTTGGGCCACCAGTGGCCTGCAGGACGAAGGTACTGTTCCATCACCTGCGGTGTGCCTCAGGATCACCAGGTGCAGGCCCCCACCCTCGGAGATGCTGCTGCAGTGAGTGGTTCCACTGCCTGGATAACCCTTGAGGAACACGTCAGTTACTGTCACGATGGGGCAGGTGGAGCTCCTTCCTATTTTTTGGGGTGCTCCCTGTTTGTAAAGGGGAGTTTGTTCATTGGGAAAGACCTGGGTCTTGACACGGCCCTGCCACTTAGTCCCCTACCCTCTCCATTCCCCAGGCTCCACCCGTGCTGCTCAGGTGCAAATGGACTTGAGAGCATCTATGTGCTGGTGAAGCATGAGGTCTGAGTAGAAAAGGGGTATCCCTTGAGACCACCTTGGGACCAGTGCTTGCAAGCAGCGAGATATTTCCCCAGCAAAACCAGGCAGCTGCTAATTAAATGCTTAGAACCAATGAAAGCTGGCTGTGGTCCTGCCTGTGAGCTGCCTACTGCTGCCTTCTGAATGCATATATCTGCTACTGTAGCCCCGGGTTGTCAAACTATGGCCTGTGGGCCAAATCCAGCCACAGTCGGTTCTTTAAAGTTTTATCGAAACACAAGCAATGGAAATGCCCATTTCCATTGTTGTCTCCAGTTGCTCTGCTCCGAGGGCAGTGTTAAGTTGTGCAGCAGAGGCCCCTCCATGCAAAGCTGAATATGTTTACTATTTGAACTTTTTCAGAAGTTCTGCTTAAGGACAAAATAAAGCCTAAATCCAAGAACACTTTTAAAAATGAGGAAATAGTGAACACAATAGACGGAAGTCTGGAAGTTTCTACCCATGCCAAGAAAAGCATTTTATGTTTTGTTCACATATGTTGTGCAATTCAAATTTTTTTCCCTATATTCTCTGACTAGACACTTGTACTGAGTCAATTGGCGAGTGTGTCTGTCTAAAAGCACAATATCAAAATATCACTTAAAGCATCTTTACATAGTGTGTTTAAGAAAAAGTTGTTATTCAGCAGAAAGGTAATTCCAATTGGTCTGCATATTTATCAGCACTTGGTATTGTCTGTTTCTTATTTTAGCCATTCTGATAGGTGTGTACTGATATCTAATCATGGCTTTAATTTGAATTTCCCTAATGGCTGATGGTGAACATCTTTTCATGTGCATTTCTGTCATCTGTATGTCTTTGGTGAAGAGTCTTCAAATCTTTTGTTCATCTTAAAATTGGATTGTTATATTACCATTGGGTTTAAGAATCTACATATTATGGATACAAATATGTTGTCAGATATGTGTTTTGCAGCATTTTCTCCCAGTCTGTAGCTTGTCTTTAAAAAAAAAATTTTTTTTTTTTTTTTTTTTTTTTTTTAGAGATGGGATCTTGCTACGTTGGCCAGGCTGGTCTCGAACTCCTGGCCTGAAGTGATCCTTCTGCCTTGGCCTCCCAAAATGCTGAGATTGTAGGCATGAGCCGCCATGCCTAGCCCAGCTTGTCTTTTTGTTTACTTACCAGTGTTTTTCAGAGAACAAAAATTTTAATTTGATGAAGTCCAATTAATTAAATTTTTAAAATAGAGTGTGATTTTTTTGTCATGTCTAAGAAACTATTGTCTAGTCCTAGGTCCTAATTCTCCTTTGTTTTCTTCTAAATGTTTTATTATTTTACATGTTAACGTTTAGATTTATGATCTATTTTAAGTTTTTTTTAAGTATGAGGTTTATGTTTTTTGTTTGTGTTTAGGAGCATATGGATGGATGTCTAGTTGTTCCAGCACCATTTGTTGGAAAGACTATCCTTTCTCTGCTGAATTTCTTTTATATCTTTGTCAGGAATTAGCCATATTGGTATGGGTCTATTTCTAGACTTTTTATTTTCTCCCATTGATCTGTACATCTCTCCTTTTGCCAATACCACATAAGTCAAGATGACTATAGCTTTGTAATAAGTATTAAAATCTGGTAATATAATTCTTCCAATTTTATTTTTCTTTTAAAATTATTTTGACTATTGTATCAGTGTTACCTTTCCATTTAAATTTTAGGATTAGCTTAGCTACAAAAGTCCTGCTGGGATTTTGATTAGAATTGCATTAAATCTATAGATAAGTTTGGGGAGAATTAACATATTTATGATCGCCTTTTAATCCGTGAACATGACGTGTCTCTCCATTTATTTGCATGTTTAGTTTCTTTCTTCAGCATTTTATAGTTTTAGCATACAGATCTTGTACATATTTTCTTAGATTTGTAACTATTTTCTTGGAGCTGTTGTAAATGGTATTGTTTTTCTGATTTTTGGTTTCTACTTGTTCATTGCTGGTGTATAGAAATACAGTTGGCTTTTGTGTCGGCTTTGTATCCCGTGATGCAAGTAAAGCAGTACTGAGGGGAATTTATAGGGCTCAATGCCTGTGTTAGAAAAAAAGGTCTCAAATCAGTGACCTCAGCTTCCACTTTAAGAAACTAGGAAAAAAAGACCAAATTAAAAGTGTACACAGAAAAGGGGAAATCATGCAAGTAAAACAGAAATTAGACATTAGGAAGAGAAAATATAGAAAATTAATTAACCAAAAGCTGGTTCTTTGAGAAGCTCAAGAAAATTCTCTTTAGACTGATCAGGAGAAAAGATAGATTACCAATGTCAGAAATTAGGTAGCTTCACTACAGATTCTACAGATATTACAACAATAATAAGAGACTATTACGAATAACTTCTAGGAATACATTTGACAATTTAGATGAACCCATGCAGATTCCTTAAAAGATACAAATTAGTTTACTTAGGAAGAAGTGGAAAACCTACATAGCTCTATGAAAGATGTGTTATCACAAAGAAAACGGTAGACATAGGTAGCTTTAGTGGTAAATGTTGCCACGTATTTAAGGGAATAATACTAATTCTGCACAACCTCTCACAAGAAATATAAGAGGAAAGAATACTCAGTTCTGTCTCTGAGGCCAGCATTGCTTTGATCCCCAAATCAGACATTGCAAGAAAAGAAGACAATTATCCCTCATGAACATCAACACAAGAATTCTTAGAGTTTTATCAAGTCCAACAAGTTAAATAAAAAGGATTACACTTTTTGTTGTTGTTGTTGTTGTTGTTGGAGGCAGGGTCTCACTCTGTTGCCCAGGCTGGAGTGCAGTGGTGGGATCTCGGCTTGCTGCAACCTCTGCCTCCTGGGTTTAAGAAACTCTTGTGCCTTGGCCTCCTGAGTAGCTGGGATTACGGGTATGCACCACCAGCCCAGCTAATTTTTGTATTTTCAGTAGAGATGGGGTTTTGCCATGTTGGCCAGGCTGGTCTCAAACTCCTGGCCTCGAGTGACCCACCTACCTTGTCCTCCCAAAGTGCTGAGATTACAGGTGTGAGCCACTATGCCCGGCCAGGATAATGCATCTTGACCAAACAGAGTTTATCTTAGGAATGCAAGGCAGGTTTAACATTTGGAAGTTAATGTAATTCACTATTAATTATAGAGGAGGAAAATCATATGATTAAATTAATAGATACAGAAATTCAATGATTTGATGATTCCATACTAGTAATTTAAGATAAAAGCTTTAAGATTTAAAGGGAATTTCCTCAGTTTGATAGGGCACTTCTACAAAACTCCAGCAAACACTTCCTAGTGAATGTCTAGATGCATTCCTCCTGCTACCAAGTCAAGTACAAGGATGCCCACTCTCATTCCTTCTGAACATTTTATGGTAGTTCTGGCCAGCACAGTAAGGCAAAAAGAAAAAGGCATTGGGAAAGAAGAATTAAAACCTGCCAGAGACAACTTGTAGAATATCTGATAGTATCTACCTAAAAGCTATTAGGATTAATATGGGCTTGGCATACAAGGTTAATATACAAAAATCTATTGTATTTCTATGTACTAGCCATGTGCAACCAGGAATTGAAATTTAAGGAATACAGTTTATAATGTCCAAAATTATCAAAATCTAAGGAATAAGTCTGACAAAAGATCAGGAAGACCTGTGCAATACAGTGAGAACTTCAAAAGGTTGCTGAGAGAAATCAATGAAGACTTAAGTGGGATATATACTGTGTTCATGGATCAGAAACTCAGTGTACTGAAGATGTCAGTTTCCCCCTAAAAGATTTAGCCCAGTCTTAACCAATTCCAAATGGCCTTTTATTTATTTATTTATTTTGGAGAGTGTCACTTTGTCGCCTAGGCTGGAGTGTAGTGGCATGATCTCTGCCTCCCGAGTTCAAGTGAGTCTTGTGCCTCAGCCTCCCAAGTAGCTGGGACTACAGGTGTGTGCCATCATGCCTGGCTAATTTTTGTATTTCTAGTAGAGATGGGGTTTGCTATGTTGGTCAGGCTGGTCTCACTCTAGTGATACACCTGTCTTGGCCTCCCAAATTGCTGGAATTACAGGCATGAGCCACTGCACCCAGCCCCAAATGGCTTTTTTTTTTTTTTTTTTTGGATAGAAGCTTATGAAAAAATTTGGTTTTACAATTTATATTTATGCTGGGTACAGTGGCTCACACCTATAATCCTAGGACATTGGGAGTCTGAGGTGGGCGGATGGCTTGAGCCCAGAAGTCTGAGACCAGCCTGGGCAACATCGTAAATCCCTGCCTCTACAAAAAATACAAAAATTAGCTGAGCACGTATCTGTAGTCCCAGCTACTCAGGAGACTGAGATGGGAGGATCACGTGAGCCTGGGAAGTCCAGACTGCAATAAGCAGTGATTGTGTCACTGCTCTCCGGCCTGGGTGACACAGCAAGACCCTGTCTCAAAAATTGTATTTAACAGCATAGGACCTACAATAGCTAAAACAACTTAAAAATAACAAATTTGGAGAGGTCACACTACCTGCAAGGCTCACTTCAAAGCTACAGGAGGAGATTGATTTGAGTAATAATAAAACTCCGATCTCCCGCACAGCTGGCTCTGCATGAATTACTCTTTCTTTATTTTGATTCCCCTGTCTTGATGAATAGGCTCTGTCTAGGCAGCGGGCAAGGTGAATCCCTTGGGCAGTTACAAATTTGGGGGCTCATCTGGGATTGCGCTTGTGGCTACATGCTTGTGGTTCGGTGGACCCCCTTCAGTGATGGATCCAGTGTCAGCCCAAGCGGCTGCCTAGTTCTCAAAGCTACAAGAATCAGGATAGTATATTGGTATAAAGGTAGTCATAGATACATGAAATTTTATGGAATCCAGAAATAGAACTACACATATATAATCACTTGGTTTTGGCAAAGGTGGAAAGGCAATTCAATGGGGGCAGCATAATTTTTTCAACAAATTGTCGTGGAACAACTGGATACGTTTTTAAAAAGCTCCAGCCCTTCTTAACACCATATATCAGGTTTAATTCCTAATGGATCATAGGCCTAAATGTAAGAGCTAAAAATACAACACTCCTAGAAGAAAACGGATTGCTGGGAAGATGGCCAAACAGGAACCTCTCTAGTCTGCAGCTCCCAGTGAGATTGAGGCATAAGGCAGGTGATCTCTGCATTTCCAACTGAGGTACCCAGTTCACCTCACTGGGACTGGTTGGACAGTGGGTGCAGCCCACAGAGGGCGAGCCAAAGCAGGGTGGGGCGTTGCCTCACCTGGGAAGTGCAAGGGGTCGGAATTCTCTCCCTACCCAAGGGAAGCCGTGAGGGACTGTGCCTGAGGAACAGTGCACTCCAGCCCAGATACTGCACTTTTCCCAATGTCTTTGTAACCTGCAGAACAGGAGATCCCCTCCAATCCTACGCCATCAGGGCCCTGGGTTTCAAGCACAAAACTGGGTGACCATTTGGGCAGACACTGAGCTAGCAGCAGGAATTTTTTTTTCCCATAACCCAGTGGTGCCTGGAACGCCAGTGAGACAGAACCATTACTGCCCTGGAAAGGGGCTGAAGCCAGGGAGCCAAGTGGTTTGGCTTGGTGGGTCCCAGCCACCACAGAGCATTGGTGAACATGAAAGTGACAGGGAGAATGGAACCAAGTTGGAAAACACTCTTCAGGATATTATCCAGGAGAACTTCCCCAACCTAGCAAGACAGGCCAACATTCAAATTCAAGAAATACAGAGAATACCACAAAGATACTCCTTGAGCAACCCCAAGACACATAATCGTCAGATTCACCAAGGTGGAAATGAAGGAAAAAATGTTAAGGGCAGCCAGAGAGAAAGGTCAGGTTACCCACAAAGGGAGGCCCATCAGACTAACAGTGGATCTCTCTGCAGAAACCCTACAGGCCAGAAGAGAGTGGGGGGCCAATATTCAACATTCTTAAAAGAATTTTCAACCCAGAATTTCATATCCAGCCAAACTAAGTTTCATAAGAGAAGGAGAAATAAAATCCTTTACAGACAAGCAAATGCAGAGAGATTTTGTCCCCACCAGGCCTGCTTTACAAGAGCTCCTGAAGGAAGCACTAAACACTGAAAGGTACAACTGGTACCAGCCACTGCAAAAACATACCAAATTGTAAAGACCATCAACACTATGAAGAAAATTCACAACTAACAGGCAAAATAACCAGCTAGCATCAAATTTGACAGGATCAAATTCACACATAACAATATTAACCTTAAATGTAAATGGGCTGAATGCCCCAATTAAAAGACACAGACTGGCAAATTGGATAAAGAGTCAAGATCCATCGGTGTGCTGTATTCAGGAGACCCATTTAACGTGCAAAGACACACATAGGCTCAAAATAAAGGGATGGAGGAATATTTACCAAGCAAATGCTAAGCAAAAAAAAGCAGGGGTTGCAATCTTAGTCTCTGATAAAACAGACTTTAAACCAACAAAGATCAAAAGAGACAAGGGCATTACATAGTGGTAAAGGGATCAATGCAACAAGAAGTGCTAACTACCCTAAATATAAATGCACCCAATACAGGAACACTCAGATTCATAAAGCAAGTTCTTAGAGACATACAGAGAGACTTAGACTCCCACACAATAAGAATGGGAGACTTTAGCACCCCACTGTCAATATTAGATAGATCAATGAGAAGAAAATTAACAAGGATATTCAGGACTTGAACTCAGCTCTGGACCAAGTGGACCTTATAGACATCTACAGAACTCTCCACCCCAAATCAACAGAATATACACTCTTCTCAGCACCTCATCACACTTATACTAAAACTGATCACATAATTGGAAGTAAAACACTCCTCAGCAAATGCAAAAGAATGGAAATCGTAACAGTCTCTCAGACCACAGTGCAATCAAATTAGAACTCAGATTAATAAAACTCACTAAAAACTGCACAACTACATGGAAACTGAACAACCTGCTCCTGAAAGACTACTGAGTAATGAAATGAAGGCAGAAATAAAGATGTTCTTTGAAACCAATGAGAATGACACAATGTACCAGAATCTCTGGGATACATTTAAAGCAGTGTGTAGAGGGAAATTTACAGAACTAAATGCCCACAAGAGAAAGCAGGAAAGATCTAATATCGACACTGAAACATCACAATTAAAAGAACTAGAGAAGCAAGAGCAAACAAATCAAAAGCTAGCAGAAGACAAGACATAACTAAGATCAGAGCAGAACTGAAGGAGATAGAGACACAAAAAACCCTTCGAAAAAAATCAATGAATCCGGAGTCGGTTTTGTGAAAAGATCAACAAAATAGATAGACGACTAGCCAGACTAATAAAGAAGAAAAGAGAGAAGAATCAAATACACGCAATAAAAAATGATAAAGAGGATCCTACAGAAATACAAACTACCATCAGAGAATACTATAAATACCTCTACCCAAATAAACTAGAAAATCTAGAAGAAATGGATAAATTCCTGGACACATACACCCTCCCAAGTCTAAACCAGGAAGAAGTCGAATCCCTAAATAGACCAATAACAAGTTCTGAAATTGAGGCAGCAATTAATAGCCTACCAACCAAAAAAAGTTCAGGACCAGATGGATTCACAGCCGAATTCTACCAGAGGTACACAGCCGAATTCTGGTAGAAGGTACCATTCCTTCTGAAAGTATTCCAAACAATAGAAAAAGAGGGAATCCTCCCTGATTCATTTTATGAGGCCAGCATTATCCTGATACCAAAACCTGGCAGAGACACAACAAAAATAGAAAATTTCGGGCCAATATTCCTGATGAACATTGATGTGAAAATCTTCAATAAAATACTGGCAAACTGAATCCAGAAGCACATCAAAAAGCTTATCCACCATGATCAAGTTGGCTTCATCCCTGGGATGCAAGCCTGGTTCAACATAAGCAAATCAATCAAGGTAATTCATCACATAAACAGAACCAATGACAAAAACCACGATTATCTCAATAGATGCAGAAAAGGCATTCGACAAAATTCAACACCCTTCATGCTAAAAACTCTCAATAAACTAGGTATTGATGGAACATATCTCAAAATAATAAGAGCTATTTATGACAAACCCACAGCCAATATCATACTGAATGGGCAAAAATTGGAAGCATTCCTTTTGAAAACCACCACAAGACAAGGATGCCCTCTCTCACCACTCCTATTCAACATAGTATTGGAAGTTCTGGCCAGGCCAATCAGGCAAGGGAAAGAAATAAAGTGTATTCAAATATGAAAAGAGGAAGTCAAATTGTCTCTGTTTGCAGATGACATGATTGTATATTTAGAAAACTCCACCATCTCAGCCCAAAATCTCCTTAAGCTGATAAGCAACTTCAGCAAAGTCTCAGGATACAAAATCAATGTGCAAAAATCACAAGCATTCCTATACACCAATAATAAACAGAGAGCCAAGTCATGAGTGAACTCCTGTTCACAATTGCTACAAAGAGAATAAAATACCTAGGAATACAACTTACAAGGGATGTGAAGGACCTTTTCAAGGAGAACTACAAACCACTGCTCAAGGAAATAAGAAAGGACACAAATAAATAGAAAAACATTCCATGTTCATGGATAGAAAGAATCAATATCGTGAAAATTGCCATACTGCCCAAAGTAATTTATAGATTCAATGCTATCCCCATCAAGCCGCCATTGACTTTCTTCACAGAATTGGAAAAAACTACTTTAAATCTCATATGGAACCAAGAAAGAGCCCGCATGGCCAAGACAATCCTAAGCAAAAAGAACAAAGCTGGAGCCATCACACTACCTGACTTCAAACTATAGTACAAGGCTACAGTAACCAAAACAGCATGGTACTGGTACCAAAACAGATATATAGACCAATGGAACAGAACAGAGGCCTCAGAAATAACACCACACATCTACAACCATCTGATCTTTGACAACCCTGACAAAAACAAGCAATGGGGAAAGGATTCCCTATTTAATACATGGTGTTGGGAAAACTGGTAGCCATATTCAGAAAACTGAAACTGGACCCCTTCCTTACAGCTTATACAAAAATTAACTCAAGATGGATTAAAGACTTAAATGTAAGACCTAAAACCATAAAAATGATAGAAGATTCTTAGGCAATACCATTCAAGACATAGGTATGGGCAAAGAGTTCATGTCTAAAACACCAAAAGCAATGGCAACAAAAGTCAAAATTGACAAATGGGATATAATTAAACTAAAAAGCTTCTGCACAGCAAAAGAAACTATCATCAGAGTGAACAGGCAATCTACAGAATGGGAGAAAATTTTTGCAATTTATCCATCTGCCAAAGGGCTGATATCCAGAATCTACAAAGAACTTAAACAAATTTACAAGAAACAAACAAACAACCCCATTAAAAAGTGGGCAAAGGATATGAACAGACACTTCTCAAAAGAAGACATTTATGCAGCCAACAAACATGAAAAAAAGCTCATCATCACTGGTCATTAGAGAAATGCAAATCAAAACCACAATTAGATACCATCTCACACCAGTTAGAATGGTGATTATTAAAGTCAGGAAATAACAGGTGCTGGTGAGGATGTGGAGAAATAGGAACACTTTTACTATCAGTGGGAGTGTAAATTAGTTCAACCATTGTGGAAGACAGTGTGGCGATTCCTCAGGGATCTAGAACTAGAAATACCATTCTGTCCAGCAATCCCATTAGTGGGTATATACCCAAAGGATTTTAAATCATTCTACCATAAAGACACATGCACATGTATGTTTATTGCGGCACTATTCACAACAACAAAGACTTGGAACCAACCTAAATGTCCATCAATGATAGATTGGATAAAGAAAATCTTGCACATATACACCATGGAATACTTTGCAGCCATAAAAAAGGACGAGTTAATGTCCTTTGCAGGGACATGAATGAAGCTGGAAACCATCATCCTCAGCAAACTAACACAGGAACAGAAAACCAAACACTGCACGTTCTCACTCATAAGTGGGAGATGAACAAGGAGAACACATGGACACAGCGAGGGGAACATCACACACTGGGGCCTGTCGGCAGGTGAGAAGCTAGGGGAGGGATAGCATTAAAAGAAATACCTAATGTAGGTGACGAGTTGATGGGTGCAGCAAACCACCATGGCACATGTATGCCTATGTAACAAAACTGCACATTCTGCACCTGTACCTCAGAATTTAAAGTATAATAAGTAAATAAATAAATAAGAAAACAGGAGAAAATCCTAGTGTCTTTGTGTTTGGCACAGGTTTTTTACATATGACACCAAAAGTGTGAACTATAAAAGCAAAAGTCAATTGGACTTCATCAAAATTAGAAACTTTTGCTCTTTAAAAGTTACTGTTACTCAGCATCTTTCATTCTGCCCCGGGGTGGGATGGTACAAATAGCCCATCCTGCCGTATTCTCAGGAATAGAACGGGGCTTGATCCTCACCACTTGGTTAGGATGAAGATGAGAAAACCTGGGATTATCCAGGCTTTCTTGCTTCAGTAGGACCCATTTATGGATGCTAACCCCACCCTTCACTGTAGCCCACCCCGTTGCATGCCTGGCACATTTCCTCTTGTCAAGTACCTGCTAGCTACCTGCCATGTGAGGCTTTTCCTGTCTCCCTTAAGTAAACTAAGCCACAGCTTTTTTCTGGCTCCATCTGGGCTTTTCACAGCACATGCCTAGTCCACGTGTTGCAGTGGGATCTGGGGCCTTGAACTGTGGGTACCACTTGCTACTGAGCAACTGTGGCTGCTGGCTGAGTTCTGCGGGGGCAAGACCCATAGCAGCCTTTCTTCCCTCTGGGCTTCCATGGTGCAAACATTCCTCCAGGTTTAAGAAAGAAGAAAGAGCAGGCATGAGAAGGAAAGTGGGCTGTAACCTGTATTCCAAGGGATTGCAAACAATGCAGATCGCAGGTTATTCTCCTATCTGAACCTCTTGGAGCTTGATTCTGAGGCTTCCTTGGACATCTATAGAAACCTGGGTAGCAGCACTCAGAGCTAAGCTGAGTTACCTGATGCCTGAAGCACCTGCTCTGTACTCCTTACAGTGCTCACTGCTCTGAGCCAGCAAAGTAGAAAGTAACTTACATGGCCAACCCCAACCACATCCCCACTCCTGTCCAGTAATTTTGAATGTTCTCAACCAAAGAGATCTACCCTGCATGCTGGAAGGAGGAAGTAAACTACAGCTTGCAAAGGGGAGTTCTTTTTTGTTTTTGTTTTTTTCCTTTCTGAGACAGAGTTTCACTCTTGTTGCCCAGACTGGAGTGCAATGGTGCAATCTCAGCTCACTGCAACCTCCGCCTCCCGAGTTCAAGTGATTTTCCTGTCTCAGCCTCCCTAGTAGCTGGGATTACAGGCACATACCACCATGCCTGGATAATTTTGTATTTTTAGTAGAGATGGGGTTTCACCATGTTGGCCTGACTGGTCTCGAACTCGCGACCTCAGGTGATCCACCCACCTCGGACTCCCAAAGTGCTGGGATTACAGGTGTGAGCCACCACACCCGGCCAGGGGGGCTTTTAAAGTGCCTTTTAAGTAGTCATTCCTTTGTGGGGGTATTTGCTTTTATTGCAGTTTATTAAGCCTGAAACAGCTGACATGAAGATGGATACTTTGACTCAGGTTTGGTTGCCTGATCCATGAAGCTTTAATCTTACTTGCCCACAGATACACACACACATACCCCTACCTGTATTAATTTGCACTTTAAATATGCCCATTCCTCTGCTATTATGATATAGGAAAGTTGATAGTATCAGATTAATTTCAGGTGAACTATTCTACCTATAAAAGAATAGGAGCTAATAGGAGCTCCTATAAAAGAACAGGAGCTAATAACCCATGAAAGCTATGACGGTTTTTTTTTTTTTTGGATCTCTATTCTTCCTGCCAGCTCTGCCCCTGGCCTGGCAGGATTGGTTGAGTGGGGAATTGGTCCTTGAGAATTGGAGTAAGGGATCTTGAGGAATGTGTTTAGTGTCTTTGAGTTGTGATTTGAGAATAACAGAGGCAGGAGCCCTCTGCAGGGCTCCTGTCCTACTTGCCCCTGGGACACTGTAATAAGACAAGTATGGATTATGCCCAGTGAGGACTCCTATAACTAATTATTTAACTCAGAAAGTGCCCCAGAGGTGCTGGGGGTGCAGCAGAAAGGACTGGAGGGGTGCAGCCACTACTGCGGGAATGGTAGGGAAAGGGGCTAGGGGCTAGGGGCTAGAGGCCTTCTGCCCCAGTTATCTTATGTGGTGTTTTTTGTTTTGTTTTGTTTTGTTTTGTTTTGTTAGTTTGTTTGTTTGTTTTTTGAGAAGGAGTCTCGCTCTGTCACCCAGGCTGGAGTGCAGTGGCATGATCTCGGCTCACTGCAACCTCTGCCTCCTGAGTTCAAGCTATTCTCCTGCCTCAGCCTCCCGAGTAGCTGGGCTTACAGGCATCCGCCACCATGCCTGGCTAATTTTTGTGTTTTCAGTAGAGATGGGGTTTCTCCATGTTTGTCGGCCAGGCTGGTCTCGAACTCCTGACCTCAGGTGATCTACCTACCCTCCGCCTCCCAAAGTGCTGGGATTACAGGCTTGAGTGACTGCACCTGGCCCAAGTTATCTTACAGTGTCATTGTTTGCATGTTTGTGATGGCCCTAGACTTAACAGATAGAGAGCAGGCTCTATGGCTTAGAGAAAGACAGAAAACAGACAGTGATTGATTTAGGGTATGTAGGTAATGTGTAAGCCCAGGGCAGTGATGGTGGCTTCATCTGGTCAGAATTTCATCAAAGACACCTCTCGGGGCTAAAAAAGACCAGACTTTTTTTTTCTTTTTTCTTTTTTTTTGCTACTTGGGCAACACTGGCTTGATCTAGGTGACCTCTACGTTCCCTAGATGGACAACTTGTGTGGCCCCCAAACCTCTCCGTCTTACCCCAGTACCCCTTATTATCCTCAGCTACCATGCCACTCTCTTCAATCCCAGCAACCAGTCCTCACCTACTTCTGTAGGAGACCTCCACAGGGAGGAGCCTTACCATGAAGGTGATTGCAGTGTTTTTAATGAAAGGGGCCAAGAAAATGTGGCAATGAGGTCCTGTTCCTACGAGCTCCACTCTCCGGATTGAGACAGTGACACTTGTGGGAGCAGGACCCACTGAGGCCCAGTCCGAGGGCTCAGGTGGGAGAGCATCCACTGTGGCACTGCCGCGCTCGGGACCAGGGGCTGCTGGCCTTCAACAGTTGTGTCTCACGTTCTACTGAAGCAGATTGAGGAGAGTGACTCGGGCAGAGAATGCAGGGTGTTCTCTGTCTCCCTCCAGTAGACTAAGGCGTGTTAGTCTACATGAGGTCAACATGCAGACTGCAATGCAGGGAATCCTCTCTCATTCCTCGGGTAGGAGGGCAGGGCTGGGAATTACAACAGGGACCTCCCCTAATTGTCCGCCACCTGCCTGGAGTCACTTAGCAAAAAATAAAAATAATAAAAATCTGTGTTTGGCCCTGATGTGGACTCTACAGCTCCTTTTGCCACTCCCTGTGTCAGGGCCAAGGAGATGGGGTTTGTTGTCCAGCTCTGTCTAACCACTTCCCGGGGAATAGTCTGGGAATATGGATGACAACCTTTAATCGCAAAGTGCCTACTGTGTGTGAGGCACTGGGCGAGTTGAGTTGCGTTGGCCATAACCTTCAATCGCATTTGCTGATTGAGGGGTGATATTATCTTCATCTTCATTTTAAGTCTCTGGAAAGTGACACTCAAAGAGTTAAAGCAACCTCAAGCCCAAGGTTGTGTGGAGTGTGCAGTCGGGCAGGAAGCTCCACTGGACTTCGAAGGTGTTGCTCTAAGGCAAGCCTGCTACGACGCATGTCAAGACATCAGAAATGTTAAGAGGCTTCCCTCCATTGCCTCTTGTTGGCCAAAAGCACCCAGACTTTTCTGATGCCAGTGGGGACTTCCCAGTCCTTGCCCTGGCAAAGTAGGGCCCTCTCCCAGACTGCTATTTCCCACCCGGGGTTTCTGGTCCCTGGCCGCAGGACGTGGGATCTGGTATCACTGATGGAGCTGTACAGATGACATGTCCCAGAAGTGCAGGGAATTGAAGTTCATGGGGTGAACTTTGGCCAATGGGAAACAGGAGGCAGGAGGGGTCTGGGCAGGTGAATTCTGCCAGCTTTGTCTCTGATGCTGGACCCCGGCATTGTTTCTCCTTGCCGCCTATGTGGAGAAATCCCACCTGCTGAGCAAACGACTGTGTCTCTTGATGCCTAGGTGTAAAATAACCATCACTTCACATTTTCTTCATATCTGTCCTGTCTCACTTCCCTTTTGTCAGGTTCCTGTGAGGCCAGGGGAGATCTGGTGGGACAGGGAGAACAGCAGGGGTACACAGGGTCCTGGGGTTTGGCAGAGAAAGGGAGTGGCCAAAGGAGCTGTAGAGTACGTGAGGGTCAAACACAGAGTTGTATTATTTTTACTTTTTGCTAAGCACCTCTAGGCAGCTGGGGGACTTTCGGGGCTCTGTAACTTTGGATATTGGGAACTTTACTGGTCAGGCCCTAATGACCAGATTCTCATACCTGAGCTGCACATTGATAAGGCACAGTGAAGTGGATATCCCGCCCTTTGGGCCTCCAGGCCAGTTCCTCTTGGGAACTGCCCAGGACTCTCGTTCTGCCCAGGACTGAGCCCTGACTCAGGATGTCACTGTTAGAGAGAAGGGCAGAGAGGGGCTCACTACCGTTGACTGTTGCTGTTTTCTGCTTAGCTGGCTGGATATCCACCTCCTCTTTGAACTTCTTCAGACCCTCAAAATCAGCACCCTTGAAATCAGGGTCCTTGAAATCAGGAGTCTCAACACTGGGAGAGGACCCAAAAGGACCAGTAGCAGCTGGGAAGTCAGCTCTGGAGCCCTCAAAGAAGCTTTGCTTGACTCAACTACCTTTTTGCACATGGAGGTGGGAAGAAAAGAGTTAGGCACATTTATCATGATGGGGGAATGGCCATTGTGCCTTGTCCAGGGAACAATGCACACAGAGCATGAGCCCACCTGTGCAGCAAGATGCTGATATCCAGGTATCTGTGTCTGGATGGATGGGAAAAGACTTGACCCCATGAGCCCAGCAAGTTAACACTGGTTGTATATGGGTGACTTCTATGGGCTTTTCTTTATTTCCCCAAATTTATTTTATTTATTTATTTAGAGACAGGGTTTCACTTCAGTTGCCCAGGCGGGAATGCAGGGGCATGATCACGGCTCGTTGTGGCCTCAACCTCCCAGGCTCAAGCAATCTTCCTGCCTCATTTTTTTGATTTTTTGTAGAGATGAGGTCTCACTATGTCACTGAGGCTGGTCTCCAACCCCTGGGCTCAAGTGATCCCCCTGCCTCAGCTTCCCAAAGTGCTGGGATTACAGGCATGAGCCATTGCACCCAACCCTGTATTTCCCAAAATTTCTAAAGAATGGCGGGCACAGTTTGAGACCAGCCTGAGTGACATAACAAGACCCTGTCTGTATTTATTAAAACAAACAAAATAATAAAGTCTCCAAGACACACAGGCTTGCCTAATAACTTTAATTTGTTTGGAAAAGCCCTGCCCTCTAAGTGAAAAGCTGTCACATGAAAAAAATATTGCCATTACTTTGTTCAATTCTTTTATTGCAGTAAAATACACAAAACATGAAAATTACCATCTTAATCGTTTTTTTAAATAATTTTAAAATGTATATATCAGTGGTATTAAATACATTTTGTAATTTTGTGCAACCATTACTGCCATCTATCTCCAGAGTGCTTTTCATCTTGCAAAACTGAAAAGTTATACCCATTAAACAATAATTTCCTATTCCTCCCTCCCCCGTCCCCTGGCAATCACCATTCTACTCTCTGTTTCTATGATTTTGACTATTTTACATACATATAAGTGGAATCATACGTTATTTGTCTTTTTTTATGTAACTGACTTATTGCACTTAACATGTCTTCAAGATTTATTCATGTTGTAGCATGTAGTTTTCCTTCCTTTTTAAGGCTAGATAATATTCCCTTGTATGTATGTACTATATTTTGATTATTCATGTGTCTGTTGATGGACACTTGGGTTGCTTCTGTGTTTTATTGTGAATAATGCTGCTGTGAACATGGATGTACAAATCTTTTTTTGAGACTCTGCTTTCAATTATTTTGTGTATACCCTGAAGGGGAATTGCTGGATCATGTGGTAACTCTATTTTTACTCTATTTCTGGCCTTTCTATTTTATTCCATTGGTCTACATGGCTGTCTTTATGCCAGTACCACATTGTTTTGATTACTGTCACTTTGTAGCAAGTTCTCCAGCTTTGTTCCGTCTTTTCAAGATTGCTTTCACTATTTGGGGTTCCTTGATATTCCATATGGATTTTATAATTGTTTTTTCTATTTCTGGAAAAACCATTTTTGGGATTTTGATAGGGATTGCATTGAATCTTTGGGTAGTATTGACATCTTAACAACATTAAGTCTTCTGTTCTCTTGCCTCAGGCGTCCCACGTCCACCGATTCCTCCTCCCTCGTTGCTGAGTCCTTGGCTGGCATCAGAAAAATGGCTACAAACTTCTCAGTATATGAGAAGATCTGGTTTGACAAGTTCAAATATGACATTGCAGAAAGGAGATTGTACGAGCAAATGAACGGGCCTGTGGCCAGCACCTCCCGCCAGAAGAATGGCGCCAGCGTGATCCTCCATGACATTGCGAGAGCCAGAGAGAACATCCAGAAATCCCTGGCCAGAAGCTCAGGCCCCAGGGTCTCCAGCGGCCCCAACGGAGAACACAGCGAGCTTGTTGTCCTGATCGCCAGTCTGGAAGTGGAGAACCAGAGGCTGAGCAGCGTGGTGCAGGAGCTGCAGCAGGCCATGTCCAGGCTGGAGGCCCAGCTGAACGTGCTGGAGAAGAGCTCTGCTGGCCACCGGGCCACAGTCCCTCAGACCCAGCACGTGTCTCCCATGTGCCAAGTGGAGCCCTGGCCAAGAAGCCAACCACACCAGCAGAGGATGACAAGGGCAATGACATTGACCTTTTTGGCAGCAACAATGAGGAGGAGGACGAGGAGGCAGCACAGCTGCGGGAGGAATGGCTGCCATTTCCCCCAGTAATTAGAAAAGCCTTATTGTGAGGTTTTTGATACCTTTTTATAGTTTTATGTTGTCATCTTTGTTTTAAGGAATATGTGAAGTTGTTTCAAAATTGGGAACAAGAATTGTCACATTCTTTTGTTTTTTCTTCATATTTTCTCCATATTTTTCTTGTTTTCCTCTTTTGCCCTCCAGTCCTGGGAGGAAAGTAAGTGTCATGGGTGAGGACTTTCCACTTCCTGGACCATTGGAGTCTCTGGGACCATCCACAGTCCCTAAGCCTGGGAAAGTGCTCTGTTCTTTAGCATATTAAAAATGGCCCTAGCCTGTCCTTAAATGACTCTAGAGGGGTCATTCAAGTGCATGTTTGTATGTGGAAAGATGATTAATATGTCACATATGGCTTAAAGGAGCCAGCAGGATCTTGAGACACAGTAAAAATATCCCCCCGCCACCCTTCAGAGGTGGGGAATTTTGATTCCTCCCTGGTAAATCTCTGTCAAATTACTAATTATTGATCTCTGATAATTACCAATTATTGATCCCTAACTCATGACTGTCTCCTTTACAGCTGGTGAGCAAGCCACTGATTCTAGACTTTCATGACTTTCTGATGACTTCCTGATGACTTCCTACTGACCAAATGATAAACCGCTCAGAATTTCCTGTCTGCACTGTGTGGGATAGTGTCCCCTGAGCCACCTTCTTTCTCAAATTGCTGTTATATTGTCTTAATCCACAAGGAAGGTCTTGTGTGAACATATGTATACATCCAGAGTGTTCTGGTAGAATTATAGCTCCCCTTGCACTAAGGGGTGCCCGGGGCACTTACATGATGTGTACTTGTTGTTAACCACCGCTCCCCAGGGGCTGGATCTTATCCCCTGTGCATAATCAGAAGCAGTTTCCCTAGTCTTGGTTCACCTGGTTGCAGTTCTCACCCTCTTCCTAGGAGTCCACTCTGCTGAGTTCCCATCAGGTCTTCTTCTGCACTGACTCTATGCCAGGTAGCTGGAGGTTAGACTGTTCCTTCAGCCTAGGTACTTTCTTTCTTCACCTCTTCATCATGTCCTCCAAAAAGCCTCCTATGTATAGGTTGGTTTACGTGGCCATTTTTTTTTTCTTTCTTTCTTTCTTTTGTTTTGTTTTGTTTTTTTTGTTTGTTTGTTTTTTGAGACGGGGTCTGGCTCTATCACCCAGGCTGGAGTGCAGTGGTGCGATCTCGTCTCACTGCAACCTCTGCCTCCCAGGCTCAAGCGATTCTCCTGCCTCAGCCTCCAGAGTAGCTGGGATTATAGGCGCGCGCCATCAGGCCTGGCTAATTTTTGTATTTTTAGTAGAGACAGGGTTTCACCATGTTGGTCAGGCTGGTCTCGAACTCCTGACCTCGGTGATCCACCCGCCTCGGCCTCCCAAAGTGCTGGGATGACAGGCGTGAGCCACAGCGCCCGGCCCGTTTTATTCTTTTAATTACCAAAGGCTGGCCTGTAGTAGGAGATGTCTGATGAGTTTTTCTTAAATTGAACGCCAACAATAAGGTTTGAGCCTCAAGGTGGCGCCATTTCATGTAGAGTCTGGAATCTCTGAACACTTGAAATAGACCATCCGTCACTAGCAGGAGCCCTTGCGTTCCGTTCCTGGATGCCGTTCTCAAAGTGAACACAATGAAATACAAGTTTCACTCGTGTTTGCATAAGGTCAAAACAACTGACAGGGTCGTTTCTTCTTGAGAGGACTGTGCGTTATCCTAGCAGGTGTATATACTATTTATCTCGTCAGATTTCTTACCAAGGAGACAGAAGCTGAGAAGAAATGAGATTAGGGGTTGTCTATCAAGGACAGAGGGAAAGAAGGGGGTAGCTGCGACTGTGTTTGTGGTGTGTGGGATGAAAAGGAAGATTTGAAGGATAAAACTAGAAGGGAAGTGAAGATGACTCCAAAGTGCCTTATTTGGAGCGGGATGAGACTGACTGGATGGTTCATGTTAAAGGGATCGTCTCAGCACAGCTGAGGGTTTTTCACACATACTATTATTTAATTCTACTGACTTTCACGTAAAGAAAGTGTAGTCTTTATTTACTGAGACTTAAAAAGATTAAATGGCTTTTCCAAGCTCACACAGTCCATATAACCCAGAGATGGGAAAATATATCTGGACCCCAAATCCTTAATTTTACTTGTCTGCCTGCCCGCCTCTTCCCTGTTGAACCTGGGGAGGCATCAGGGCATCCTGTTAGTGGTGTCCCACAGATAGACAAATTTTACCCTGGATTACGAAAAGCTGGATTAGCTTTCTTACTTAAACAATACTGGGGCCGGGCGTGGTGGCTCATGTCTGTAATCCCAGCACTTTGGGAGGCTGAGGCAGGCAGATCATGAGGTCAGGAGATCGAGACCATCCTGGCCAGCATGGTGAAACCCCGTCTCTTCTAAAATACAAAAAGTAAATTAGCTGGGCACGATGGCGCCTGCCTGTAGTCCCAGCTACTCGGGAGACTGAGGCAGGGGAATCGGTTGAACCTGGGAGGCGGAGATTGCAGTGAGCCAAAATCACGCCACTGCACTGCAGCCTGGCAACAGAGCAAGACTCTGTCTGAAAACAAAACAAAACAAGAAATAATACTGGAACTTCTTTCCCTGCTGTTGCTCCAATTCCCTTCCCTGGATTATTTTCCTCTTTGTCACTACCACACATCTAGAAAGATTAGCATTTCTATTACAGAAGCAAATGTCAAAAGGAGATTTAGAGGGAGTTACAGTTGCTTAAAAAAAAAAAAACCCCTGCCCTTTGCCATCACAAGCCCATGATCGTCACAGTTATCTGTCAGTCAAGCACCTGACCGTAATGGAAGTCAACAAATAAAACGCATCACTTGAGACCGGATAAAGAACACAGGATGAGCATGAGTTTAATCCTTGTCCATCCTCTTTAGAAATCTGAAAAAAATAACAACTTAAAATGACAACAAAAGAACAAAGTGGCAAACTCTACAGTATAGTGGAAACAAGCAAGTGACAATATTTGATGAGAAATATTTAAGCTTTTCTGATGGATGGAGAGCAGATAGGATGAAATCTACAGAGAAATAAGATGAGAGGAAACTGAAGTTCAAACATGTGCTGGAGAAAAAACCTTCAGATAGAGGAGCTTTTGGAAAGAAAGAGGAAATTAGGTTTAAGATAGGTCTTGGATAATTATTGAAATTGAATACAGGCAGGATGAGAGTTGAAATACACAATGAGATGTGGACAGCGACCTCACACCACTTTGCTCTGTTCTTCTGCAATATATGTTTTTTTTCACATAATGTTTTTATTGTTCCCTTCAGTGCAAAGGACTATTGGGGAAGAAGGGTCTTCCCAGTGGGCAGCAGAAAACCGTGAGATTAAGCAAAAATAATTGCTATCAAGGATCCTAGGTGAGTATGAGTTCAGAAGTTTGCTGGTCCATTACAAGTCTTGGGGTTATTCAGTCTGCTTCTCTGTGCAGTTCTTCTAGAATTCTGTTAAAAAAAAAAAGCCATCAACTCATTATGGGTGCCAAAGGGGTAACCCCTTTTCCTTCTAGGCTAAATATGAAAAAAAATCTGATTTTCATCATCCTAAGTGGCACCTGTTTTTGCAGAGGATACCAACTGCCTCTTTTGGGTGGTCTCAGACTCCCCTTCTTTGGGTGGTACCTTTGATGTGGTTGTGCTTGACGTTCTCAAGTCTCTGGTTTTCAAGGTGGGACAGACTTACCATGAGATGCAGGTATCTCAAGCAAGGTCCAGCACGACTTACTAACTGCGGGGATGGTCAAGATAGGGTGTTAGGGCCTGGCTTACTTCGCTGCCAGGCAGTTCTTTCTCTGACATTCCTTTAGGTAAGATCAGTTCCCCAGGTAGAAGAGATGTATTGGAAGAGAGCCTCACGTTGGTGTCAGCCTTGACAGGAACTTAGGATGAAGGAGACTCCTTGACTGACTGATTGACTTCCTTCCTTCCTTCCTTCCTTCCTTCTTCTCTCTCTCTTTCTTTCTTTTTTTATTTTGAGACAAAGAATCACTCTGTTGCCCAGGCTGAAGTGCAGTGGCGCGATCTCAGCTCACTGCAACCTCTGCCTCCCGGGTTCAAGCGATTCTCGTGCCTCAGCTTCCCGAGTAGCTAGGATTACAGGTGCCTGCTACCCCACCCAGCTAATTTTTTTGTGTTTATAGTAGAGACGGGGTTTCACTATGTTGGCCAGGCTGGTCTCAAACTCCTGACCTCGTGATCCACCCGCCTTGGCCTCCCAAAGTGCTAGGATTGCAGGCGTGAGCCACCATGCCCGGCCAAAACTCCTTGACTTTCAAGAATCTGCTCTATTGCAGAGGAAAATTGCTGGACCTCTCCTGGGGCCATGATGATTTCACAGGAGCAGAGCCCCACAGCTGATTTGAACACATCCTGCATGTTCATCAAGACATTAGGAGGGTTTTAGGCCACATAAAGTCTGTTCACTATAGTTTATGTCACCTCTGTTTTGCCACTGAATTTGTATATAGCCTTGTCAGAGCTCTGGGGAGGGTGTGGGATATATGGTTGTAATTTGATGTCTGAGGCTTTGCATACCCGTTGGAAAATTCCGTAAAATGAGACCCTTGTTCTGAGTCTCTGTTGAATAGAATTGCCCCAAGGAGACTGTATTACTAAAGCAAATGGAATAAGCCCTCAACAATAAATGGAATTGGGTAAAGCTATACAGACATATCATTGCAACATCGATTGGAGTTTGAAGTTAATTCCAAATACAAAGTTATGGAATTGTATTGTATTACTGAGGTAAAAGGTATCACGATTAAAAAGTGCCTGCTTTCCAGAAGCTTCAGGCCATCCAGAGAACGTACTCTTTAGATCTGGGTTATGGATGTACTCCACTAATGGGAGATGATGTATGAAGTCAATTTAAAGGTGGATGAAGAAGGGTCCCCAAACTCTAGGTGGTGTCCCAAATGGTATCTGCACTGGTTTGCAGCATTATGAACAGCACAAGTAGGGTAGTGCAGCTGGGCACGGTGGCTCATGCCTGTAATCCCAGCACTTTAGGAGGCTGAGGTGGGCGGATTGCTTGAGGTCGGGAGTTCGAGACGAGCCTGCCCAATATGGTAAAAACCGATCGCTACTAAAAATACAAAAATTAGCCTGGCGTGGTGGCGTGTGCCTGTAATCCCAGCTACTTGGGAGGCTGAGGCACGAGAATTGCTCAAACCCGGGAGGTGGAGGTTGCAGTGAGCCGAGATTGAGATCGCACCACTGCACTCCAGCCTGGGCAACAGAGTAAGACTCTGTCTCAAAAACAAACAAACAAACAAATAAACAAAACAAATAGGGTAGTGCATACAGTGAGAAAATATTATTTTGGAAAATTCAAGAACAAACTAAGAATCTTTTCCTTTTCTTTTTTCTTTTTTTTTTGAGACGGACTCTTGCTCTGTTGCCTGGGCTGGAGTGCAGCAGCATGATCGTACCTCAGTGCATCCTTGAACTCCTGGGCTCAAGCAACTCTCCCACCTCAGCCTCCTGAGTAGATGGGCCTACAGGCAAGTGCCACCACACCTGTCTAAGTTAAAACTTTTTGTTTGTTTGTTTTTGCAGAGACAGGGTCTTGCCATATTGCCCAGGCTGGTCTCAAACTCTTGGGCTTAAGCGATCTGCCCCCTTCAACCTCCCAAAGAACTGGGATTACAGGCGTGAACTACTGCACCTGGCCCCAAACTAAGAATTTCTGATTTCTTTCCTTTATTCTTCTTCCTAGGGTATGACACAGGTAAAGGATTTAGACAGCACAGGACCAGTTGATCACGGCAAGATTTGGTGAATAAAGTGAAGGAAACGACTTCAGAGGTCCTTTTCCATATTGTGGGACTTACAACTCAGAACTTGCAGCAAGAATTCTGAGTATGTATGAGGTCTGCAAGGAGTTTGTGACATGTGATACATTGGTGACCTGGGTACCAGCAGAGATTCTTGAAGCTTTGACTAATGACCTGACATATGTATTTCAATTTTTGATAATCATTAAATAAATGAAGTAACATGTTAATATATCTCTTAATAAGCTGAGGGCTTAATGAAGCCCTTTTTGATTTTGTATATTCATGGATTATATTTTTTATTGCTAAAATGAGACAATTTTATTCATGTTTCTCATCTTCAAAGATGTAAAATCTGTAAATACTTGTTACATAAATGGGCAGATGGGAAAAGAATGACTATTGCGATAGTGATACCACTTGGTTCTCTGAATTCCTCTGAGCTATAGGCTAAAGATGACATAGTGATTTATCACTCAAAATTATTATTTTTAATTTTTAATTGACACCTAATACAAAAATGTGATGTTTTAATAAATGTATACATTGCATAATGATCAATCAGGGTAATTAACATATCCATCATCTCAAACATTTATCATTTCTTTGTGGTGAGAACATTCAAAATCTTCTCTTCTAGCTATTTTAAGATACCCAATATGTTATTATTAACTACAGTCGCCCACTGAGTGATAGGACATCAGAACTCATTTTTCCTAATTGTAACTTTGTACCTGTTGACCAACCGCTCTCCATCCTCTCTCTTCCATTCCGTACCCTCTCCAGTATCTGGTAACCACTGTTCTACTCTCTACTTCTATGAGATCAACATTTTTATTTTATTTATTTATTTATTTTTAAATTTTTTTGAAATGAAGTCTTGCTCTGTTGCCCAGGCTGGAGTGCAGTGGGGCAATCTGGGCTCACTGCAACCTCTGCCTCCTGGGTTCAAGCGATTCTCCTGCCTCAGCCTCCCGAGTAGCTGGGATTACAGGCACGTGTCACCAAGCCCGGCTAAGTTTTGTATTTTTAGTAGAAACAGGGTCTCACCATGTTGGCCAGGCTGGTCTCGAACTCCTAGCCTCAAGTGATCCACCCACCTTGGCCTCCCGAAGTGCTGGGATTACAGGCGTGAGCCACTGTGCCCGGCCAGATCAAAAACTTTAGATTCCACTTATGAGTGAGAACATGTGTTATTTATCTACTGTGTCTGGCTTATTTCACTTTACATAATGTTCTTCAGGGTCATCCATGTTGTCACAAATGACAGTATTTCATTCTTTTTTTATGACCTAATAGTATTTCTTTGTGTACATATACCACATTAAAAAAATCCATTTATTTGCTTTTCAACACTGAGGTTGATTCCATATCTTAGCTATTGTAAATAGTTCTGCAATAAGCATGGGATTGTAGATGTCTCTTGAACATACTGATTTTGTTTCCTTTGCATACAAGGTTGACCCTTGAGCAACATGGGTTTGAACTGTGCAGGTCCACTTACACACCGCTTTTTTCAACCAAATGTCAGTTGAAAATGCAGTGTTTGAGGCATGTGAAACTTGTGTATATGGAGGGCTGACCTTTTGAATATAGGGGTTCCACAGGGCCGAATGCAGGACATGAGTTTGTGCAGTTTTTGATATATGTAAGGGGTGAGTGCCTGGAACCAATCCCCTGAGTATAGAGAAGAATGATTGTATACTCTGTGGTAGGATTGCTGGATCATATGGTTGTTTTATTTTTAATTTTTTGAGGAAACTCCATACTGTTTTTCATGACCGTACTAATTTATATTTCCACCAATAGTGGGTAAAAGGTTTTCTTTTCTCCACATCCTCGATAATACTTGTAATAGCCATTCTAACAGGTATGACCTAATTGTGGTTTTGATTTGCACTTCTCTGATCAGTCTATTAAGGTCTATTAAGTCTTAGGTCTATTAAGGTCTTTTGCCTATTTTAAACATTATTTTTAATGATTTATCAGCCACTGCTAAATTAAGACCTCCTTTGAGTTTATTAAAAACGATAAATTAGATACCACTTGATATGGAAAAAATGTTGTTATCACAAAACAATACTTTAAATAGTTTCTTTGAAGTCTAGAGATTTCTACCTGCAGAGTCCATGCTCTGTGTTAAGATTCTGATGAAGGATGCATATGCCTTCTGTCTTTAGTGAAATGGAACGAGAGTGATTATGGAAGGGAGGTAGGAAGGAGAACCAATGTGACCACATGATCCATAAATAGTAAAAGCCTATATGATGTGAGGATCTCAAAGTGATCCCTTAAAAGTCTCCATCCCCCAAGTGTGTGTTCATCAATTTGAACACTGTGTCCCTAGAATATCCTTGGATGATAACCTCAGCCAAAAGGACACTTGCGACCAGCACATCCTGCTGAGGACGGGAGTCCAGAGACTCTGTGTGTCTTGGGGATTGGTAATGTTTACCCAACTTCCGACCCTTCTATGTCCTTTGGTCCAAGATTCATTAAGGATATTAACAGCACAATGATATTCACTTGGACTTGACCATATGTGAGTAATTATCTTAACTGTGAGAAATGTCAATGAAACCAAAGCCAGATTCTGAAGCACACTTTGGTAGCATAGGATAAATAAACATTCCTTATTAATAGACTCAGATTTAGTTTGATATTTTACTTTGGGATTGAGGTGATTTATTTTATTTGACTTTCTCTCCCCTTGTTGTTACATAATTGCAATCATTGACATTTACTGCTAGGCACTGTACTGGGTACTTTTCCTTTACTAATTCATTTATTCTTTATACAAATCCTATGAGGTAGATGCTTTTTTTATCACCTTATTTTACAGATGAGGAAACTGTGGCTGCAAGGCTAAGCAACGAGCTGAAAAACTCACAAGTTGGGTATATATCCAGAGAACAATTCATATTCCAAACACCACTTCAGAATTCAAAACAAAGCATACAGCTACCCTATTCGGATTCTGATGGGGGCTGCCTGAATTTGTAGAATAATTGAGAATAGTTGACATCTTAAAATTTTCCAAAATTTGCTTCAGAACAAGGTGTGTGTCTCCATTTGTTTAGATTCCCTTTTATCTTTGTGTAAATTTCACGTAAAATTTCATGATTTTATTGTTAAAAGTTTGTATATTTCCAATACATATGTTTCAGTATATTTTTGTTGCTACTGTCGTTACTATTGTCGATGGTATAATTTTTTTCCTGTTATGTAATGCAATAGCTGCTTACAGGAAAGTGATTCATTTCCAAATTGGTGATCATTATTCAGCTAACTTGATAAACTCATCAGTTTCATTATTTATTTATTTTCTAATTAATATTATGTAATTTTTTTCTTAAGGAAAATAAAATACAAAATTATCAGACACCAGAACGATGGATGATGGAATTCATTCAGCATCTATTACTGTACTCCCTAAGTTTCCAGTTGAAATATTTAAAAGCCATGATAGATGGCTTTTTTTTTTCTTTCCAACTTTGTTTTTTTTAGGTTCAGAGGGTACATGTCCAGGTTTGCTATATGGGTAAATTGCATGGCGTGGGGGTTTGGTGTACAGATTATTTCATCATCAGGTAATAAGCGTAGTACCCAATAGGTAGTTTTTCAATCTTCACCCTCCTCCCACTCTCCACCCTCAGGTAGGCCCTGGTATCTCTTGTTCCCTTCTTTGTGTCCATATGTATTCAATGTTTAGCCCCCACTTGTAAGTGAGAACATGCAATATTTCATTTTCTGTTTCAATGTTAATTTGTTTAGGATAATGGCCTCTAACTTCATTGCTGCAAAAAAACATGATCTCATTCTTTTTTACGGATGTATAGTATTCCACAGTCTATATGTACCACGTTTTCTTTACCCAGTCCACCGCTGATGGGCGTCTAGGTTAATTCCAGGCCTTTGCTATTGCGAATAGTGTGGCAATGAACATATGCATGCATATGTCTTTAGGGCAGAATAATTCATATTCCTTTGGGTATATATCCAGTAATGAGATTGCTGGGTCGAATGGTAGTTCTGCTTTAAGTTCTTTGAGAAATTTCCAAACTGCTTTCCACAATGGCTGAACTAATTTACATTCCCACCAGCAGCGTACAAACATTCCTATTTCTCTGCAAACTTGTCTGCATCTGTTAGTAATAGCCATTCTGACTGGTGTAAGACGGTATCACATTGTGGCTTTGATTTGCATTTCTCTAATGATTAGTGATGTTGGGCATTTTTTGTATGCTTGTTGGCCACGAGCATGTCTTCTTTTGAGAAGTGTCTGTTCATGTCTTTTGCCAACTTTTTTTTGTGTTTTTGTTTGTTTGTTTGTTTGTTTGTTTTTAGGCAGGGTCTTGCCCTGTTGCCCAGGCTGGAGTGCAGTGGCACAGTCATGGCTCCAAATTGCAGTCATGGCTCCAAACTGCAACCTCAGCCTCCCAGGCTTAAGCGATCCTCCCACGTCGGCCTCTCAAACTGCTGGGGATTACAGGCATGAGCCACTGTGCCTGGCCTTTGCCAACTTTTTAATGGGATTGTTTGTTTTTTGCTTGTTAATTTGTTTAAGTTCCTTTTAGATTCTGGATAGACCTTTGTTGGATGCGTAGTGTGCAAATATTTTCTTCCATTTTGTAGATTGTCTGTTTACTCTGATGATAGTATATTTCGTTGTGCAGAAGCTCTTTAGTTTAACTAGGTCCCATGTGTCAATTTTTTTTTTTTTTTGCAATTACTTTTGCCATCTTCATCACGAAACCTTTGGTAGGGCCTATGTCTAGAATCGTATTTCCTAGGTTTTCTTTTAGAGTTTTTATAGTTTCAGGTTTTACAGTTAAGTCTTTAATATATTTTGAGTTGACTTTTGCATATGGTGAAAGGAAGGGTCTCGTTTCAATCTTCTGCATATAGCTAACCAGTTATCCCAGCATGATTAATTGAATAGGGAGTCCTTTTTTCCTTGCTTGTTTTTATCAACCTTGTCTAAGATTCGATGGTTGTAGGTGTGTGACTTTGTTTCTGAGTTCTCCATTCTGTTCCACTGGTCTATGTGTCTGTTTTTGTACCAGTGCCAGACTGTTTTGGTTACTGTAGCCTTGTTTGAAGTAGGTAATGTTATGTCTCCAGCTTTGTTCTTTTTGCTTAGGATTGCTTTGGCTAGTCAGACTCTTTTTTGGTTCCATATGAATTTTAGAATAACTTTTTCCAATTCTGTGAAAGATGTTATTGGTGGTTTGCTAGGAATAGCATTGAATCTGTAAATTGCTTTGGGTGTATGGCCATTTTAACAATATGGAGCCTTTCCATCCATGAATATGGAATATGAAATGTTTTTCCATATGTTTGTGTTGTCTCTGATTTCCTTCAGTGGTGTTTTATAATTCTCATTGTAGAGATATTTTACCTCCCTGGTTAGCTGTATTCCTAGGTATTTTATTTTTATGGATGGCTATTGTGAACGAGATTGTGTTTTTGAGTTAGCTCTCATCTTGGACGATATTGGTGTATAGATATGCTACTGATTTTTGTGCACTGATTTTGTATCCTGAAACTTTCCTAAAGTTGTTTAATAGCAATTGGAGCTTTTGGGCAGAGACTATGGGGTTTTATAGGTACAGAATCAAATCATCTGCAAACAGGGGTAGTTTGACTTCCTCTTTTCCTATTTGGATGCAGTTTCTTTCTCTTGCCTGATTGCTCTGGCTAGGACTTCTAGTACTATGTTAAATAGGAGTGGTGAGAGTGGGCATCCTTGTCTTGTTCTGGTTCTCAAGGGGAATGCTTACAGTGTTTGCCCATTCAGTATGTTGTCTGTGGGTTTGTTACAGATGGCTGTTATTATTTTGAGGTATGTTCCTTTAAAGCCTAGTTTGTTGAGGGTTTTTATCAGAAGCCTTTTCTGCCTCTTTTGAGGTCATTATGTGGTTTTTGTTTTTAGTTCTGTTTATGTGATAAATCACATGTATTGATTTACATATGTTCAACCAAACTTGCATCCTGGAAATACCTACTTGATCATGGTGGGTTAGTTTTTTGATGTGCTGCTGGATTTGGTTTGCTAGTATTTTGTTGAGGATTTTGCATCTATGTTCATCAGGAATGTTGACCTGAAGTTTTCTTTTTTTCATTGTGTCTCTGTGAGGTTTTGGTATCGGAATGATTCTGGCCTTATAGAATGAGTTGGGGAGGAGTCCCTCCCCTCAATTTTTCGGAATAGTTTCTATAGGATTGGTGCAACTCTATATGTGTAACAGAATTAGGCTGTGAATCCATCTTTTCCAGGGCTTTTTCTGGTTGGTAGGCTTTTTATTACAAGTTCTCCTAGAACTTGTTATTGGTCTGTTCAGAGTTTCAATTTCTTCCTGGTTCAATCTTGAGAGGTTGTATGCTTCCAGGAATTTATCCATTTCTTCTTGGTTTTCTAGTTTGTGTGCATAGAGGTGTGTAATACTCTCTGAGGGTTTTTGTATTTTGTTGGGGTCGGGGGGAGGGGGTCGGTGGTAATGTCCCTTTGTCATTTCCGATTGTATTTATTTGGATCTTCTCTCTTTTTTCTTTATTAGTCTAGCTAGCAGTCTATCAATCTTATTTATTCTTTCAAATAACGAAATTTTGGTTTCATTCAGCTTTTGTGTGGTTTTTCACATCTCAGTTTCATTCAGTTCAGCTCTGAATTTGGTTATTTCTTTTCTTCTGCCAGCTTTGGGGTTGGTTTGCTGTTGTTTTTATAGTTCTTCTGGGGATCACGTTAGGTTTTATTTGAGATCTTTCTAACTTTTCGATGTGGGCATTTAGCACTATAAGCTTTCCTTTTAACACTTCTTTACTTAACACTTCTGTTCCAGAGATTCTGGTATGTTTTATCCATTTTCACTAGTTTCAAAGAATTTCTTGATTTCTGCCTTCATTTAATTGTTTACCCAAAAGTCATTCAGGAGCATGTTGTTTACTTTCCATGTAATTGTATGGTGTTGAGAGATCTTAGTGTTGATTTCTATTTTTATTGCACTGTCGTTCAAGGGTGTGGCTAGTACGATTTCACTTGGTTTGAATTTGCTGGGAATTGTTTTATGGCCAATCATGTGGTCAATTTTAGAGTATGTGTCATGTGCAGATGAGAAGAATGTATATTCTGTTGTTTTCTGGTGGAGTGTTCTGCAGATGTCTGTTAGGTCTATTTGATCAAGTGTTGAGTTCTGGTCCTGAATATCACTGTTAGTTTTCTGCTTCGATGACCTGTCTAATACTGTCAGTAGGGTGTTGAAGTCTCCCACTATTATTATGTGGTTATGTAAGTCTCTTTGTGAGTCTCTGAAAACTTGTTGTATAAATAGGTGCTCCAGTGTTGGGTGCATATATAAGTAGGACAGTTAAGTCTTCCTGTTGAATTGAACCCTTTATCATTACGTAATGCCCTTCTTTGTCTTTTTTTTTTTTTTTTTTTTGAGACAGAGTCCCACTCTGCTACCCAGGCTGGAGTGCAGTGGTGCAATCTTGGCTCACTGTGACCTCTGCCTCAAGTGATTCTCCTGCCTCAGCCTACTAAGTAGCTGGGATTACAGGCGTGTGCCACCACACCGAGCTAATTTTTGTATTTTTTTTTAGGCAGAGTCTCACTCTGTCACTCAGGCTTGGGTACAGTGGCACAATCTTGGCTCACTGCAACCGCCACCTCCAGGGTTCAAGTGATTTTCATGCTTCAGCCTCCTGAGTAGCTGGGATTACAGGTGTGCACCATCACGCATGGCTAATTTTTTGTATTTTTAGTAGAGATGGGGTTTTACCATGTTGGCCAGGCTGGTCTCAAACTCCTGACCTCAGGTGATCTGCCCACCTCAGCCTCCCAAAGTGCTGAGATTACAAGCATGGGCTATTGCTCCTGGCCTAATTTTTGTATTTTTTTTTTTTAGTAGAGATGGGGTTTTGCCATGTTGGCCAGGCTAGTCTCAAGCTCCTAGCCTCAAATGATCTGCCTGCCTTGGCCTCCCAAAGTGCTGGGATTACAGGGGTGAGCCACTGTGCCTGGCTTTCTTTGTCTTTTTTTGATCATTGTTGGTTTAAAGCCTTTTTTGTCTAAAATTAGAATAGCAATGCCTGCTCTTTTATGTTTTCTGTTTGCTTGGTAGATTTTTTCCATTTCTTTGAGCCTATGGGTATCATGCCTATGAGATGAGTTTCTTGAAGACAGCATACAGTTGGGTCGTTCTTCTTTATCCAACTTGCCAGTCTGTGCCTTTTAATTGGAGTATTTAGCCTGTTTATGTTCAAAGTTAATATTGATATGTGCAGATTTGATTGTCATTGTGTTATTAGCTGGTTGTCATATAGACTTGATTGTGTCATTGTTTTATAGTGTCAATGGTCATGTACTTAAGTGTGTTTTTGTGGTGGCCAGTAGTGGTTTTTCATTTCCATGTTTGGCATTCTGTTAAGGACTTCTTGTAAGGCAGGTCTCGTGGTACTAAATTTCCTTAGCAGTTGCTTGTCTGAAAAGAATCTTATTTCTCCTTCACTTATGAACCTTAGTTTGGCTGGATATGAAATTCTTGGTTGGGATTTATTTTCTTTAAGAATTCTGAATATAGGTTCCCAGTCTTTTCTGGCTTGTAGAGTTTTTGCTGAAAGGTACAGTTAGCTTGATGAGGTTCCCTTTGTTGATGACCTGCCCCTTCTCTCTAGCTGCCTTTTTTTCTTCCATGTTAACCTTGGTTAATCTGACAATTATGAGTCTTGAGGATGGTCACCTTGTATACTATCATCTAACAGGGGTTCCCTGCATTTCCTGAATTTCAATGTTGACCTCTTTAGCAAGGTTGCAGAAATTTTTGCAGAGAATATCCTCAAATATGTTTTCCGGCCAGGCACGGTGGCTCATGCCCATAATCCCAGCACTTTGGGAGGCCGAGGTGGGTGGATCACCTGAGGTCAGGAGTTCAAGACCAGCCTGGCCAACATGGTAAAACCCCGTCTCTATTAAAAATACAAAAAAATTAGCCAGGAGTGGTGGTGAGTGCCTGTAATCCCAGCTACTCGGGAGGCTAAGGCAGGAGAATCGCTTGAACCTGGGAGGCAGAGGTTGCAGTGAGCTGAGATCATGCCATTGCACTCCAACCTGGACAACAGAGTGAGACTCTGTCTCAAAAAAATAAAAATGTTTTCCAAGTTGCTTGCTCTCTCCCCTTTTCTTTCAGGGATGCCAGTGAGCTGTGCGTTTGGTCTTTTTACATAATCCCATATTTCTTAGAGGTTTTGTTCATTCTTTTTTATTCCTTTTTCTTTATTTTTGTCTGACTGAGTTGATTTGAAGAATCGTTCTTTGAGCTCTGAGATTCTTTCCTCAGCTTGGTGTATTCTGTTGTTAATACTTCCGATTGTATTACACAATTTTTTGTAGTGAGTTTTTCAGCTCTATCAGATCAGTTTGGTTCTTTCTTAAAACGACTATTTTCTCTTTCAGCTCTTGTCTCATTTTATTGGATTCCTTAGATTCCTTGAATTGGGTTTTGGCCTTCTCCTGAATGTCATTGATCTTCGTTCCTATTCAGATTGTGAATTCTGTGTCTGTCGTTTCAGCCATTTGAGCTTGTTGGGGAAACCAGCCCCACACCACCTGGCGGGTACCCCGAGTCCAGCCGAGACAAAGGAGTTAGAAAGAGACAGAATAAAATTTTAAAAGGCAGGTCCAAGGGACCGGAGCGTCAGAGGCTTGCTCAGGGCCCAGAGCTCTTCGGCTCCACCTAATTTATTGGTTTACAAGTTCTTTGTTCTTAGGGCAGATGGGAAGGGTAGGAAGGGATGAGGAAAAGGATTAATCAACGAAGGAGAATTCGTGCGTCGTTCAATAAGATGTATAGCAGTGGCGGTTTCTGTGAATTTCCTTGAGCAAAGGCGTGTGTCTAAACTACTTAAGATCTTTAACTTATCCGGAATGAAATGGGTGGGAGTGGGTTTCAGGGGGAGCCAAGATGTTTGATTATACTCCACTGCTTCAAGGGAGTGTTATCTCCCCAAGCAACCTCTGGAATGCCGCTGAGCTGTTATGCTTTAGGGGCAAAAAGACATGAAGGCAATAAGGAGACTTTTCTCCTCAAAGGCCACCCATGGCTTCCCATGGGTGTCTCACACAGGGGAGACCAACTCATCTGGCATCCCAGAAACTCTCTTTCCCACAGAGCTGATTAAGAACCATTGCTGGGGAACTAGTGTGGTCATTTGGAGGTAAGACGACACTCTGGCTTTTTGAGTTGCCAGAGTTTTTGTGCTGATTCTTTCTCATCTGAGTGGACTGATGTTCTTTTAATCTTTGAAGTTGCTGTCCCTTGGATGGGCCTCAGCCTCCAAAGTAACTGGGACTACAGGCATGCACCACCGCGCCCAGCTAATTTTTGTATTTTTATTAGAGACGAAGTTTCACCATGTTAGCCAGGATGGTCTTGATCTCTTGACCTCATGATCCGCCTGCCTCGGCCTCCGAAAATGCTGGGATTACAGGTGTGAGCCACTGCACCCGGCCCGGTTTTTTTCTTTTGCATTCTTTGATGCCCTTGAGGGTTTGACTGTGGTATCAGTTGGGTTCAGTTGACTGGGCTTTGTTTCTGGAAGATTTCAGAAGGCCAAGGTTCAGTTCAGTTCAGCACTCCTGGGCTGCTTGCTCTAACCCTGGAGGCCTGGTACCAGGCCCATTGCTTTGTTCTCCGGCCCCTTGAGGTTAAGCACCCGCTGTGCTGGTGAGGTGGAGGTGTTCCCAGTCTGCTGGCAACAACACCCTGCCAAAGCACTTCATCAGAGCAGTGGCAGCAGGATCTGTGCTCATGTGAATGCATGCTGGCAGCTGTGGTGGCAAATCAATATTGACAGTTTTTCTAGTGGATTGTCTTAAATTTCCCTGATAGTTGAATAACTATCTATAAATAATGACCAATTTATGTTCATGGATTTATCTTTTATATGAATTTTGCCCTTTGTTTGAAGAGAATATTGTTAACATCATGTTTCTCTCCATACAATTTTTTTAATTTAAATAGACAAATAATAATTGTATATATATATTTTTCTTTAATTTTTTTTTTGAGACAGAGTCTCATTCTGTCATCCAGGCTGGAGTGCAGTGGTATGATCTTGGCTCACTGCAACCTCCGCCTCCCAGGTTCAAGCCATTCTCTTGCCTCAGCCTCCCAAGCAGCTGGGATTACAGACACCCAGCACCAAACCTAGTTAATTTTTGTATTTTTAGTAGAGACAAGGTTTTGCTATGTTGGTCAGGCTGGTCTCAAACTCCTGACCTCAGGTAATCTGCCCACCTCAGTCTCCCAAAGTGCTGTGATTATAGGCACGAGCCACTGAGCCTGACCTAAACTTGTATATTTTTATGGCATACAATATAATGTTTTGATGTATGTTTACAATACACACATCAAATACAATCAAATTAATTAACAAATCCATCACTTCACATACTTTTTTTTGCATTAAAAACGTTTATTTTATTTTATTTCATGTTTTTAGAGACAAATTCTTGCTCTGTTGCCCAGGCTGGAGTGCAGTGGCATAATCAGGGCTCACTGTAGCCTGAAACTCCTGGGCTCATGCAATCCTCCCACCTCAACCTCTTTAGTGGCTGTGAATACAGGCACCCACCACCATGCCTGGCTAATTTTTAAAATTGTTTATAGAGACAAGGTCTTGTATGTTGCCCAGGCTGGTCTCGAACTCCTGGCCTCAAATGATCCACCTGCCTTGGCCTCCCAAAGCGCTGGGATTACAGGTGTGAGCCACCATGCCCGGCCAAAATGAGAAGATCTTAAGCCAACCAGGGAAGGAGTAGAGCAGTCATCAAAAGTACCACCTATGAAAACTAGAAAAAGCCCCGAGCAGATGTTAAGAGCTACAGGAATGATAAAAATATGTGGGAAGCAATCCTCTTTCAGATATACACATCCTTCCTAATGGAATATACAGATGAAGGCCAAGCCCACATCAGGAAAGCTCTGTTCAACAGCTATGGAAAATTCCTCACCCATCTGTCATCTGTAAGAACCTAAATTCGTGTCCCTGGGTCTGCAGTCTCAGAGACCATGAGCTGGGTTTCCTCCATTTATTTCAGATAGTGGGGGTGTATCCAGGTTTCCTTAGACAGTTGTGTGTCACTTAGTGACTGGGACACATTCTGAGAAATGCATAGGCAATTGTCATTGTGTGAACATCATAAAATGCAGTTATACAAACCTAGATGGCATAGCCTACTGCACACCTCAGCTATTAATAGGTAAGCCTGTTGCTCCTGGACCACAAACCTGTACAGCATATTACTGTTCTGAACACTGTAGGCAGTTGTAATACAATGACAAGTATTTGTGTATCTAAACATATCAAAACAGAAAAGGTGCAGTAAAAACACAGTATTATAATTTTAGGGGACCCCTGTTGTATGTGGGGTCTGATATTAACTAATATGTCCTTATGTGGCCCATGAATTGTAGTTCTGAAAATCAGTGATTTTTTTTTTTGAGGGGTTGGCTGTGCTTTAAACTAGGAACTGGTAATGATCCATGAAATGTATGACAGGTGGGACAAGGTAATAGTAGTCAACATTTATTGAGCGTTTACTACATGTCAGACCTTGTTAATTTTTTTTTCTTTTTTGAGATGGAGTTTTGCTCTTGTTGCCCAGGCTGGAGTGCAGTGGTGCCATCTCAGCTCACCACAACTCTGCCTCCCTTGTTCAAGAGATTCTCCTGCCTCAGTCTCCTGAGTAGCTGGGACTATAGGCACATGCCACCACACCCAGCTAATTTTTTGTATTTTTAGTAGAGACGGGGTTTCACCATGTTGGCCAGACTGGTCTCAACCTCCTGACCTCAGGTGATCCACCCGCCTCGGCCTCCCAAAGTGCTGGGATTATAAGTGTGAGCCACTGCGCCTGGCCAGACCTGGTAAATTTTACACACACACACACACACACACACTCATTTGAACATCTATCAACCCAATGATGTAGGCACCATTTTTAACCTACTTTTACAAACGAGAAAACTGTGTTTACATAAACTAATTTTCAGAGGGTTCAATAGCCCATAGACATGGATCTGAACCCTCCTAGCCATGGGCTTTGCCACTGGACCTTCCACTCCTTAGGGTTGGAGGCAGAGGTGGCATCAGGGGCTTCCCCACCATTTTGGGTGATGGAAGTGAGAGGCATTGTCGCCCTCAGCTGGGACTCAGCCAGACCTGCCAAGGTGTCTCTGATGACACAGACCATAAGGTCCGCTTCCTTCATAAAGGTCTTTCTGGGTGGTTCTCAGTACTGCTGCCCATCAGACCCACCAGAGCAGTTTAAACAGAAGAGGACCTCGCCCTAGAACTACTGAATCAAAATCCCCAGAAAGGGAAGCAGCCTGCGGGGAGTCAGTATAGTTTAAGAGCCCCAAGTGATTTGATTGCAGAGCAGAGAATGGAAAGCTCTGGCCTGGGCTGTGACTGTTCTCAAATGTGTGTTCACTTAAGAGCCAAATTTCTGGTGATTTCCTACTCACCAAATGATGGCACTGCAGTGGAAGGGCAGAAGGGTGTCTATTGCTTTTGCTGGGGATGGCCTTCGCTTTCCATCAACAATGAGATGACCCAGGCAGCAGAGCTGGGTTAGAAGTGGAAAACTTGAGCCCAGAGGTTAGAGGGAAGTGACCACCCACCCTGTTCATCCATCTCTTCCTTTCCATTATCGTCCCTGCCTAGAAGCGAAGACCAGTATTTCTGATGCCTGTTTGCCTCCAGACACCCCAGCAGCTCCTTGGGTAAAAAAAGTTGGGCAATTTAATCATCCCATCAGCCCTATGAGGAGATATGGGTGGCTAGAGGTCACTGGAGGCTTGCTTTTAGTAGACAGAAAATTTGAACCTGTGCTATGTTGACAACTCCACCCATAAATAAAGACACAGATCTTGGAGTGAGACAGAGTAGAGGACAGGGGGAGTGGTTGTTTTCCCCAAGGAAATCCTCCAAAGGTGGGGTGTATGCAGCTATGTTTTAGGTACCTATGTGGTGAAGATGGTGGGGATGGAAGGGGCTGAGTGGGAGGATAGGTCTGGTTCAGACTTGATCTATGTGCAGCTGAAACACGTGTGGCTGATTGTCAGACATGCAGTGGAGGTCAAAGTGGGGTCTCTTCTGTGCCTGCTCTCCTATAACCAAACCACAGCCCCTAGCTTCCTGCACCCCCGGTTTCTGTCCTCCTGAAATGAGAACTCACATTTGCCCTTGCACTGACATAAAGAACAGAGAGATAATCCTCAAAAGCCCAAAAGCAAACTGAGGTTCCAGGGAACATTGCCAGAGGCACCTGGACACTCACCTGGAGCACAGAGCAGAGTTTCTGCAGGGCTGCCCTCCCGTGCTCCGCCCCACTCAGGATGCAGGGAGGTGTGGGGATGTGACACTGATGGATGGCAGCAGCCCTGGCTAGGAAGGGAGGGCTGGAAGCCAGGCCTCATCACCTGCCAGATGCCCATGTGGGCAGGACCAGCCAGGCTCCCTAGGTACAAATAGCCCTGGGCTCCACGGCTCCACAGGCTCCCGGGGCTGAGTCTAAATCACTCATCATTGGTTAAAGCCGAGCTCACAGCAGAATAAGCCACCATGAGGCTGTCGGTGTGTCTCCTGCTGCTCACGCTGGCCCTTTGCTGCTACCGGGGTGAGTACATCAGTCATGAGTCCAGCACCAGCCCTTGGGACACACCCTTCTCTGAGCACGAGGTCACCTATTAAGGTTAAGGTTGGGGTCTGGAACAAACCAAAATTCCAAACCTTATCCTGTGCTTGTTGAAGGAACTGCTCATAAAGCTCGGGCCTCATTTCATCAAATCCCCAGTACCTAGGAAGTTTTGCAGAAAATCAATGCAGGCGAACGTTAGGAATTCTGCCTGAGCTTCACTCTTGGATGGGATCTGTGTCAGATGATGTAATGTGAGGTCTGGGGTGACTCTGGGCTCAGCCACTTCTCAGCCCTTTCACCGTGGGCAAGATGCTCACCCTCCCCGCGCCTCCTCCTATCTCTGGTGCTTAGAGCTTCTTCCGGGAGTGGCAATGGGAATGGAGTGGGATTATTGTGCCAAGGGTCTAGCTGTGGATGTGAAGCCAATCACTGTACTGTCAGACATTCTCGTCCCCAGACCTTTAGGTGCCAATTGAGCTCACAGCTTCTTACATTGTAAATTCAGACTCATAAAATGTTACATCTCGAAGGATCCTTGGAGAACTCTCAGTCCAAGAAGAGATGGTGCTTTCTGATTCTCTCAATAAGAAGCCTGCAAATGAATTCTTAGAATAAGCAGCACTCAATATATCTTCTAGGGGTCCTACCGTAATGGTGGTAGAAATACTACAATGGTTAGCCTCAGAACTTCTATTTTTCTAAAATTAATTCTGGCTGATTTTTCCCCAGTTCATTTGGGTACTTTCCTTTCCCCTGTCAGGACCGATCCAGACTCTGATTTTTCTCTTTCCTCTTCTTTTCTGAACCTCTCCCTGTTTCCCTGTGACACCCCGATCCTACCCTCTCCAAATTCTCCCCACAGTTTGAAGTCGGGTAGTCAGGGGTCATGTTGAGCATGGTGGGGCGCTTTCTGGATGCATGGTGTTTGCAAAAGACTTAGGTGAATGGAGATTCCAGACCAAGCAAAATGATTACTCCAGGTCTTTCCAAAATTCCCAGTGGGAGCAGGAATGAGCCTCAGTTCCCTCCTCTCATCCTCTCCAAATATTCTAGATGCTGCTGCAGAATATGGGCCAAGTACAATTTCCTGTATAAGCTTCTAATGTGTGTTAAAACTGATTCACATTATTTTATTTTGTTTTAATTTGTTTACCTTTTAGCTCTGTCTGTATTGAATCACATAAGCCTAAATTCTACAACTTGTTCTCAAAACATCACCTTCAACATTTCAATAATTTTAACTTCTTCTGTTCCAGATTTACTCATTTCTCTAATTTCTGATAGGATTCTGACTCTACCATTCCACTTCAAAATTTGATTACTCAAAGCCTCCTCTTCACCAATGTCCAAGACTAATAAAGTGTCACTTAACTGGCATAGAAAAGTGATTATTTTCAAATCTAGAAAAGAGAACGTTGGCCATCCATCCAGAGAAGCTTTGGAAAGTAATGAGTGTGCTTTAAAAAAAAAACAAAGACTGAATGAGTGATCAGGAAGTTGGTTCTCCAGTTCTAGCTCTACCCTTTGCTGTGTGACCTCAAGGAAGTCACAACCTCCTGGGTCTGACATTGTCATTGGCATAGTTATTGAATAGAAGCCTAAAACCCTGGGGTTCCTGTCTGGTCTGACATCAGGGAGGCATGGGAGAAACACTGATTTCCTTACACAAATTATATTTTTATTCTTTTGCTCCAGCAAATGCAGTGGTCTGCCAAGCTCTTGGTTCTGAAATCACAGGCTTCTTATTAGCTGGAAAACCTGTGTTCAAGTTCCAACTTGCCAAATTTAAGGCACCTCTGGAAGCTGTTGCAGCCAAGATGGAAGTGAAGAAATGCGTGGATACGATGGCCTATGAGAAAAGAGTGCTAATTACAAAAACATTGGTAATTTCTGTCTCTTTCATGTGTCCAGGCTTCTGGTCAGCGGCACAGTGTGAAGTGAGGTCAGCTTGCTTGCTGCTCTGTGAGGGACACAGGTGGTGGGGCACCTGCCTTACTGGTCACCGCTTGAGAAGGTCACCTGGGACCACAGGGTGGGTGCTACCATTTCACCTGCAGAATTCAACTCAGCTGCACACAGCCTCCTGCATGTTCCTCCTTCTCAGGTCACCTACCTGGATGCCGTGTCCCCAGAGTGTGCTGAGGACATGGGGAGTGAGCCTGGGTCCAGGCAGGGGTGGTGAAGGGCCAAGCACAACTGTCTCTCCACCTGGGGACTTTCCTGAGGCCAAGTGGACCTCACACAGTCACTGTGGAATGTACTGGGGAGTGTGGGAGCCTTGAACAGGGAGAAGAAGGCAGGGAGGGACCTAGAGCAGGGGCTCCTGCAGATGCTGCGCTGGAGGGCTGGACTTCTCTGCAGCTTCTGCAGAACCAGGAAGGAGCCCCTCCCAGCTCCTCAGACTCCACGCTCCCCTCCTCACCCACGATGCTCTCCTGACCACGGCCAGTGGGCCAAGACCCTCGCTACTCTACCTCCTGCAGTGCCATGGAAGCGGGATGTTCTCACTCTGTCTTTCTCAAGAAATCAGAGGTTTTCCAGGGGCCTCTCAGCCTGGCTGCCTCTGGGTTGCTGTCCTGAGGTTTAGCTGCAAATGCTCATGGAAGCTGCAGGCTCAGGATTGAGGTGCTCAGGCCCTGAGGCAGAATTCCCACATGGGGAGGCTGGAGTCTCCTGGAAGCCAAGCTTCCCAGAGGCCCTCCCAGCCCTGACCAACCTCTCAGCACTGGGTCTTTCATTGCGGGGAACAGGAGACTCCAAGTCCTGGGACAGCCCAGACAATAACCTCTTGCTGCTCTGCTCTGTCCCCCCTCTATGAGGACCCTGGGCCTTATGCTTGTGTCCCCCCAGGGCTATTGGCCTGGCAAGGAAAGGCTGGTCTAGGTCTAGGCCCTGGTTTCCCACACACACTGGGTTCCTGCCTCTACCCTTCAATTGTCTTTGGGAGCAGAATTCCATCGGCCACTTGGATGTTAACCTGTTGTCTCCAGGAGCTGCATGACCGACCTCACCTTCCTTTCTTTCCTTTTCTATTTCAGGGAAAAATAGCAGAGAAATGTGATCGCTGAGATGTAAAAAGTTTTTAATGCTAGTTTCCACCATCTTTCAATGATACCCTGATCTTCACTGCAGAATGTAAAGGTTTCAACGTCTTGCTCTAATAAATCACTTGCCCTGAACTTCTCCACTGGTCGTGTTATCCTGCAGTCTTGGGCCTTGAGTTGAGAGTGGTTTCCATAGGGGAGTGGCCTTTGGCTGACAATCAACTCCAGAGAACCAGCATCCCGTTATCAATGGGGCCTGAGTCCAGGCATCCCAGAAGGAAATATTTGGTAGGAATCATCCTGCATTCCTTACAGATTTTCCATCCTGCAGCCGTAAATGAAAACCATGGTAATGAGGACACAGGAATTACAATGTTCCTGCTGGTCTTGTACTGAGGGAACCCCAAGCCTGCCTGATTGTCCAGGCCCAGGGTTCCCACCTAGCAGGGACCCTAGTGGATGTCCCCTCAGACCCACAGTCAGCCTGCTTGGTGCCACCTCTGCACTGTGGTTTATCTCCCCTCTCATGTCCAGTATACTTTCTTTTCCATTTACCATAATTTGAGGACATCTCCAGGTTTCAACCTGGATTTCACATTTGTTCACTCCCCACACTCAGAGGACTCCTCAGCGTCTGCATCACTCACCAGCACCTGAGGTGAATGCTTCCTTCCCTCCCTCAAGCCACCCCAAGAGCTCCAGAGACCAGCACCCCCTGCCAATTGGACAGCTCCAAGCGCACATTCCACACTCATTTCAGGAGCAGGATGTAAAACTGAACACAGGGTCCGCCCTCAACCTGCTCTCCCTTCCATGAGCCCATCCAGGCTAAGGCACCCACCCAGCAAGTCCCCTGACCAGGACACAGGGAGACGCCACAGGTTCCTGGCTTGGTGTTCTGTGTCTGCTGCAAAAAACCTCCACAAGCTTGGTGACTTAAAACAACTGATTCGGCTGGGTGGGGTGGCTCACACCTGTAATCCCAGCACTTTGGGAGTGCAAGGCAGGCAGATCACAAGGTCAAGAGATCGAGGCCATCCTGGCCAACATGGTGAAACCCCGTCTCTACTAAAAATACAAAAATTAGCTGGGCATAGAGGCGCAAAACTGTGGTCCCAGCTACTCAGGAGGCTGAGGCAGGAGAATTACTTGCACCTGGGAGGCGGAGGTTGCAGTGAGCCGAGATCGTGCCACGGCACTCCAGCCTGGCGACAGAGTGAGACTCCGTCTCAAGAAAACAAAACAAAACAAAAACTGTGGGGAAAAGCAAGAGAGATCAGATTGTTACTGTGTCTGTGTAGAAAGAAGTAGACATAGGAGACTCCATTTTGTTCTGTACTAAGAAAAATTCTTCTGCCTTGAGATTCTGTTAATCTATAACCTTACCCCCAACCCCGTGCTCTCTGAAACATGTGCTGTGTCAACTCAAGAGTTAAATGGATTAAGGGCAGTGCAAGATGTGCTTTGTTAAACAGATGCTTGAAGGCAGCATGCTCCTTAAGAGTCATCACCACTCCCTAATCTCAAGTACCCAGGGACACAAAAACTGCGGAAGGCCGCAGGGACCTCTGCCTAGGAAAGCCAGGTATTGTCCAAGGTTTCTCCCCATGTGATAGTCTGAAATACGGCCTCGTGGGAAGGGAAAGACCTGACCATCCCCCAGCCCGACACCCGTAAAGGGTCTGTGCTGAGGAGGATTAGTATAAGAGGAAGGCATGCCTCTTACAGTTGAGACAAGAGGAAGGCATCTGTTTCCTGCCCGTCCCTGGGCAATGGAATGTCTCGGTATAAAACCTGATTGTACGTTCTATCTACTGAGATAGGGCAAAACTGCCTTAGGGCTGGAGGTGGGACATGCGGGCAGCAATACTGCTTTGTAAAGCATTGAGATGTTTATGTGTATGCATATCTAAAAGCACAGCACTTAATCCTTTACCTTGTCTATGATGCAAAGACCTTTGTTCACGTGTTTGTCTGCTGAACCTCTCCCCACTATTGTCTTGTGACCCTGACACATCCCCCTCTCAGAGAAACACCCACGAATGATCAATAAATACTAAGGGAACTCAGAGGCTGGCGGGATCCTCCATATGCTGAACGCTGGTTCCCCGGGTCCCCTTATTTCTTTCTCTATACTTTGTCTCTTTGTCTTTTTCTTTCCTAAGTGTCTCGTTCCACCTTACGAGAAACACCCACAGGTGTGGAGGGGCAACCCACCCCTTCAAAAAACAAAACACCAACTGATTCTCTTGCATGTCTGGGGGTCAGAAGCCCAACATTAGTATCACGCTCAGGAGGTTGGAGGCAGGAGGGCTCCACTTGCGCTGGGGGCTCTCAGGGAGAGTTCACTAAGGGCTGCTTCTGGCTTCTGGGCTGCTGACCGTCCTGGTCCTGTGGCCACATTACTCCAACCTCTGCCTCCATGATACATTCTCATCTCCTTTTTCTTCCAGGTTAACGCTCCCCGCTGCGACTTATAATTACAAAATATAGGGTTTGAGTTTAGGCACCACCAGAATATTCAAAACAATCTTCCCATCTTATGACCCTTACCTTCATCACATCTGCAAAGTGCTGTTTTTGGATCATGTAACGGAACATTCACAGATTCCAGGGATTAGGAAGTAGATATCTTTGGGGGAATGGGGGCAAGAATCAGCCAACCACAGCTCCCCTCCCTCCTGCGCCCTAACAGTGCTCTACATTCTATTCCCTCCATGGCCACAGCATCACCTCTAAGAGTCGCTCCATTCCCATCAGACGTCACATCACAGCCCAGTCCACATCCTTCCCAGCTCAGACTAAGTCCCTAAATTGTCTTGCAGCCTCCGAGAACGCTTCCTGTAATACATCCTCCTCATTCACGCCAAAGTGAGCCCCCTAAAACTGAAATGTGACACTATCATCTGTTCAACAACCCTGCATGACCAGAAGGCACTTGTTCTCAAGGGTTTCAAGTAAGGGAACACAATACTGAAAACACACTTTCATAAATAGTGGTTATTTTTATACAGTGGAGAAAATAGTAGATGACAATTATTATTATTATTATTATTATTATTTGAGACAGAGTTTCGCTCTTGTCGCCCAGGCTGGAGTGCAATGGCACGATCTCAGCTCACTGTAACCTCTGGTTCCCAGGTTCAAGCAATTCTCCTGCTTCAGCCTCCCAAGTAGTTGGGATTACAGCCATGCACCACCACGCCCAGCTAATTTTTTGGGTTTTTTTAGTAGAGACGGGGTTTCTCCATGTTGGTCAGGCTGGTCTCAAACTCCCGACCTTAGGTGATCCGCCCATCTCGGCCTCCCAAAGTGCTGGGATTACAGGCATGAGCCACTGTGCCTGGTCGATAACAGTTATTATTAGGTAAGCATTGATCTTAAGGGAAATTTGTATTTTTAATCACATCAGGAAATATGTACACTTAGAAGTAGAACCTAATGTGTGAAACTCATGACCAGTTCAGCCTACTACACACTATGTGTGCTGGAAACAAGGATTCATGGAGTTCTTCCAGCACTCAGAGACACCTAGAAGGAACCACTGCCGGGGGAGCAAGTCCACACCCTTATGTTGCACACAAGGACTTCCAAGGCCCTTTTCCTGCCAGCCCCTGTCCCTTCCTCTCCTTTCTCCCAGGTGCTCCATGCTCAGCCATTGCTGTTTATATTTCATTTCTTAGGCCTCACATGAGTCACACCCTTGCACCAGGGTATATGGGTTTCCCTTTCCCTCTATAGCTTTTTGTTCCTATGACATCTGACAACCCCATCTTTAGAATCCACTTCTCCTCTGTAAAGCTTTCTTGGATACTCACATATTACATCAAATCTTTACACACACGTGCATTCACATGCATAGATATCTGTTTTTTTTAAATTATACATTAAGTTCTGGGATACATGGCATAACGTGCAGGTTTGTTACATAGGTATACATGTGCCATGGTGGTTTGTTGCACCCATCAACCCGTCATCTACATTAGGTATTTCTCCTAATGTTATCCCTGCAGTAGCCCCCCAACTCCTGACAGGCCCTGGTGTGTGATGTTCCCCTCTCTGTGGCCATGTGTTCTCATTGTTCAACTCCCAATTATGAGTGAGAACATGCGGTGTTCGGCTTTCTGTTCTTGTGTTGGTTTGCTGAGAAAGATGGTTTCCAGCTTCATCCATGTCCCTGCAAAGGTCATGAACTCATCCTTTTTATGGCTGCATAGTATTCCATGGTGCATGTGTGCCACATTTTCTTTATCCAGTCTATTATTGATGGACATTTGGGTTGGTTCCAAATCTTTGCTATTGTGAACAGTGCCATAGTAAACATACATGTGCATGTGTTTTTATAGTAGAATGATTTATAATCCTTTGGGTATATACCCAGTAATGCAATTGCTGGGTCAAATGGTATTTCTGGTTCTAGATCCTTGAGGAATCACCACACTGTCTTCCACAATAGTTGAACTAATTTACACTCCTACCAACAGTGTAAAAGCATTCCTCTTTCTCCGTATCCTCTCCAGTATCTGTTGTTTCCTGACTTTTTAATGATTGCCATTCTAACTGGCGTGAGATGGTATCTCACTGTGGTTTTGATTTGCATTTCTCTAATAACCAGTGATGATGAGCCTTTTTTCGTATGTTTGTTGGCTGCATAAATGTCTTCTTTTGCGAAGTGTCTGTTCATATCCTTTGCCCACTTTTTGATTTTTTTTCTTGTAAATTTGTTTAAGTTCTTTGTAGATTCTGGATATTAGCCCTTCGTCAGATGGCTAGATTGCAAAAATTTGCCAGTTCACTCTGATGGATATCCCTGTTTTATCATCACTTTTTCTTCCTGTGATACAGGACACATATCATAGCATTGTGATAAGAACATATTACATGAATACTAGAAAGCATTCAACAAATCTTAGCAATCTTTACTATAATGCTTACAATTAATACCTTTCTGTTTATTGAGCACCCTAATATGCGTTTTGCCAGAAGCCTTCCAAGTTCTGTATGACTTAGTCCTCACTAGTTCCCAAGAAGGTCTGAGATTGTTCCCACTAATGAACCTGAGAATGACAAATGCTCTACCCAGTGCCCCTCAACACTGGCTCTGTTTTAGAATTCACTGGGAAGCTGTCAAAAGCAATCAGTGTCCAGGCTCCATCCGGGGTGCACGTGTGTATTTGTGTGCAAATAGAGTCCATGCAGTCCCTGGTCTTGGACCTCCCGCTCTTATAGGTGCAGGCATCCAGTGAACTGGGGAGGGAGTAGCTGGGACAGGAGTCCCCCATGATACTCACAGGACTCCGGACATCACCCGGCTGTTACCTTGAGGCCTTTCCCTTAGCTACTTCCATAGTCTTTAAAGCCTGGGGATTTCAAGGTGCTCACTCTAATCACATGGGGGTCACATAAGGTTAAGTTTCCTTCCTGAGCTGCTGTTAAAAGAGTGTGAAGGCCGGGCACGGTGGCTCACGCTTGTAATCCCAGCACTTTGGGAGGCTGAGGCAGGCAGATCACGAGGTCAAGAGACCATCCTGGCCAACATGGTGAAACCCTGTCTCTACCAAAATTACAAAAATTAGCTGGGCATGGTGGCGCACGCCTGTAGTCCCAGCTACTCAGGAGGCTGAGGCAGGAGAATTGCTTGAACCTGGGAGGCAGAGGTTGCAGTAAGCCGAGATCACCACGCACTCCAGCCTGGCGACAGAGCGAGACTCCGTCTCAACAACAACAATAACAATCACAAAAAACAAAAGAGTGTGAAGTGAGATCCAGCAAGACTGCTCAGGCTGGGGCAGGGAGGGAGGGTATCGAGAGTCATTGTTTAAGGGGTACAGAGTTTCTGTTTGGGATAACGACAATGAAAATGAATATTTCAAAGGCATCATAAATGCTCCTAAGGCTGCTGAACTGTACACTTAAAAATAGCTGAAATGAACATTTTTTGCTTATTTTACCACAATACAAAAAAATACTGCAAGGGCTGCCATTGCCTGAGGGGCAGCAGGAAGATACCTGCAAAAGGGAGCTAGGCCTGTGTTTTACCCCCTGGACCTGTCAGCATTCCAAAGTCAGCACTTCTCTAGGTGTCCATGCTCTCATTGATTCACCTGCTGGATGTCTTCTTTGTTGAAGATATTGCTAATTTTTAAGAAACTCTCATTCAAAAAGCTGAGATTGAGGTTTGCCAGGGACATAGAATTCACTCATGCAGGGTCTGTTGACTTTATCCCTTAAAGCCTCTCCCATAACCTCCAAGCTAAGTAAAGTCTCATAATTTGCCTCCTGCACAAATATTATCAATCTCTGCCTAGGCTCTTTTCCTCAAATGTCTTCTTCCTGTGATCCATCTGACACTTTATGACAAGCTCAATATTCTGAACACAAAGCTCTCATTTTGTCATAAGCTTCATTAAAGTGAACCTTCAATGAATCTCCATTTTTTTATGAAATAAAGCTCAACATTTCAATTCAGAAATCGGAATATTCAAGTCTGTATAATAATCTAAGCTTCACATTGTTAAAAAATATGTGTTTTCCTTTCTATCCTTATTCTTTCACTTTTTTTCTCTCAGCTGTTTTCTAACAGCTTAGGGGCTAGAAAAAGAGAAGAGAAAAGGAAATAAAGTTCTTAATTTACACACTATTTTGTAATTCATTCAGTTTCTCTGGGTCTGACAGATGTTTTATGTCATGGGTAAGTTTCATGAGTGCTTTATAAAGTCCAGATTAGTAAGATCTCTCCTTCGTTTTATGGTTTAACAAGTATTCAGACAACAACAAAGAACTTTAGAGAAATTAAAACATGATAGCTGGAATAATTAATAGAATTGAAAGAAAAAATTAAAATAGTGTCATGAAAAGCAGTATGTATGTGGTGGAAAAGATAAAGCAATAAAAAATATGAGAGAAAAGAAAAGAAGGTTGGAGGATGAATCCATTATGTCCAACTGAAAGAATTCCAGAATGACAGAGATCATGGTGGAAAGAAAGTCACCGAAGAGGCCAGTTGTGGTGGCTCATGCTTGTAATCCCAGCACTTTGGGAGGCCAAGGCAGGCAGACCACTTGAGCCCAGGAGTTTGAGACCAGCCTGGGCAACATAGTGAAAGCCCATCTCTACAAAAATTAGCTGGGTATGATGGCACGTGTCTGTAGTCCCAGCTACTGGGGAGGCTGAAGTGGGAGGATCACTTGAGCCCAGGGGGCAGAAGTTGCAGTGGACCGAGATCATGCCACTGCACTCTAGTCGGGATGACAGAGCAAGACTCTGTCTCAGAAAAAAAAAGTCACCAAGGAAATAATACCAAAAAATTTCCCAGAAAAAAATACAGTATTGAAAAATCCATAGACATCCATCTGTTTTCCATACCAAAAAATATTTTGCTAACATTCTGGAACATTGTCTTTAAGAAAAGGTCTTTCTTTCCCAGAAAGAAACAGTGAGGCACATACAGTGATGGGGAATAATAATGGAACCAACACAAGAACTGGTGGATGGAGGATAAATACTAAAAAATCAGAGGATTGTCAACCTCTAATTCTATACAAATATGAATCTGTAATCAGCCTACTCATTCAAACACAAAGATAAAATAAAGATCCTCAAACATTTTATGCCCAATAAACTTCTTCTCCAAAAGGTACTGGAGGACAGACCCCAGCAAAAACAAGTACAACAAGAAAGAGAAAGACATGGGACTCGGTAAACAGTGATGAAAATAGGAGTTAGTGGATAAATCAAGAGAACAGTAATAAAAGATTATTTGGAACATGGAAATCCTTCTGTAGAGAAAGAAGGTCTCAGGTCAATGCAGAATCGACACCACACCAAATGGGGGAGGGTGATACATTTTGTTGAAAGGATTCATAAATTTCCTTAAGGAATTAATCAGCAAGTTGAATGGGAAGACACGATATAGAACTGAAGAAAGTTACAATGTATATCACTGAGATGAGATCTTATTATGCAAATTAAAAACCTATAGAAATCCAAGGATATAGAAAGGAAAGCTTGTGGAAGAGGTGATGGCTGAGTTGGACCATGAAGCACCTAGAAGACGAGGATGACAGGCAGGGGAAGCAGGGCCTCCAGGTGCATGGAGCAGCCTGGGCAAAGGCATGGACATGAGGCTGACTCAGCCACCTGGAGGACAAAGATGCCCACATTCCTGCTGGCACCTTGCCAGGCTGGGGCTACACTCCCTGTTTGCTGAGTATGAGGCTCACGAATGCTACTGGTCATTCATCACAAGAGCAAATGTGTGCAGGTATTTCTCTAGCACTTGGCAGTACTGACATCAAAGGTAAGTAATCCTTTTTCTGTGGGATCTGTCCTTTGCATTGTAGGAGGTTCAGCAGTACCCCTGGCCTCTGTCCCCTGGGTGCTGATAGTACCCTACCACCATCCAGCTGTGACACCCAAAACTGTCCAGACTGATGTCTTTGGGAATAGGGAGGAGATGGGAGTAGGTGTGCCCTAGTTGACAATCGCTGCTCTACAGTGGAAAACTTTATGTCGGTTCTCCTATGTGACTCTTGCAATGGCCCTAAGGCAGGCATTCACAACTTTGGGATCACCACAGTTACCAGAAAAACGAATGGGGCATTGAAAAGAAAAAAAAGTCATGAACTTAATGGAGAAGATGTTAGTGTAAATATCTAATGAACCAAATCAGTTGTTACATGGGTACAGGATTAAGCTTTTCACCACACATTATAGGGAAATGTCAAGTTAAGTAAAGTTCATAGTTTTGGTTAAGGAGCCAAGGAGAATTAGCCAGGGGCTGACACCTGACCTCGGCTCTGCTTCCTAATCCAGCTCCATCTCCCAACTCATTAGATGAATCCAGGTCAGATCATATCGTGGTAATCGTCATTTTTTGAGAAACAGATCACTGGGCTGGCGTGGTGGCTCATGCCTGTAATCCCAGCAGTTTGGGAGGCCGAGGTGGGTGGATCACTTGAGGTCAGGAGTTCAAGACCAGACTGACCAACATGGCAAAACCCCATCTCTACTAAGAATACAAAAATTAGCTGGCCGTGGTGGTGCACACCTGTATTCCCAGCTACTTGGCTGAGGCATGAGAATCGCTTGAATCCAGGAGGCGGAGGTTGCAGTGAGCTGAGATGGAGATTGAGCCACTGAACTCCAGCCTGGGTGACAGAGTGAGACTCTGTCTCAAAAAAAAAGGAACACTGAGGTGGCCCCACCCCAAGCTGGCACAGCCTCCAACTACCTCCTTCCCTTGCCTGTCTCCTCCCACCCTGACCCCAAAGCCCTCATCCAAGAAAGTACAACATTAGTGTTAGTGCCCAGGATGTCACCCAGATGTGTGGTTAGTGTTGTGTGTAATCCCTGCCTTTACTAAAGATTCAAATGTCAATGAGTGCCTCTTTTTAGATAGACCTTGTACTAAAACATGAGAGATATCATCAGTGAACTCTTGTAAAGCACCAAATTTTGGCCCAGAAAATAAATTACAAAATTATTGATTAAGCACTTATTGTATGATGTTGTCATACAGAAGCAGGACATGCAGAGAGGCCATGTTCTCCAGGAGCATGAACAGAGAGGACAGGTCAGCTCCAGGGGATGTCAGGTCGGAGCTGCCCACGGAGAGCCACAGGTCCCTGGGAAAGGGGAGATCCAGGGAGTTGGAGGGGCCAGCAAAGAACACAAGGTGTGAGCTGCTTTGATGTGGCTTCCAGAATGAATGAAGCGTTTCAACCCAGAGTGACTAAGGCAAGGCAGTGGAGACCACAGGGAGCAGAGTAAAATTGTTCAATTACTGTAAGGTAAAATTGCAAAGTAAACGTAAATTATTTCAATAATTTCTCAAGCAGAAAACTGCGGGTCTTGTGCAGAAATCCACACGGAGTTCCCACAGGGCAGCAGTGGGTGTCAAGGTCACCAGGATCCACCTGAACCATGGTGTGCAGGCTTCTCAGTGTCCAGCCAAGGAGGGAAATAGTGTTGACAGCAGCTTGTGGAGGCAGAACACCTGGCTTCATATCCTGTTTCTGCCACTTCCCAGCTGTGTCCCAAAAAGTTCTATGGAATCTCTGTGTCCTTTCTCCTGTAGCTGGGGTGAAATGATCTGCCCACTTCACAGGGTGGTGATCACACATCCAGTTTGCTCAGGACAGGCCTGGTTTACATTGTTATCCTGGCATCCCACCCATTTAGGGTTCCCTTTTATTCTCCAAAGTGCCCCTCATTTACAATCAATAGCATGGTCACCCTGCTCATAGGATGATGGCTGTGAGATTCAAAGGGGCTTACAACAGTGCCCGTCATTTAGGAACTGGTGTAGAATTGTTTTTCATTCATATTTTATTGAACATTTCCTGAAAGTTGCTAAACAATGAGATCTTAAATGTTCTTATCACAAAAAAAACAAGTGTGTGAGATGATGGTGTGTTAATTAGCTTGAATTAATCATTTCAGAATGCATATATACATCAAAACATATAAACCATAAATAAATATAATTTTTATTTGTCAATTTACCTTAGTAAAGCTGGGTAAAAAATTAAAAAATGTATGTAAACATGTTCAATAAATTGGAACTGGTTTCTGGGAAGATTAATATGGTAATACTAAGTAGAAGATGCTTGGGTGATAAGTTATTTGTAAATTATTTCAATAAAACTCTGAGGCTAGTCGTGGTAGTTCATGCCTATAATCCCAGCACTTTGGGAGGCCAAGGTGGGCGGATCACTTGACCCCAGGAGTTCGAGACCAGCCTGAGCAACATGGCGAAACTCTGTCTCTACCAAAAATACAAAAATATAGCTGGGCGTGGTGGTGTGCGCCTGTAATCTCGGCTACTGGAAAGGCTGAGGCAGGAGGATCGCTTGAACTCAGGAGGCAGAGGGTGCAGTGAGCCAAGATGGCACCACTGCACTCCAGCTGGGGCGACAGAGCAAGACCCTGTTCCAAAAAAAAAAAAAAATCATAAAACCAAAAAACCTCTGAGGAAAGGGGAACGCTGAAAAAAAATCAAATACACATGGATCAAAACACAGAACTTTGTTTTCAAACTTAAAAGTTTTAGCTTATATCTGAATAGTTACTCAAATATTTTAGAGAATATTATGTGGAAGCCGAGTTTCAGTAGTGTCGAACAGTCCTAGTGGTCCTTGGAGTTTACCATAAATACATTTTTTTATTATTCAAAAATAATGGCTACCAGCTGACATCTGGATAGCACCTGCTTTGTGCCAAGCACTGTTCTCAGGACTTTCCACTTTTTACTTGTGAATCACAGCAATTCTATGACTGTTCCCATTTTAAAGGGAACACACAGCATTAAGTCTCCTGTCCAATGTGGCAGTCAGCAAACGGAGGAGCTGTGATGTGAACACAAGTGGTGGTCAGGCTCCGAGTCCTCACTCACCACCCACCTGCCATCCAACCCTTACGAGAAAGGGCTGCAGAACCTGCAGAGATGGGACCCAGCAGTGCAACACAGCGGCGCTCAGCAGAGCTGCAGCTTCTCAGGCCCTCCCTTCCCAGATCCTTCCTGGGAGTCTTGGGAATGTCCAGCTGGGATGGGACTGCCCCATGGAATAAGGGATTTTATCCTTTCCTTACTTTTCAATCATCTGACTCCTCTGGGAGTCACCTCCGGCATCTTCTGAATTTATCCATCTTTAACCTACCTCTCCCTACCCACAGCCTCCCCTCAACCTCTGAGCCAGAGGACGTTTCTCCCACTTAAGGGAAAGCACCCTTTCCCTCCTTTGGCCTTCCAGAGCCCTTCATCCATCTCTCTCTGCACCTCTCCTTTCCCGTCCGGGCTTATAGTCTCCTGTGTGTGTCTCCCCAGGCCTCTCAGAGGTACAGAGGGTCACAGGTCTCTTCTGACAATTGAGTGAGTATGAAAAACGCACCACCGTCACGTGCATCTTGGGTGTGTGTGTAAGGGGAAGGGGGTTCTTCCTTGGTTGCTGTAGACTCCCCATGGAAGCTACAGCCTCTCCTTTCCTCAGCCCCATTTCAGAAAGGAGAGGCCAGAAAGCGTTTCTGATGCTTGTGGTCTCTTTAGAGGATTCACCCTGTTCCCTTCACTCAATCCCAACCCCGTGTCACCAGATGTATTCACCCCTACGCAGGGGGAGGTCAGTCTTTGCAAGCTTCTGACACATTTTGGGACACTGAGCTGGAATATGGGGGTGCTGGGGTGGATTGAACACTGAGCAACTCAGACTTGGAATCCCAGCATGAGGCTCGGGCGCGAGGGAGGCGCTGGGTCTAGACGAGGCCTTGGTGACTTGAACAACAGGCATATTGCTGCCAACAAAGATGGCTCCAAGACCAGAGGCCTTTCCTGAAGTTCTGTTCTGTGTAAGAAGGTGACTGACAAGGCAGGGCCACAAGGACTGGGGCACCAGGCAGAGCCCCAATAAGTACTGGCCAAGGAGACACTCTCACATTTCATAATCAAGGTCCTTCACTACCCTTGGGAAACAAGGCCACCAGCCAGGGTCAGCTGTGTACAGTGGTAAGTAAACAACACTTCTCCTTTCTGTCCTCCCCAAAATTAGGTTTGTTCTTGGCCACTGAGGCTCCACCTGAATGGTGGAAAGAAACATGTCGCAAGTAATCCAGAGAGAAAACAATGCATTCACAGGGAATTAACAATGGATTCATTCCTCTGGCTGTTTCATCGACTTCTTTTTTTTTCTTTTTTCTTTTTTTACCTGAGCCAACTTTGTTTTTCTTGTTCCTATGACCTTCACTGTGCCCCTAATTAAACAGGGATGGGCTTTCTATCATGTGAGGCTGTCCCGTCCTTTTCCTGATTCTATGTGGCCACGTTCCTTCCCTTCCTTACCTTGCCAGTGCCATCTGTCCTCAAGCTTCTGTACTTGCAGTTCCCTCTCCCTGGAATTCTCTTCCCCAGATGTGTCCTTGGACATCACCATCCACTCATCCAAGTCTCAGCTGAAACAGCACCTGCTCCTACAGGCTGCCTTGGGGGGCTTACAGGCCACTGCCCCTGGGCAGGCCATCTATGACAGCATTCAGCTGTTGTGAATATTTTGTTGTTCTTTGCAGCAATGACCACTTTCTCATACCTCTGATATATCTTTAGTCTTGTTCTTTGTGTCCTTCATTAGAAAATAAGGTCCACAGGAGCAAGCACCTGGTCTAACCTGTTTCTATAACTGAATCTAGTGCAAGGCCCAGCTCACAGGAGAAGCAAAACAGTGATGCGTACAACAAGGGATCCACGCATGAATGCAACTGCCATTTATTCAGAATTATCTCATGCTTGGCTGCGTGATTAAAAATTTACAGAGCGTCGGCCGGGAGCGGTGGCTCAAACCTATAATCCCAGCACTTTGGGAGGCCAAGGTGGGTGGATCACGAGGTCAGGAGTTTGAGACCAGCCTGGCCAACATGGTGAAACCCCCATCTCTACTAAAAATACAAAATAAATAAATAAATAAATAAATAAATAAATAAATAAATAAATAAAAATTAGCTGGGCGTGGTGGTGCACACCTGTAATCCCAGCTACTCAGGAGACTGAGGCAGGATAATCGCTTGAACCCGGGAAGGCTGAGGTTGCAGTGAGTTGAGATCACGCCACTGCACTCCAGCCTGGGCAATAAGAGTGAGACTCCATCTCAAAAAAAAAAATTTACAGAGTATCTCTCATCTTTACAAAAATTCACGGCCAGGCGGGCACGGTGGCTCACACCTGTAATCTCAGCACTTTGGGAGGCCGAGGTGGGTGGATCACCTGAGGTCAGGAGTTCGAGACCAGCCTGGCCAACATGGAGAAACTCCGTCTCTACTAAAAATACGAAAATTAGCCGGGCCTCGTGCCACATGCCTGTAATCCCAGCTACTCAGAAGGTTGAGGCAGGAGAATCGCTTGAACTCGGGAGGCGGAGGTTGCAGTGAGCCAAGATCGTGCCACTGAACTCCAGCCTGGGCAACAGGGCAAGACTCTGTCTCGAAAAAAAAAAAAATTCAGCATCACTTATACCCGTTTCACAAAGACAGAAAGGAAGCCCAGAGGGACCAGCATTGTAATTTGCCCAAAGACACAGCATGAGTACGTGTGGCCTCCAGGATCCACACCCACACCTGCCCAAATCTTATCACCTAAATCTCATCATCACCCAACCCCATTGCCACCCACTGCCTAGCACTGCCTGCCCAAGCAGTCAGTTACTCCACTCACTCACAGCATCCTCTCAGTCAGTGGATAGAAAACCGTAAAAGGCTAACAAAGAACTAAGCACAAATTAAATTATAAATATATTGTAAAATAAATTTGTAAAGTTGAATTAACTTAGTGTTGTAATTCTTAACAAGAATAACAAGAAGCTTTCAGTAGAGGTTAGATATTAATGTTTTCCCCAAAACTTAAAGCACTTTTCGGGGCTGGGCATGGTGGCTCACGCCTGTAATCCCAGCACTTTGGGAGGCTGAGTGAGGTGGATCTCCTGAGGTCAGAAGTTCGAGACCAGCCTGGCCAAAATGGTGAAACCCTGTCTCTACTAAAAATACAAAAATTAGCCAGGTGTCCTGGCGCATGCCTGTAATCCCAGCTACCCAGGAGGCTGAGGCAGGAGAATTTCTGGAACCCGGGAGGCGGAGGCTGCAGTGAGCCAAGATCGCACCACTGCACTCCAGCCTGGGCAATAGAGTGAGACTCTGTCTCAAAACAACAACAACAACAGCAACAAAACCCCAAAAAACAAAAACAAAAAAACCCGCTTTTCTGAAAAAGAAATGTCTATGGATTAGGAAGGTCTGCCTCCCATAGGAAGATGCAGGTATTGCACATAGCCCAAATATTTGATGATTCCAGGACCGGCAGATACACAAGTTATGAAACTGTTTGTACCTTGAAGAATAACGAGAAGAGGAGGAGACCAAGAGGAATAGAAGAAAAAGAATAGAAGGAGGAGGAGGAAGAAGGGAAGGAGGACTAGAAGAAAACTACAATAATAACAACATTGTTGAGACCACAAGATCACGCCACTGGGTTTTGCTTTATATTTTGGAAAACACTGTCACATCCATTTTACTAAAAGCCATGTATCATTATTGTAGTCCCCAGATTGTCAGGGATCCAAATATTACTGCCTTCTTGGTTTCTACAAACAGAGCACAGGCTGGCTGTGTTCCCATTGGTGTACACTATTGTGTCCTGGTCCCATGCCAGGTTGACACATTGCCTCATTCCTGGGAGGGACTAAGGTGCCTCCCTGGGGAATAAATAGAGCAGGGCTGGGTACTCACCTCCACAGCAACTTCCTTGATCCCTGCCACGCACGACTGAACACAGACAGCAGCCGCCTCGCCATGAAGCTGCTGATGGTCCTCATGCTGGCGGCCCTCCTCCTGCACTGCTATGCAGGTGAGTTCTGGGCAGAGAGGGCTGCTTCTGGGCTAGGAATTGTCACCTGGGCCCCTGTAGAAGAACTCCCAACCTCTAATCCCCAGCACAGACGAGCCCCAGTGTGAAGGGCCTGGGTGCGATAGGCCTTAGGATCCCCATGAGTTCCTGACAATCAAGCATGCAGTGTCCTCATGGGCTGTCCCCTGCATTGGAGCTGCACACAGTGTATCATGGCACTCAGCGTCTCACCATGGTCACGGTGACCATAGAAACCAGGATGAGTCTCAGGATTAAATATTGAAATGAACTATTTCAGTGGGGCAAGGGAGAGATGGCATCTACACCTAGAAATCAGGAAATAATCATGGGTCTCCTTGAATATGGAACGAAATAGGAAACCTCCCAGGACAGAAGGCCCAGGCTGCAGAGTGTGACCCAGTGTCTCTCACCCTGTGTGGCTCACTCTGTGTTCTCAGAGTTGATCTGGGTCCTTCTGGGATGCCCTTACCCTCCCAGTTGCTTCAGGCTCAAGGCAGACAGGTGAGAACTCACAACCCCTGGAGTCTCCTTCCAGCACTAAAGATTCAGTGGGAGGAAAAAGCCCCGGCTGCTGGAATCAGCGCTAATATTTCCATAGGTAGCCTGCCTTGTGCAGTTCACAAAGGTGGATTCCAAACCCTACCGTATTGGCATCCAAGGTAGGTGCAGATGTGTAGAAGGGTGACAAGCTCACAGTCAACTAACTGGAAAATCACAAAGTCCAGAGCACAACCAGCTCACATGAAGCCACGTCCTGAGCTCGTTCCTCTCCCTTACAGTGGGAGGTGACCTCAGATCCCCTCATGAACAAGCTCTATTTCACATTCATGTGTGTGTGTGTGTGTGTGTGTGTGTGTGTGTGTGTGTGTGTTTGAGACAGGGTCTTGCTCTGTCACCCAGGCTGGGACTGGGACTGGTGTGCAATGGCACAGTCTCAGCTCACTGCAACCTCTTCCTCGAAGGCTCAAGTAATGCTCCTGCCTCAGCCTCCCGAGTAGCTGGGACTACAGGTGGACACCACTATGCCTGGCTAATTTTTAAATTTTTTGTAGAGATGAGGTCTCCCTGTGTTGTCCAGGCTGGTCTTAAACTCCTGAGCTCAAGCAATTCGCCTGCCTTGGCCTCCCTAAGTGCTGGGATTACAGGCGTGAGCCACCATACCTGGCCACACATTCCCTTTTATTGCAGTAGAGTCAACAGAACTAATGGACAATGTCCTAGACCCATTCATCTGAAATCCTTGGAAACCCTACCTGATGCTGGGCATGATAACAGGGAAGCATTGCATGACTTTGAACCAAGAAAGTCCAAGTAGTGTTTGCTATGTCCCCCCAGTCAGAACACCTCATTTCTCGAGGGTCCTCTTCACCAAGAATACACAGGGTTGGGCTTCTCTGGGTTTGGAAGGTCAGAGAGAATTTGCAGAGCCTGAGTTTACACTCCCAGAATTGAGAACTCTGCATACTGCACCAAAATCTTTCTGAACCTCGGTCTGTCCCTGGAGGTACGAAGATAGCCAGCTTCCCAATTCATCTGTAGAATGAATCACACCTCTAGTAATGGCCCATGTTCTTGTGTCTTTTTTTTTTTTTTTTTTTTTTCCAGATTCTGGCTGCAAACTCCTGGAGGACATGGTTGAAAAGACCATCAATTCCGACATATCTATACCTGAATACAAAGAGCTTCTTCAAGAGTTCATAGACAGTGATGCCGCTGCAGAGGCTATGGGGAAATTCAAGCAGTGTTTCCTCAACCAGTCACATAGAACTCTGAAAAACTTTGGACTGATGATGGTAATTTGGGTTTCTTCTTATGTACCCTTTGAAAATCACTGATCAGAACCAGCGGGCTCTAAATTTGGCACCAAGAATGCCAAGCAACTGGTGAACAAACTTTCTTTATATATCAATTCATTAAACTTTGTCTCCAGGCTGCTTTGCCACTTCACATTGAGAATCTTTAGGGAGTGATAAATGGAAAAGGCAAAAAGGAGAAAAGAAAGCCTTAGAGATCACCCGTCTACCTCTGACCTCACCAGTCCCTTCTCACACAGACACAGACACACATAAGCACACAAGTATAGACACACACAGACACACGGGGACAGGCATCGGCATTTTTTTTTTTTTTTTTGAGACGGAGTTTCGCTCTGTCACTCAGGCTGGAGTGTAGTGGCGTGAATCTCGGCTCACTGCAACCTCCACCTCCCGGGTTCAAGAGATTTGCCTGCCTCCACCTCCCGAGTAGTTGGGATTACAGGTGTGCGCCACCACGCCGGGCTAATTTTTGTATTTTAACTAGAGAAGGAGTTTCACCATGTTGGCCAGGCTGGTCTCAAACTCCTAACCTCAAGTGATCTGCCTCCCTTGGCCTCCCAGAGTTCTGAGATTACAGGTCTGAGCCCCCGCACCCAGCCAGAACATGCACATTTTTATCAAGAGAAAATATCTGGTTCTCAAGAGATCACACACTTGTAGGAGCAATCTACTAAGAAATTTCCTACTTTCACAAAAACAAATATTCAAAACATTCTTATTTTTTTTTATCTAGCTCAGAAAATACAATTTGTGCAAATTCTGCATTTTCTAAAATAAAGAAAAAAATTTTTTTGAGATGGAGTTTCACTCTGTTGCCCAGGCTGGAGTGCAGTGGCATGATCTTCGTTCACTGCAACCTCTGCCTCCTGGGATCAAGCAATTCTTGTGCCTCAGACTCTCAGGTAGCTGGGACTACAGGCATGTACCACCATGCCCAGCTAATTTTTGTATTTTTAGTAGAGATGAGATTTTACCATGTTGGCCAGGCTGGTCTTGAACTCCTGACCTCAGGTGATCTGCCCGCCTCGGCCTCCCAAAGTGCTGGGATTACAGGTGTGAGCCACTGCTCCCGGCCTAAAATAAAGAATTTAAAATGCAAGTCCAAGCAACCAAGATTTGTTAGCATACATGACTGGAAGTCATGCACCACTTAATTAAGTGCCTCATGAAGTGGGAAGTGCAGATTATGGGTATGAAACAGCACGAGTGCTAGAATTGTTTAAAACAAAAGTCAGTGGTTATAACAAGGAGTATTTCTGTCTGTTTATAAAGATGTGTTGGTTACGAGTTTTGTTTTTTGTTTTTCGTTTTTTTCGAGATGGAGTTTAGCTCTTGTTGCTCAGGCTGGAGTGCAATGGCACGATCTCGGCTCACTACAATCTCCGGCTCCTGAGTTCAAGTGATTCTCCTGCCTCAGTCTTCGGAGTAGCTGGAATTACTGGCACACAACACCACAGCCTGCTAATTTTTGTATTTTAAGTAGAGATGGGGTTTCACCATGTTGGCCAGGCTGGTCTCAAACTCCTGACCTCAGGTGATCTGCCCGCTTCAGCCTCCCAAAGTGCTGGGATTACATTTTTTTTTTAAGAATTTATTTAATACCCTAAAATTTTATTTAAAACATTCCATAATAAAAAATGTAAAGATATATCAAATGCTCAAGGATAAAAATAAATATTAACTGCAATTTGGGATGGTTGAATCATTTTTTTCTTTAAAAACTCAGATTAGCCAGGTGCATCCCTCATACCTGTAATCCCAGCACTTTAGGAGGCCAAGGCGGGCAGATCACTTGAGGTCAGGAGTTCAAGACCAGCCTGGCCAACATGCTGAAACCCTGTCTCTACTAAAAATACAAAAATTAGCTAGGCGTGGTGGCGCACACCTGTAATTCCAGCTGCTTGGGTGGCTGAGGCAGAAGAATTACTTGAAGCCAGGAGGCAGAGATTGCAGTGAGCCAAGATAGTGCCACCGCACTCCAGCCTGGGCAACAGAGTAAGACTCCATCTCAAAAACAAACAAACAAACAAAAATCCTAAACAAACCAAAAAAACCCCTCAGATTAATCATTCATATTGTAAAACTCCAGTGTTTCTTGTTTCCGTTTTTTTGTCTTTGTTTTTGTTTTTGAGACAGAGTCTTGCTCTTTTGCCCAGGCTGGAATGCAGTGGTACAATCACAGCTCACTGCAGCCTCCATCTCCTGGGCTCAAGTGATCCTCCCGCTTCAGCCTCCTGAGTAGCTGCGACTACAGGTGCACACTAACACACCTGGCATATATATACATATATATACACACACACATATATACACACATATGTACACACATATGTACACATATGTACACATATATGTGCACATATACATGCATATATGTACACATATATGCACATATATACATATATACACACATATATACATATATACACATATATACACATATATACATATATACACATATATACACATATATATATATATATTTTTTTTTTTGTAGAGATGGCATTTTGTCATATTGTCCAGGCTGGTTTAAACTCCTGGGGTCAAGCAATCTGCCCTCCTTGGCTTCCCAAAGTGCTGGGATTACAGGCATGAGCCATCCCACCCAGCCCAGCTCCAATATTTCATAGGCCTCAAAGGTAATGGTGAAGAGTCTCAGACTGTTACAACATTTCTACCTTTTATGCCTGTGCAGCAACTCAAAACCATCACATTCTTGTATCTGAGCTGAGATTTTTTAATAATTCTGTGTTGTAAAAGTGGTATCAGAAACAGTCCAAATGATCAGGTCTTCAACAAATAGTATATGCAGCATATTTATTGGATAAGTTATTTCAAAGGATAGAATTTTTGGAGAAAAAAAGTATTACATGGATCACTGGTAGGGAAGAGATCCTACAACCCTGGCCCCTGTTTGGCATTATGAAGTGTCTCCTAGATAACAGAATAAATGGAGAGGGGATGCTGGCTTTGCTTCCACTGCAAATCCTCCTGAGAGTTAGCTGTTTGTGGACAAATGCAAGAAAACAAGAAGACAAGTTTTAATATTTGATTTAATAAGTGAAATTTGCAAACCTAAGTGACCTGCTTTTGTTTTCCAGCATACAGTGTACGACAGCATTTGGTGTAATATGAAGAGTAATTAACTTTACCCAAGGCGTTTGGCTCAGAGGGCTACAGACTATGGCCAGAACTCATCTGTTGATTGCTAGAAACCACTTTTCTTTCTTGTGTTGTCTTTTTATGTGGAAACTGCTAGACAACTGTTGAAACCTCAAATTCATTTCCATTTCAATAAACTAACTGCAAATCACTAAAATTCTTTCTTGTTCTTCTATAAAAAAAGAAGCTTTCCAGGCTGCACAGTCAGGCTGTAGGTTGCAGACAGAGACAAGCCTCGAAGGAGTTGAGTGAGGGTCCGAGGTTTCTGGGAAATACTTTATTTCTCATCATCTCGAGCCCAAGAGTTGGACTTCTCTCTCTCTGCAGAACAAAGTATTAGCTCTTGTTGCTTAGCTAATTTTTCTCTGAAGAGTGTTTCACTCTCCACATCCCACTACCTCCCTAAGCCACTTTCTCTGGGGACCTCACACTCTTGGAGTCATGCTCAGAAGCCCTGATTTTACCCCAGTCCCATCCATGCTGAGCCCTGCTGGTTATGCCAGGCTCCTCTGGGTTGTCTTTGGGCCTCCCCAACGTGTGCAGGGCCCAGACCAGAGCCAGCCAGGGAGGGGAGGCCTGCAAAGCAAGGTGGATCCTGTCTGGATTTTAAATTTTGAGTTTTATTTGTCGTTCATGGATGTTGGCATTAATTTTGAACTTTTAAAATATTGCATGAAAATATTACTTACCCTGATGACTGAGTTTGCTAGCATAGCGACACCTTAAATTGTGCAACTTTTCTCAGTCCAGTCTCTGCCAGTGGGTCCATCCTCCCCTGCCCCACAGTGAGCTGCAAAGGCAATGAGGGTTGAGGGGAGTGAGTGTGCTATGCAGGGACCCAGCACAGAAGGGGATGTTTAAATGGAACCGGGGTCTCCATCGTGTCCTGTCCCCAGCACTCCTGTCACCAGGGTTAGGTTATTGCCTGTCCCTTTTCCTTCTGGGGCTATCCCCTCACCCAGGAAGACCCTGTCTATGTGTCTGGACAACTCAGCTTCACCAGGGCCGACTCTTCCATCAGGCAAGGCAAGGGCAGGGATCCAGGCCCACAATATACATAGGGGTGTATGAAAATGTTATAATTTAAAGAATAATTTCCTGAAGTGATTGTAATATTAATGAACATATACCAATGAATCTAGCCTGAATTCTATACTTCGTCTTACCAATACAGTTGTAAAGTATGTTTAAAATGTTCTTATGAAGAAGTGGCCTATGAAGGCAATGTAATACCTGTGACCTACAAAAGCCATGCAACAGATGATAAAATATTGCTGTTTTATTTGGACTCAGAGACCTATCCTCAAACCCTCAATCTTCTGGCCAAAGTTTAGGTCAAATAAGGATGTGATGTGTCAACTTGTAATTCAATATGTAAATGACAAAAATCTAGTTTCTCAAGAAGAGCTGGACTATATTCTTTTTTAGAGACAGAGACCTATTCTCCTTTTTCCCTGAAAGACAATTAGGAAAAAACTCAATCAAAAACCCCAAAATAAAGAGTCAGAAAAGCCAGTTCTCATGCCTAAAGACTCCAGCACATGGGATCCCCTAGACCATCTTCCCCTGCTGAATGCTCTTAACCCTTCCCCTCAGACAGCCCTTCTGTCCCAGATCCTGCCCCAGATCCCTCCCTTGCTCACATTATTCCTCCTCCTTACAATCCAGATTCCTGGGAATCATCATCCCATGAGCCTATTTCTTCTCAGCCCATGTAGCCTATTTCTTCTCAGCCCATGTATCCTTCCCTAAAAAGACTCCAGCATTAGAAAAAACAATATAAAAAGGATATTCAAAATTTCCCATTTCCCTCCACACCTAAGGAGTCAGCCCCAACTCTCTTCCCCTTAAAAGAGGTGCCACAAGGAGATGGAACTACTGACTTTGTAAATACTCCCTTAACCAGTTTGGAGGTCTAAAGTTTGAAGAAGAAACTTAAGCCATTGTTATATGACACTTACAGAGTGACAGATCAGGTTGATCAGTTTTTGAGACCTCGGTTACACACTTGGGTCGAGTTAATGTCCATCCTAGACATCCTCTTTTCAGGGAAGGAAAAAAACATGATCCCTAGGGCTGCTATGGCAATTTAAAAATGTAAATATCCTCCCGGTCAAACATTCCTAATGCAGATCGAAAGTTTTCCACCCAAGACCCCCGGGGTAGGGAAAAGAAAGAGATCAGACTGTTACTGTGTCTATGCAGAAAGGGAAGACATAAGAAACTCCATTTTGACCTGTACCCTGAACAATTGCTTTGCCCTGAGATGCTGTTAATCTGTAATTTTCCCCAACCTTGAGCTCACAAAAACATGTGTTGTATGGAATCAAGGTTTAAGGGATCTAGGGCTGTGCAGGATGTGCCTTGTTAACAAAATGTTTACAGGCAGTATGGTTGGTAGAAGTCATCACCATTCTCCAGTCTTGATAAACCAGGGGCACAATGCACTGTGGAAAGCCACAGGGACCTCTGTCCTGGAAAGCCAGGTATATCCAAGGTTTCTCCCCATGTGATAGTCTGAAATATGGCCTCGTGGGATGGCAAAGACCTGACTGTCCCCCAGCCCGACACCCGGGAAGGGTCTGTTCTGAGGAGGATTAGTAAAAGAGGAAAGCCTTTGCAGTTGAGATAGAGAAAGGCCACTGTCTCCTGCCCCTGGAACTGAATGTCTCAGTATAAAACCCGATTGTACATTTGTTCAATTCTGAGATAGGAGAAAAAGGGAAAAACTGCCCTGTGGCGGGAGGTGAGACATGTTGGCAGCAATGCTGCTTTATTATTCTTTACTCCACTGAGATGTTCGGGTGGAGAGAAACATAAATCTGGCCTACGTGCACATCCAGGCATAGTACCTTCCCTTGAACTTACTTGTAACACAGATTCCTTGCTCATATGTTTTCTTGCTGACCTTCTCCCCACTATCACCCTGCTCTCCTACCACATTCCTCTTGCTGAGATAGTGAAAATGGTAATCAATAAATAATGAGGGAACTCAGAGAACGGTGCTGGTGCAGGTCCTCCGTATGCTGAGTGCCGGTCCCCTGGGCCCACTGTTCTTTCTCTATACTTTGTCTCCGTGTCTTATTTCTTTTCTCAGTCTCTCATCCCACCTACGAGAAATACCCACAGGTGTGGAGGGGTTGGCCCCCTTCAGCCCGGTAAGACAATAATAGCACAGCTCACAGGGAAAATATACAAGACCTAAGAAAAATGATAGTAAAGAAAATTAGAGAATCAGTACCCCAAACCCAAAACCTCTCTAAAACACTTGATATACAACAAGAAAAAGATGAAGGGCCTATGAAATTTCTAGACAGACTAAAGGATCAAATGAGACAATATACAGGCCTAAATTTAAAAGATCCCCTCGGACAGGGAATGTTAAAACTCCACTTTGTCACTAAAAGTTGCCCAGATATTTCAGAAAGTTACAAAAATTAGAAAATTGGGAGAACCGACCTCTAAATGAACTTCTCAGAAAAGCTCAAAAAGTGTATGTGAGAAGAGACAAAGAAAAATAAAAACAAAAGACAAAACGTATGGCATCCACTTTCCAACAGGTGGCTCCAAACCCACATACTTCTAAAGAAAGCTTCCACGGGGCCAAAAACTATAAAAGGTTCAGATCCCCAATTAAAGGACACAAGCCTCCACCTAGAGGACTCAGGCCCTCTTCTACCAGAACCTCAAAAAATATGGGGGGACAAAGTGACAAAATCCCAAAACTGAGAGAAAAAAAAGACAGGATAGGTGCTACAAACGTGAAAGGACAGGCCACTTCAAGAGAGAATGTCCCAAACTAAAAAAAGAGGAAAAAACCCTTCCACTCATGACTTTTGAGGAAGAATAAGGGGGGTCAGGGACTCTGTTTCTTTTACCTCAAGTCCCACCAAGAGCCCTTGATAAATTTAGAGGTGAGACCCAAACATGAGCTTATCACCTTTTCAGTCAATTCAGGGACGACTCGCTCCTCTGTTTGTTTCCCTCCATCCAACATTGCCTGCTCTTCGGAAGAACTTTTAGTCTCTGGGGTAAAAAGAAAAGGATTTAAAACAAAAATCTTAGAAAGTACAAAAGTTAAATACCAAGATTCATTGACTAACATCCAATATTTTTTAATCCCTGAAACAAAAACTAATCTACTAAAAAGAGACTTAATGCTAAAATTAGGTATAGGTCTACAAGTTAGCCTTAAAAGAGTCCTTACTTCATTAAACCTACTCACCACTGCAGATGAAAAATATATTAACCCCTATGTCTGGTCAAGGAAAGAAAACTGAGAGAAACTCAAAATCCCTCCAATCCACATCAAACTAAAGACCCCCAGGAAAGTAGTAAAAAAAAAATACCCCATTACCCTAGAGGATAGAATAGGGTTAAAGCCCATAATTGAAAGTCTTATCAAGGTTGGGCTTCTTGAACCCTGTATGTCCCCTTATAACACTCCAATATTGCCAAGAAATCAGACGGGTCATACCGACTGGTACAAGATCTTAGGGCCATCAATCAAATATTCCAGACTACCCATCCTGTTGTCCCCAACCCATACACCATTCTCAACAAAATTCCATATAGTCATCAGTGGTTTACAATAATAGATTTAAAAGATGCCTTCTGGACATGCCCCTTGGCTGAAGACAGTCGAGACATATTTACTTTCGAGTGAGAGGATCCCCATTCAGAACAAAAACAACAGTATCAGTGGGCAGTTTTGTCTCAAGGGTTTACAGATTCCCCAAACATTTTCGGTCAAATTTTAGAACAAGTGTTGAAAAAAGTGGTTGTCCCAAAGCAAATATGCCTACTCCAGTATGTGGATAATATTCTTCATATCTGGTGAGAATATAGAGAAAATCTCTGGCTTCTTTACACATATTCTTGACCATCTGGAGTTCAAGGGGTTATGGGTTTCAAAGGGAAAGCTTCAGTATGTAGAGGCCAAAGTTAAATATTTAGGCCACTTAATAAGTACAGGTAAACAACGGATAGGGCCTGAACGAGTTAAAGGCATCATGTCCTTATCCTCACCTCAAACTAAACAGGAACTCAGCAATTTTTTAGGGTTAGTTGGATATTGCGGCCTATGGATTGACTCACTAAACAGTAAACTTCTATAACAAAAAATTGTCCAGAAAAAAACCTGATCATCTCCTGTGGACGTCTGAGAAAGTCGATCAGGTTAAAGAGCTAAAAGAAAGGCTCATAACCGCCCCTGCTCTAGCCTTACCTTCCCTAGAAAAACCATTCCATCTTTTTGTTAATGTAAATAATGAAGTAACTTTGGGAGTGCTTACCTAAAAACACAGTGGCTGCCAGCAGCCTGTAGCCTTCCTATCAAAAGTTTTAGACCCAGTTACCTGTAGATGGCCTCAATACATTCAATCTGTTACAACTACAACAATATTAGTTAAAGAAAGTAGAAAATTAACTTTTAGAAAAAAATTGACTGTAAACACACCCCACCAAGTTAAAACAATTTTAAATCAAAAAGCAGGAAGGTGACTCGCTGACTCCAGAATCTTAAAATATGAGGCCATTTTACTAAAAAAAGATGATTTAACCTTGACTACTGATAAGTCACTCAATCCGGCAGGTTTCTTGACAAAATACCCAAATCTAAAAAGAGATCACTTATGTCTAGATTTAATTGACTACCAAACAAAGGTCAGGCCAGATCTAGAAAAAACTCCTTTCACAACAGGACAACACTTATTTTTAAATGGTTCCTCCCAAGTAATTATAGGAGAAAGACATAATAGATATTCAGTAATTGATGGAAAATCTCTTGAAGAACTAGAGTCAGAGAAGTTGCCCAACAGTTGGTCTACTCAAGCTTGTGAATTATTTACACTCAGCCAGACTTTAAAATGCTTATGAAACAAGGAAGGGACTATTTATACTGATTCTAAGTACACCTGGAGTAGCACATACATTTACAAAAATTTGAGCTGAGCAAGTTCCTATTAATAGTAAAGGCCAAAATCTTGCCCACAAAGTGCTAATCGTCCATGTTTTAAACAATCTCCAGTTGCCAAAAGAAATAGTCATTGTACATGTCCCTGGACACCAGAAAGACTTTTCCTTTACAAGTCAGGAAAATAACCTTACAGATAAAGTAGCCAAACAGACTGCTGTTTCACCTAAAACACCTGTCTTTCACTTAACTCCTTGTCTTTCTCCACCTGTTACAACCCCTATCTTCTCTGCTGCAGGAGAGAAAAAATTAATAAAAATAGGAGCCAAAGAAAATTCAAAAAGAAAATGGGTGTTACAACATCAAAGAGAAATACTATCCAAACCCCTCATGAAAAATATCTTGTCTCATCTACAACAAGAGACTCGTTGGAGACCCCAAGCGATGTGTAATACAGTTCTCAGGTTTTATAAGTGTATAAGAATTTATACCCTAGCCAAACAGGTTGTGGACAGTTGCTCAATATGTAAAAAAACCTCAACAAACAAGTTATAAAAAAAAAAAATCACCCCTGGTGGGGAGAGATCCAGGACTAAGACCATTCCAAGGTGTTGAAATTGACTACACTGGAATGCCCCCAGTTGGTCGCCTAAAGTACTTATTAGTAATAGTAGATCATCTCATTCACTGGGTCAAAGCTATTTCCTTTTCAAATGCAATGGCCAATAATGTAGTTAAAACATTATTTAAAAATATAGTGCCCAGGTTCAGACTAATAAAAAACATTGACAGACAATAAAACCGATTTCACAGCACATATCATTAAAAAGCTATCCCAAGCCCTAGACATTAAATGAAAATATCATACTCCTTGACGCCCACCTTCATCAGAGAGAGTAAAAAGGATAAATCAGACCTTAAAAAACCACTTAACCAAATTGGTTCTAGAGACTCAGTGGCCATGGACAAAATATCTTCCTATTGCCTTGTTTAAAAATCTGAACTGCTCCTCGAAAAGATATAGGCTTTCATCCTTACGAAATGCTTTACGGATTGCCTTATTTAAACTGCACTACTGACATTCCTACATTTAAAACAAAAGACCAATTCTTCAAGAATTATATACTTGGTCTCTTCTCAACTTTCTCTTTTCTTAAAACCAAAAGTCTCCTAACACAGACGCCACCCCTGGAGTTCCCAGTACATCAACATCAGGTTGGGGATCACGTCCTCATCAGAAACTTAAGAAAAGAAAAACTTCAGCTGGCCTGGGAAGGACCTTACCTGGTGCTTCTAATCACTGAAACCACAGTCCTGACAACAGAAAAAAGATAGACCCATCTCACCCAAGTCAAGAAAACACCACCACCTCCAGAGTCATGGGCCATTATCCCAGGAGAAAACTCCCTCAAACTAAAGCAAAGAAAAGTTTAACTCTCTTCCATTTATTCTATTAATCTTTCTTCTTTTCCCATTCTGTTACTGACCACCTTATTACCAATGTAACTAAATCAAATTCACCCCAAGTTATTACTTTTGATACTTGTTTAGTCATACCCTGTAGAGATCTCCAAAGTCAAAGACAACTCTCAGCCTCAGAAAAGTATCTCTGCCCCTTTAAAATAAGAGGATCCCCCTACCAAGACTCTTGCCCCTTAACAAATATAGAAAAACAGATCTGCCATAGCTGAAATGATGTCCTGTGGACAACCAAATATCAAGAATAGGTCTCATTGACATCACCTCTACCAACCCTAGATCTACTTTGAGTCACTTCTATGACATAAAAGCCAACTTAGCTGGCACAGACTTCATAGGGTCTTTGAAAATGCATTTTATTAATCCCTCATCCTCTTCACCCCATTGCCTCTCTTCTCCTTCTAAGGCTTCTTCTAATCAGACTGCCATCTCTTCTATACCCAATAATACTAAAGTATTATACATTATATTACTATATATGTAATATATAATAATAAACAATTATAAATAATATATAATAATAAACAATGATAATACTAAAGTATTATATATTATATTATATTACAATATAAAATATTGTAAAAGTAAATGATCTAAGATGAACTTTAACAATTAAAATAGAATATCAAGCTATAAATGCCTGGTTGAAATGGATCAAATATTCTGTCCACACGTTAAACAAAAACAATTGTTATGCTTGTGCACACGGCCGGCCAGAGGCCCAGATTGTCCCCTTTCCACTCGGATGGTCTCCCAGTCAACCAGACATGGGTTACATGGTAGGTCTCTTCTAGAATTCTATGACTTGAGACAATAAATCATGCCAAGCTCTCTGCGATATCCCAAAGTCCAACACCCTGTGGGTCAGCCCTCAAGGGCCATCCAACTTCCATCTCCCAATGTCAATTTCACCTCGTGTCTCTCATGACAAAGGGAAAACTTGGCGTTCCTTAAAAGCTTAATGGGACACAGTGAGCTTAAGCCCTTCCAGGAGCTTCCCCATCAGTCTGCCCTCAGCCATCCTCGAGTGGATGTATGGTGGTATTCTGACGGACCCTTACTAGACACTCTGCCAGGTAACTAGAGCGACTCTTGCGCTCTTGTCCAATTGGCTATCCCTTTTTCACCCTAACATTTCATCAGCCAGAGAAAGAAAAATCACAACGCCATAAAATAAGAGAAGCATCTTATGGATCTTTTGACTCTGAAGTTTATTTAGATGCAACTGGAGTCCCACAGGGAGTACCTGATAAATTCAAATCCCGAGACCAAATAACTACAGGATTTAAATCATTATTACCACAGGTAACTATTAATAAAAATGTAGATTAGATAAGTTACATCTATTATAACCAACAGCAATTTATTAATTACATTAGAGATACTGTCAAAAAAAATAGCCAAACGATTAGGGCCTACTAGCAAAATGACTTGAGAAAACAAAATGGCCCTAGACATGATGTTAGCTGAAAAAGGTGGAGTTTGTGTTATGATTAAAACTCAATGTTATATCTTCATCCCAAACAATACTGGCCCTGGTGAAAACATAACAAAGGCCTTACAAGGACTTACCGCTTTATCCAATAAACTAGCTAAAAATTCTAGAGTCAGTAACCCTTTCTCAGAATGTGAAAAGTAAAAAGTTCCTCTTCAAAGTTTCCCTTTTTGTTAATAGTAAATAATAAGTGTTAGAAATAACAGTTTCTTTTAAAAGCTAACTTTCTTCAAGCTTCCTTGCTTTTTGCTAATAACTCTTTGTTAAGCCCTATGTAGCTGTTAAATATAGTAAGGGAATAAGTACACTTTATGTCCTTGTACTTTAACTAAGTTATTTTTTCTGGCATGTATCCTGCTTAGACATGTCCCAACATGCTCAGGCATTTCCTGGCTTACAGCCTACATCCCTTCCTTATTTGGAAATGTTATTATTCTCCTAGTTTCCCATAAACAACCTCCTTCCTTTCTTTGTTCTCCATCTCACATTTACCTATTTAGGAAAGTTGTAAGTTTTTAGCCAATCAGAATCAGTCTACATTGTGCAGTCCAGCTCCAGCCAATGGAGATAGGACACAGCAGTAAGGAACCAATGTGTCAGGGATAAAAACCTCTGCTTTTCTTTGTTCAGGGTGCTCTCATGACAATCAGGCTTCCAAGAAGCACCCTTTCTGCAGAAATTAAAATTGCCTTGCTGGGAAAATTCATATTCAAGTGCTATTTCCTTTGTGACACTGAAAACTGATTTCTAACAAGAATGACTAGAAAGATGGTTTGGTAAATAAAAAGGAATCATGGCCTCAATTCTCACTTCTCTTTACAGTCGTAATAAGTGTACTCATTCTTGTTGGGTGTTGTGTCATACCATACATCTGTGAACTAGTACAAAGACTTATAAAAATAACACTTACTAAAACCTCCCTTAGTTCTCCTCCACCTTATTCAGATAAGCTTTTCCTTTTAAAACATCAAGTTAAACAACAAAGCCAAGATGTGCTAAAACGGTTTAAAGAGGAAGGACTGTAAAAAATTAAAAGGGGGGAATTGTAAGATACAATAAAATTCCTCCTCAAAGTTTCAGCCTGTTGACTTCCTTGTTCTTTATTCTCGAACCTAACTTTCTCGTTCTCCATGCCTCCTTGCCCCTAGTTACTGTAAACAACCTTCCCATCAGTGCTAACCAATACATCACATCTGTTTCCTTGGTTACTCACTCTACACCCATTCCTCCTGCCAAAACCACACATCCCACCACTTTAACTCACCTTCCCCTTCCCCCTTCCTTATTTGAGAAAAATATTCACAAGTAGCCAATCAGGTCAGCTTAAATTGTATGGTTGGACCCTAGCCCATGGGAGAGTGACACAGAGGTAGGGACCACATGTTAAAAATAAAAGCCTCTTCCCTCCTTTGTTCAGTGGGCTCTTGGGATTGTAATTGACACAGACAGCACCCTTCTACAGAAGTAAATTGCCTTGCTGAAAAAACTTTTTCCTGAGTACTAGTTTCACTTTGTGACACTGAACATTTACTTCCAGCAGTACTGTCTGGCCCCAGTGCTTCTTGGAGTCTTGGGACATTTAGCCTTTAAAAATCAAACTGCCATGGAGACTGCATTACCTGAAATTTTGGTTCACAGCCTTCCTTGGATTATCTATTGGGGCAAAGTAAAACAGGCAAGCTTGTATTGCTATCTCATGGCTAAGGTTCCAAGCTACTGAATCTTCATTTATGTGTGTGTATACATGTCCAGATGTGTTTATTTGTATGTACACTTATTGTTACATGTTGTGTCTACCAATTGGCTTATAAGGGCATCATAAATTAAGTAAATAAGTCTAAGTAATTTTCAAGCTCACATGACCTAAGTATGACTTTACTAAACAAGCTAGCTTTAAAATTATTGGTGGAATAAAAATAGAAATGCCTTCAGGGTTGTCAGCATACATTCTGTCTAAATTTTATGTTTGTCTTGGCTAGATATTTTAAAATGTCAATGTTAATTCAAGCTAGGAGCTGCTTGGGGAGAGCCTGCCTCCTATTCTATTCAAAGTCTCACTGAGATAAATGCATATCTGATTGCTTCCTTTGGAAAGTCTGATCAGAAACTCAAAAGAATGCAACCATTTGTCTCACACCTGTGATCTGAAAGGCCCCAATCCCCTTCTCTGCCTCAAGTTGTCCTGCCTTTCTGGACCAAACCAATGTATTTTACCTATGTTGATTGATATCTCCTGTCTCTCTTGTTAAAAGTAAAATTTAAGTACAATGATTGGGATAAATTTTTTAGGTAAACTTTTTGTGTAAATTAAAATCTTAAAGTTATTTTTGATGCTCATTTAATATCTGGGTCTTTCCAATTAGGAAAGCGTTGTGATAGGGAAAATATGTTTCTAAAGTTGTGGAATTATTCTTATCTATAAATGTCCATATCTGATAGTTCAGGATTTCTTGCTTTTTAGGGTTTCACTAAAGTTTTAGGTTACTAAGGATAAACATTTTAGTTAACATGTAATTGTGTATACAAAATGTGCCCAGAAAGGGTTATGTTATTAGTGGAAAAAAGAGTAATTTTGTGCAATTCAGAAATTATCTAAAAGTTAGTTCAAATTACAGACTGAAAAGGTTATTTATGAAACAATGTAGTGAGAAATCATTAAGTAGAGGAGAAAGATGTGAAAAAAGTTTAAATAATAAAACATTCTCCAAATCCTGATAGGGAATTGGAGACATTTTGCTAATTAACATTTTCATAAGTAAAGCTCTTAGTCTTAATTAAAGTTAAATAAAAAGTATTGCAAAAATGCATCAGCAGTTTGGCAATTCTCTTTTTGATATAGTTAAACATGAAGCTGGACTTAGTGTGGAGCCAAATTTCACATACATGCTTGCATTGCTTCACACTATGTCTACTGTTTTGCATGGATAGTGTTGGAGTACTTATTGGCCATGTGCTAAAAGTGGATTTCTTGATTGCTCAGAATGTATGATAATATTGGTGAACTTAAGATATTGAATTGTATATCAGAAATAAAATATTCAAGGCTGGGCATGGTGGCTCACACCTGTAATCCCAGCACTTTAGGAGGCCGAGGTGGGTGGATCACGAGGTCAGGAGTTCAAGGATCAGGCTGGTCAACATAGTGAAACCCTGTCTCTACTAACAATACAAAAAATTAGCCAGGTGTGGTGGTGGGCACCTGTAATCCCAGCTACGGGGGAGGCTGAGGCAGGAGAATCACTTGAACCTGGGAGGTGGAGGTGGAGGTTGCAGTGAGCCGAGATTGTGCCATTGCACTCCAGCCTGCGTGACGGTGTAAGACCCTGTCTCAAAAAAAAAAAAAAAAAAAAGAAGAAGAAAGAAAGAAAGTATTCATTATGTTGGTTTTTTGGGGGCCCTAGGTAACACTGTAGCCTCTAGAGTAAATTAAGTAGGAAAATTTAGGGTTGGTTTCCTGTTTATTTGTTTTGGCTTCTATTTTCATTCATTTGCTTTTTATTCTTCTCTGGTTTTGCTTGTGTCTGCATGTATATAAAACCGTGAGGCTTTTTAGTTTCCAGTGGAAGGCTTTTATTTGGTTCTGTCAATAGTTATTTTGTTTCCTATGCATTTCTAGCAAGGCATCATTCATTCCATTTATCTGGAATTCCTAAGCAACCTTTTTTGGGGTGCAGGAATTACTGGAGCACACCAGCTTTTCATCCTTAAACTAACTTTTTGGATTTTAGGCTTCCTGATACTTTAAGTGTGTTGAGTATACACTTACAAATAGAATTTAAGTCATATTTCTCTCTCTGCCTAGTTTCTCCAAAATTTGTAAACTGTCTATGAATATTTTTAATTCATGGCAATGTGTTTGTTTGCATACAGTCAAGCAGGGCTGCCAGGGCCGCTCAGGGAGAGAGAACCCAGAAACCTGGCATGCCAGCCAAAGGGTAAGAATTTCTTACCAGGCAGTCTCTGGCCTCTTTCTCTCTGTGCAAACTGGTTAATCTCCTCTGTGAAGTTTTAAATTAGTTGGTTTAATAATAATAAAACCTTAAATTAAATATTTTGTCAGAAAAGTAGAAGGTGTAATGCCTTTTAGTTCATGTGACTTTAGCAATCTTTGAGAAATAAAGATGTTTTTCAAGATTATGGGTGGCTGGGAGTGGTGGGTCACGCCTGTAATGCCAGCACTTTGGGAGGCTGAGGTGGGCAGATCACGAGGTCAAGAGATCGAGACCATCCTTGCCAACATGCTGAAACCCCATCTCTACTAAAAATACAAAAATTAGCTAGGCATGGTGGCGCATGCCTGTAGTCCCAGCTACTCGGGAGGCTGAGGCAGGAGAATCGCTTGAACCTGGGAGGTGGAGGTTGCAGTGAGCCAAGATTGCACTACTGCACTCCAGCCTGGCAACAGAGCAAGACTCCATCTCAAAAAAAAAAAAAAAAGAAAGAAAGAAAAAAAGAAAAAGATTATGGGTAAAATACAAATGTCTTCAAAATGTAAACATGTAGTCTAAATTATGTTCAAATATTAGGTTTGCTAAATGCTGTAAGGTCATAAACTGTTTCTTTGGCTTTTGAAAATTGTTTAACTTACCTGCTTTCCAGCTAGGTAAGGTCTGGGAACATGTGGAATTGGCCACACCCTAGCTATGCTGCAAATAGTCAAAACTTATCAGAATGTAATTTACCAGGTTTTACCTTAAAATTCTTCATTACAACATGAAATTAAGACCACTAGAAACAGTTTTACATGCAAGATATGTAAGTAGAATGTGTTTTTTTTTCCTTGTAAGAGGCTATAAAAGGTTTTTACATCTTTAAGATTTCTGAGTCATCATTTTGGCAAAATAAATAATTTATGGTAATCTGGAATTCCAAAATCAAACTTCAGTTTCAAAATTGTCTTTCCTAATTCCTGGCTTTCTAGATGAATCAGAGGGCCCCTGAAAACATCTTGAAAAGAGGTAAACAGGATTATTTGATGTGTTTAGGTACATGGGCCAAAATGATGTTCAATCTTCTTTAGGTTATATTTTTGTGAATAATACTAATATATATTCCTAAATTGTATGGGATTTCTAAAATTCTAATGTCTAAGTATATGCTATCAATTATAATTATGGTTATTATGTTAAGTTATTGTAAACCACAAAAATAATGAAATTTTCTTGCCAGTGTTATGTGCCTAATTTGGATAAACAACTGGTATCCAAGAGGATATAAGTCTAATGTTAACTAAACATGGACTCATGGAGAAACAGGATGGCCATCTTGTCCTTCCTGAGTCCTTAAAGCTTTTATTATTAAAACTTCTGCATTCCATGACTCATCGTGGAAAAGATATAATGATCCCAATTGAATACATTGGTAAAGTGGCTTACAAATTACTAAAATAATTTATAACCGATGCTTGATCCCATATTCCTGGGAAAACAATTAAAGCTTCAGGTACATTTGGTCGCCTGGTGGGCAACTTAAACATTTTATAAAGGGATTTCATCCCATTTTAATTTTCAGTGCATGTTTTCTGGTTGTATAAAAGCTTTCCCATGCAAGAGGGATGATGTTATAACAGTAGATTATTATGCTACAGTGTATTTTCACCAGGTAAAGAAAGCTTTTTATGGTTTGAATCTCCTGGAAACGTCAGAAAAAGACTATCCTTGCCATCCACACTACAACAAAATTTTGGGGCCTTGGGATTCGGGTTCATGGTCTCACAACTGAGAAGGGGTCCCTCCCCGCTTTTGGAACTGTGCATTCATTGGAACCCTTGAGGAAAAGCTAACCACGGAAACTTCTCCCAAGAAGAAGATGACATCCTTGATGTGAACAGCTTTTCCCAAGTTCACAGATCGAGACTTCTACTATCATGAAACTCTTATCTTTGAATTTTTTTTCTTGCTTATGCCTCTATGAACAATAGAAATGGAAAAGGGGTCTGTTATGCACCCTTATGGGGTATACTCTTATTTGTGAAGGAGTTTGCAGCCAGCCTTATACCTGGGTAATCTTATACTTTGATAGATAAAAGGTGAACGGCCAAGGTAGGTAAGAAACTTTAATGGTACACACGTTGCCTCACAATCATCAAAAACAAAACCTTGGTTCACTCCTCTTAACCCATATCATGGGTTGAAAGAGAACATTGCCAGGAGGCCTTCACACTTCCAGAAGGGTATCATTTGTTTGGTCCTTTTTATGTGGTTTAAAGTAAAAGAGACAATGATTAGAAATGTATCCCTCATGATAGGTTCCATAGCAAACTTTACTGTATAGGCCACACTTACACAACAGACTTTAAATTCTCTTCTGAAAGTTATGCTAAATAATAGAATTAGCTAACCAGAAAAGTACCTGTGCAGCTGCTGGCAATTTTGGCCTATGGGGAATTACATCAAATGAAGATTAGAGAAATTCAGTGGTAGGGGATTGATGAAGAAATTGCTTAGTCAAGAGAGTAAACTTTATCTAGCTCATTATTTGATCTATTTAATTTGAAGTGGTTTGGTTTATGGAGACCTTGGGTGAGGAGCATACTGCAAACTCTTGGTATTATCCTCCCAGTAGTCTCTCTGGTGCACTGTATTCTCTCAAAGGTTTTAAATACTTTTACTCAGCCATCTCTAGAATGTCATATGGTCTCCCTTCAACTGGAATAACAGGGGCTAAAAGAAATGTGCGACCATGAGGACCCTGTAACCTATAAATGATGTGCTGAGACCAGAAACCCAAAATAATGGTAACTGAGAGTGGCGTTAAGCCCCTAAGTTTGTGTCACACTCTCACCTAAGTGAGAACTTGTCCATAAAGGGGGAATTTTAAAAACAAAATTCTAGGGCGGTCATTGTTTTGGACTAAGGTCATGCACTAGGCCCCAACAAACCAAACCAAACCAAAATGGAGTTGCTTGTGCTAAGACTTTAAGGAAACACATAGATTCTAGAACAGACCAGGTTTTGTTTTTTCTCTTGCAAATCTCTATAATGAAAATTTCTAAGAGCGGAGGTATCTGCCCCCTGAAGTTCCCATTAAATCTTTTAACCAAATTCATTTCCTCTTGCCTAGAGACCTTCAAGCTTCAGATAATCATGCAACAAAGGTTCCAGCCAATTCCAGGTGAAGACACCGCCCCAATGCCATCAAGAAGCTACTCCACCTCCACTAGACAGAACAGGGTGAGAGTTCCATGATCCCCAAGTCAACATGAAGCAGTTACAGAAAAAAGACCATCAGTCCCTCTGCCTCCCATAAAGACTTATGGAGATCACATCCCTCACGGGGGAGATGATGCAGAAAAATAGGTTCTGGAGGCAGAGAACATAAGGCCAATTCACACTTCAGCTATGAGAGGAAATATCCTCTCCATAGGGCGTAGGCCAACTCAATGACTTTGTCATTTTACTTCATCCTCTCCATTTACATAGGGCTTACCCCAAGTAACCAATGGAATCCTCTAGCAGGTATTTAAACTCCCAAAAATTCTGTAGTGGGGCCTTTGAGCCCCTATGCTCGGGCCCACTCCCACGCTGTGGAACATACTTTCATTTTCAGTAAATCCCTTCATTCCTTGCTTGCTTTATTTGTGCGTTTTGTCCAATTCTTCATTCAAGATGCCAAGAACCTGGACACCCTCCACCATTAACAATGCCTGTAATACCAGCACTTTGGGAGGCTGAGGTGAGTGGATCGTGTGAGCCCAGGAGTTCCAGACCAGCCTGGACAACATGGCAAACCCCATCTCTACAAAAAGTACAAAAATTAGCTGGGCATGGTGGTGCATGTCTGTAGTCTCAGCTACTCAGAAGGCTGAAGCAAGAGGATCACCTGAGCCAGGGAGGTTGAGGCTGCAGTGAGCTGAAATCATGCCATTGTGCTCCAGAATGGACAATGGAGTGAGACCCTGTCTCAAAAAGAAACAAACAAATAAAAGCAAATAAAATAATTGAGATCATATAAACCATGTTCTGTGACCATAATTGAGTCAAATTAAAATCAAGAACAGGATAACAAGAAATCCTCCAATAACTTGGAAATTAAACATCTGACTACTAAACAATCAATGAGTCATTAAATACTTTCTGAAATTTGTATTAAGTATCTTTGTCTAACACTGAGATGACAGGTATAGGCGGGCAAGAACAGTGGATAAGCCCTTCTCTACTCTGGCCTCCTGCTGGGATGGTTGGGGACAATGCTCTTTCACTTCCTAGAGGGCCTCTGGTTTTTTGAGAGGACCAGAAACTGTGAAGCACAGCATTAATCTCATGCTATGAGGCCTGAGAGAGCGTCATCATCCTCTATTTACATTTTCTTCTTACAAGCAACTGTGGCTGCATTGTGATGCCTGGAATCATTACACTCTGTGATCTCCTCATCCCATTTGCATTGAGCTATACTCTCTTACAAGGGCCTGTCTTCTTTTTCTTTTCTTTTTTTTTTTTTTTTTTTTTGTGACATAGTCTTGCTCAGTTGCCCAGGCTGGAGTGCAATGGCACGATCTTGGCTCACTGCAACCTCCGCCTCCCGGGTTCAAGTGATTCTCCTGCCTCAGCCTCCCAAGTAGCTGGGATTACAAGCATGCATCACCACGCCTGGCTAATTTTGTATTTTTAGTAGACACGGGGTTTCACCATGTTGGTCAGACTGGTCTCGAACTCCTGATCTCAGGTGATCCACCTGCCTCGGCCTCCCAAAGTGCTGGGATTAGAGGCATGAATCACCACACCCTGCCAGAAGGGCCTGTCTTCTATTTCATTTTTATTCCTAGGTTTCTTTCCATCCAAAGTTAAGAGTTCATTTCCATGCTAGATCTCTGTACAACCCTTTAAGCTATGGGTGTCTTTATGTGTGAAATGGGGCTCTTGAAGAGAGCAGATGAATGGGTCTTTTTTTTAAATCCAACTTGCAACTCTGTGCATTTTAAGTGGGATGTTTAGACCATTTACATTCAAGGTTGATATTGATATGTGTAGTTTTGATCCTATCATGAAGTTGTTAGCTGGTTACTTTGTATTTTCTACTGTGTTGTTGTTTTATAGGGTCTGTGAGTTATGTACTGAAATAGACACATAGACCAATGCATCCCAGGAATAAAGCCATCCACCTTCAGCCATCTGATCTTTGACAAAGTCAACAAAATTAAGCAATGGGGAAAGGACTCCATAGTTAATAAATAGTGCTGGGATAGCTGTCTAGCCATATGCAGATTAAAACTGGACCCCTACATTTCACCATATACAAAAGTTAAATCAAGATGGATTACAGATTTAAATGTAATACCTCCAACTATGATAATCCTAGAAGAAAACCTAAGTCACACCATTCTGGACATCAGCCTTGGGAAATAATTTATGAATAAGTCCTCAAAGGGAGTTGCAACAAAAATAAAAATTCACAAATGGATCTTCATTAAACTGGGACAGCTTTGTAGGGAAACTAACTTAGAAGCCCAAATTAAGTTCAGAAACTAGAATCTAGACTCCAGCAAAACAGACTGAAATGAACTCCAATCATATTAATATGTTTATCTTGTATTTAGTGCACACCTGCTGTGTGCAAGCATAACATTGGGTCCTTTGTTGGCTGCAGAGTTGAGTCACTGATGAAGTCCACCTCTCTGAATGAGGATTTGGTTCATAGGGATTATGGACCAGCAGATACGATGCTGCCAGTCCCTGTCTCAGAATCCATTATTCTTTGGGTATTGAATATCCTCACCATTGTCACTGTTATCCCTGAAATTGGGTGACAGTTGCCATTTCCCACAGAAATTTAAAAAGTCTTTTCTGTGGGTGTTTTGAGGTTTTTAAAAATTGTTTGTTGTCCTTTGTTTTCACAAGTGTAAAGTTGCTCCAAATTGTGGAGAAGAATTATCATTTTCTTTTTTTCCCCTATTTCCTGTATATTTTTTTCACCCTTTTTCCTTTGCCCTCAATCTTTAGAGGAAAGTCTATCTCTGTCTTGGGCGAGGTGTTTTTGTTCCCCGATCCACTGGAGTCCCTGGCACCATCCACAGTCCCTAGCGTGGGAGGTGCTCAGGAGTTGAGGACACGAAAATTGGCCTTGGCCTGCTTTTACCGCAATCTAGGACAGGCACTAATGCTATGTTTGCATGTGGGTAGAAGGTGAATATGCTGATGATGGTCAGAAGGAGACATCAGGACTTTGACAAACACAGGACAAGTGGTTGTTTTGTTCCTCAGTGGAGATGGGGAAAGTAGATTCTGTACCCTTCCTTGGTGAATCACTGTCAGCTGAAAAATCAGTGATTGATTCCTGATTCACAACACCCTCCTTTATCACTGGTGAGCAAACCACAGATGCCAGACGTCCAGGAATTTCTGATGACTTCTTATTAACCAGATGCCAAACCACTCAAGATTTCTAGTCCACAATGAGCTTGTAGCACACCCCAAAAACTTCTCCTCAAATCACTGCTATGTTGTCCTAACTCACAAGATAGGTCCTGTCTGCCTCTCCAAATAGATCCAGAGATTTCACAAGAACTTCACTCCTCCCTGGAACTTAGGATCCATGGAGTATTTCCCTCATGCCTGGTTATTGTCAATCCCCTCACCACACCTACCTACACACACACACAGAGGCTGCATCCTGCTCCATAGACGAAAGGAATGGCAGTTTCACCAACCTTAGTTTCAACCACTTGTATTAGTTTGGTGCAAAAGTAATTGCAGTTTTGCAATTACCTTTAGTGGCGAAAACTGCAATTACTTTTGTGCCAATCTATAGTTTCTCTCCTACCCCAGAAGTCCATGTTGCTCAGTACTGAGAATGCACTGAGATCAGGTCTTCCTGTTTTCATTGTGTGTGAAGTTGCTGAAGGCTGACTGTTATTCCAGCCTACATCCTTTCTTCATTTCTTTTCATTCACACCCTCCAAAGACCTCCTCTGAGTGCCCCCCTGGTTTAGGTAACCGTTTTCCACGTTCTTGTAATTCTTGGATCACAGCTTCATCCAAGCACTGAACTCACCTACGTAGAAGACCTTTGCAGATGTTCAGTTGCATTCAGTACAATAGTGACCAAGGGATATCTTTGTGGGTCTGCCTATCCCAGGAGCTTGAAATCTTTGGTTACAAAAAAGTGTCTTTTTAATCTTTAAATCACCAAGTCTAGCACCAGAACTAGAATAATGAGTTTTCCTTAAATTGACAGTGAGTGTAAACTGTTAACCTCAGTGTGGTGACATTTGTGTAAAATCTGGAGTCTCCTTGAACATTTGCAATATGCCACCAGTCACTAGAGGGAGGCCTTAACTTTCATAACCAGATGCAAATCTCAAAGTGACTAAAATGAAATGATAGGATGGACACCCTATTCAATAAATGGTGCTGGTATGATTGGCAAGCCACCTTTAGGAGAATTAAACTGTATCCTCATCTCTCACAAAAACCAACTCAAGAAGGATCAAGGACTTAAATCTAAGACCTGAAACTATAAAAATTCTAAAAGATAACATTGGAAAACCCCTTCTAGACATTAGCTTAGGCAAAGACTGCATGACCAAGAACCCAAAAGCAAATGCAACAAAAACAAACATAAATAGACAGGACTTAATTAAACTAATAAGCTTCTGCACAGCAAAAGAAACAACAGAGTAAATAGCCCACAGAGTAGGAGAAAATCTTCACAATCTATACATCCAACAAAGGACTATTATGCAGAATCTACCAGGAACTCAAGCAAATTTACAAGAAAAATACAAACAATCCCATCAAAAAGTGGGCTAAAGACATGAATAGACAATTCTCAAAAGAAGATATACAAATGGACAACAAACATGAAAAAATGCTCAACATCACTAATAATCAGGGAAACACAAATCAAAACCACAATAAAATACCTCCTTACTCCCACAAAAATGGCCATTATCAAAAAATAAAAAATAATAGATATTGGCATGGATGTGGTGAAACGAAAACACGTCTACGCTGTTGGTGGGAATGTAAGCTAGGACAACCACTATGGAAAAGAGTGTGGAGGTTCCTTAAATAACTAAGAGTAAAACTTCCAGCAATCCCACTACTTGTTATCTGCCCAGAGGAAAAGAAGACATTATATGCAAAAGATACTTGCACACACATGTTTATAGCAGCACAATTTGTTATTGCAAAAATGTGGACCAGCCCAAATGCCCATAAGTCAATGAGTGGACAAAGAAATTGTGGTATATATATATATACACAATGGCCATAAAAAGGAATGAATTAATGGCATTTGCAGCAACCTGGATGGAACTGGAGACTATTATTCCAAGTGAAGTCACTCAGGAATGGAAGACCAAACATCGTATGCTCTCACTCATGATTGGGAGCTAAGCCATGGGGATGCAAAGGCATAAGAATGATACAATGGACATTGGGGACTTGGCAGAAAGAGTGGAAGGGGGTGAGGGATAAAAGACTACAAATTCGGTTCAGTGTATACTATTTGGATGATGGGTGCACCATTATCTCATAGATCACCACTAAAGAACTTACTCATGTATCCAAATACCACCGGTTCCCCAAAAACCTAAGGAAATAAAAATTTTAAAAAAAATTCAGAATCATTTCCTTGCCCTAAAAAATCCTCTGTGCATTCCCTTTTTGTGCCCCCTCCTCACTAACCTCTGCCAATCACTGATCTTTGTCTCCATATGTGCTTTTCAGAATGCCATACTGTTGGAATCCTACAGTAGGTAACCCTTTCAGATTGGCTTCTTTCACTTAGTCATATGCATTTGAGAGTCCTCTTTGTCTTTTCATGGCATAATAGCTCATTTCTTCTTGGTGGCGAATCATCTTCCACTGTGTGTACCAAAGGTTAATAATCCCTGTACCTCTTAAAGGACTTCTCAGTTGCTTCCCAGTTTTGACAATTTTCAATCAAGCTGCTATGAGTATCTGTGTCCACATTTTTGTGTAGAAATAACATTGCAATTAATTTAGGTCAATATCAAGGAGCAAACTCACTGGAATTTATGGTGAGAATATGCTCACTTTAGTAAGAAACTGCCACGTTGTCTTCCAAATGGTTGTACCATTTTGCATTCCCACCAGTCAATGAATGAGAGTTCCTGTTGCTCATCATCTCGCCAGCATATGGTGTTGTCAGTATAGGATGTTTGCTTAAAAGGAAAAAAAATAAAGAATAAAAAAAGAAATCAACTAAATGAAGGAGCTAGTATGAGTCATCATTAGAAGAATTCATTTGAGTCCAAAAGTGAAATGCAAGGAGGAGCTGAGATTGAAATTAATCTGTATCCAACTTCATCCCACCTCACATGTCACCATTGCCAGATGTACAACTGAGAGAAGCACTTGGTTACTTGACAACTCACACACCATCAGTGCCAGAGCCAGACCTTCAGGCTTTCAAGCTGTGCAACTGTGGACAGGTTTCTTTTTTCTGCAAGTAAGTTGCCTCCACTATAATTTTGGAAATGTAATAGCTTATATCTTATAATTTTGTGACAAGGACGTGATTATGATAAATTGTGTTTTGCAGGTTTGGACATACAAACCGAAAACTATTGCTACCATTTTTTGTTACCACTATTCTCATTAGCTACAGAAGATTTTGCAACTTGCAGGACCTCCCTGTTTCTAAATAGAATGAACTCACTGTTGGTTTGGTGGCTGGATTTTCATGGAACATTCTATTCTATGAAGTTAAGTGAATGTTTGTGTGATCAATAATAAAAAGTGGTTTGTTTGCTGAATGAATGAGCCAAGAAAAAGAAAGGGCTTAGGAAAGAATGTGCTCAAGGCTCTTTTGGCCTTCTGTAAATCTTTGGCTTTACAGAAGCAGGTAGCTCAGAATTGAGGTGCTTGGAAAGTGTAATTTTGATTTCAAGCTTAGGTGATTTAAGTTTTTTTCATTGTGGTACGAAAATGTAAAAAGTGCCATTTTAAGCATTTCTTAGTGTGCACCTTAGTGGTATTAAGTACATTCATGAGAGAGATTTGTTGTGCAACCAATCTCTAGAAACTTTCTCTTAAAAACCTGAAACTCTCTATCACTAAATGATAACTCTCAATATCTTTTTCCTGGAAACCACTATTCTAATTTCTGTTTCTATGAATCTGGCTACTGTAAATACCATGCATAAGTGGAATCATACTATGTTTGTTTTTGTGACTGGATTATTTCATATAGCATAATGTACTCTAGTTCATCTATATAGAATTCTACAGCCTGTGTCTGAATCTTCTTCCCTTTTGAGTCTGAATAAGATTCTATTCCATGAATGCACAGATTTGCTTCATCCATTTATCTGGGGATGAACAATGGATTGGATCCCCTTCCTGATGGATGTGAATAGTGTCCTTAAAGACATGCGTATGCAATATCTCTACAAGATCCTGATTTCAGTTTTTGTGGATGTATCCTCAAAGGAGAAATTCCTTCATCCTATGATATTTTCTATTTTAATTTGAGAGGCCCCCATACTCTTCCATGGCAGCTGCAGATTTTACATTCCCACCAAATGTGCACAAGAATTGCTACCTCTGTACATCCTTGTTACAATATTATATTCTAATTTATTAGTTTGCTTGTTGGTCTGTTTTATAATAGCACCCTAAGGGGTATGAAAAGTCTATGTTATTTTGACCTGAGATTTGAAAACCAAAAAAATCAGTGGGGTAGCAAAATCTGAAGGTGTCTCACCTCTCACACCCATTCTGCTGTCATAAGCCATAGAGGAAAGTGGAAGCTCCCCTCCATTTGGCCCATCCTGTTCTCCAGCCACAAACCCATCCCTGTTTTACCATGTGCACCTGTCTGTTTCAGGTTCACCTGGCTATCTGGTGTCCCTCACAAGCCACTTGGTTTATACATTGTCGATTTCTCTCATGTTGTTCCCTGGGCTTCTTCCACACTTTGTGTGTGTGTGTGTGTGTACGTGTATGTGTGTATGTGTGCATTTGCATGTATGTGTGTGTCTGTGTGCATGTGTGTATGTGTGTGTGTTTGTGTGTGTCTGTGTGTGTATGTGTGTATGTTTTGTGTGTGTCTGTGTGTGTATGTGTGGCTGTGTGTATGTGTATCTGTGTGTGTGTATTTGTGTGTATGTGTGTGTCTGTGTGTATGTGTGCATATGTGTGTGTCTGTGTGTGTGTGTGTTGTGTGTGGGTGTATGTGTGTGTGTGTGTGTGTGTGAATCAAATCCGATGTGTCCCTGAGCGGCACTCAGATATGCTCCTTTATATTCCCAGCAACACGTCTCAGTGCCTTCACCCAGAACGTTCCATGCCTCCCCCTGTTTCCCTGGAGCACTCTGCTCATGGCTGGGGAAGGGCAGAGGAGTTGTCCCCATGGGCTGCTTTGCTGCTGGGACCCTGGGAACTCAGAAGCTCTGAACCTCCTAATTAGAAGAGAAACTAAACAGGAGCTCCTATTAGTCAATATAGAGCTTGGTGAGTTGATATTAAATTTCCCTGAAATTGTTTTAGAAGTCTTGGCTTCCACTAGAAGATTAGGAGTTGGAGTGGTTGATGCGGCAAAATCCTCGTTTCACTGTTCTCTCTAGGGATGTGGAAAACCGATGAGTTTCTTTCACAGTCACCACCACACTACTCATCTTTCACCCTCAACTGCCCACAGGGAAGCCTGGCACCATGAGCATTCTTTTACACTGAACATGAATGTCACCCATTTAGCAGTTTGTTGATTCATAATTTTATGATGTATTTGTTAAAAGATTGTTTGCTGATCTTCTTCTCCATGCCAGCCGCTGTGCTGAGCCAAGATGAGCAAAAGCAGATACTGGCCCTGTGATTATGGAGCTAACAGTCCAGGAAAACTTGTATCCATGAACTGATTACACATTTGTAAAATAACAGCCTTGGAATTGCTGCAAATGAGAGGTGCATGGTTCCAGCAGTGTCTGTAAAGGGCAACACTGACCAAAGCATCGGGGTCAGGCAACAATGCCCGTGGGTGGAAAGAATGAACTGAAATATTGCATGAACTCGGTAAGGAGGAGGGACCCATTAAAAATATCAATGATGAAAACTAAAAAACCCTGTGCAGGTGTTAAGGGCAATAGGAATGATAAAAGTACAAGCAAACAGTCCTCTCTCAGAGATACACATCCTCCCCGGTGGACCATAGAGCTGACAAGGTGAATGCCAAGCCTGTGCCAGGACAAGCTCTGGTCCACAGTTAGGATGAATGCCTCACAGACCTGTCTGCTGTGAAAGACGTCTCAGTCCTGAAGCCCAAGTCCATGGGTCTGTAGACTCAGAGATCATGAACTGGATTTCTTTTTCCATTTATGTCAGAGAGAAATGGTGTATCTAGGTGTCCATGTAGTTCTGAAAGTAGGTGATTTAGTGGATTTTGGCTGTGCTCTAAACTAGGAACTACTGGCAAACCATGACATATATGACAAGTGGGACAAGATAATGGGAGTTAGAATTTATTGAGAACTACTATGTACCAGAACTTAGTTAACTTTAAACACACACACCCCCATGAACACACTCATTTGATCATCTATGAACCCAATGATGTAGGCACAATTACTAGCCTACTTTGACAAATAGGAAAACTGAGGTTACATAAGCTGAATAATTTTCTTAAGGTCCAAGAGCCCACAAATGAGGCTGTATCTGTGAGCCTTGTATCTGTGAGCCTCACCACTGGCCCTCCCACTCCTTGGTGGTGGCGGAAGAGCTGGCTCAGGGATTTCCTCATGATCCTGTGTGATGGAAGTGACAGCCACTGTTGCCCTCAGCTGGGGCTCAAACAAACCTGCCAAGTTGTCTCTGATGACACAGCCCATAAGGTCCCCTCTTTACATACATGTCTTTCTGTGTGGTTTTCAGCCCTCCTGCCCATCAGAAACACCAGAGCAGTTTAAACAGTGTAGGAATCAGGGAGTCAACCCAACGCTACTGAATCAAAATCCCCAGAGAGAGAAACCTGGGGAGTCAGTATATTTTAAAAGCTCCAAGTGATTCGATTGCGCAGCTGCGAATGGAAAGCTCGGGCCTAGGCTGTGAATCCTCTCAAAAGTAAGTTCATTTAAGAGAGAAATTTCTTGATGTGTTGCTGGATTCGGTTTGCCAGTATTTTATTGGGGATTTTTGCATCGATGTTCATCAGGGATATTGGTCTATAATTCTCTTTTTTTGTTGTGTCTCTGCCAGTCTTTGGTATCAGGATGGTGCTGGCCTCATAAATTGAGTTAGGGAGGATTCCCTCTTTTTCTATTGATTAGAATAGTTTCAGAAGGAATGGTACCAGCTCCTCCTTGGACCTCTGGTAGAATTCGGCTGTGAATCCATCTGGTCCTGGACTTTTTTTGGTTGGTAGGCTATTAATTATTGCCTCAATTTCAGAGCCTGTTATTGGTCTATTCAGAGATTCAACTTCTTCCTGGTTTAGTCTTGGGAGGGTGTATGTGTCGAGGAATTTATCCATTTCTTCTAGATTTTCTAGTTTATTTGCATAGAGGTGTTTATAGTATTCTCTGACGGTAGTTTGTATTTCTATGGGATCGGTGGTGATATCCCCTTTATCATTTTTTATTGTATCTATTTGATTCTTCTCTCTTTTTTTCTTTATTAGTCTTGCTAGTGGTCTATCAATTTTGTTGCTCTTTTCAAAAAACCAGCTCCTGGATTCGTTGATTTTTTGAAGGGTTTTTTGTGTCTCTATCTCCTTCAGTTCTGCTCTGATCTTAGTTATTCAATGCCTTCTGCTAGCTTTTGAATATGTTTGCTCTTGCTTCTCTAGTTCTTTTAATTGTGATGTTAGGGTGTCAATTTTAGATTTTTCCTGCTTTCTCTTGTGGGCATTAAACTTATCCACCATGATCAATTGGGCTTCATCCCTGGGATGCAAGGTTGGTTCAACATACGTAAATCAATAAATGTAATCCAGCATATAAACAGAACCAATGAAAAAATCACATGATTATGTAAACTAGTTCAACCATTGTGGAAGTCAGTGTGGCGATTCCTCAGGGACCTTGAACTAGAAATACCATTTGACCCAGCGATCCCATTACTGGGTATATACCCAAAGGATTATAAATCATGCTGCTATAAAGACGCATGCACACGTATGTTTATTGCAGCACTATTCACAATAGCAAAGTCTTGGAACCAACCCAAATGTCCAACAATGATAGACTGGATTAAAAAAATGTGGCACATATACACCACGGAATACTATGCAGCCATAAAAAATGATGAGTTCATGTCCTTTGTAGGGACATGGATGAAGCTGGAAACCATCATTCTCAGCAAACTATCGCAAGGACAAAAAAACAAACACCGCGTGTTCTCACTCATAGGTGGGAATTGAACAATGAGAACACATGGACACAGGAAGGGGAACAGCACACACCAGGGACTGTTGTGGGGTGGGGGGAGGGGGGAGGGATAGCATTAGGAGATATACCTAATGTTAAATGATGAGTTAATTGGTGCAGCACACCAACATGGCACATGTATACATATGTAGCTAACCTGCACGTTGTGCACACGTACCCTAAAACTTAAAGTATAATAACAAAAAAGAGAGAGAAATTTCTAGTGATTGATTTCCTGCTCACACCACACAAAGGCATCACAGCAGGAGGGCAGGAGGGTGTGTATTGCTTTGTCTGGGTGCTTCCTTCCCTTTCTATTAAAAATGGGATTGGCTCAGGCTGCACAGCTAGATTTGAAGTGGAAAACTTGAGCCTAGAGGTTGGGGGGAAGTGACCACTCACCCTGATCATCTGTCTCTTCTTTTCCATCTTCTTCCCCTCCTGGAGCCCCAGAGCAAAGAACTCTCAGTACCTGTCCGATGCATGATTGGCTCTGGACACTCCAAAAGCTACTTGGAAAAAGTTAGGCTATGTAATCATCAGGTCAACCCATCAACATGTGGGTGGCTACACATCACAGAAAGCTTGCTCCTCGTAGAGAGAAAATGTGAGTCTTGGCCATATTTATAGCTGCACTCATAAACAAGACTCAGGTTTGGGAGTGAGACAGGCTAGAGAACAGGTGCAGCAGTTGCTTTTCCCCAGGAAATCCTCCAAAGGTAAGATGCATTGAACTAGGTTTTAGGTACCTATGCAGTGAACATGGTGGTGATGGGAGGGGCTGAGGGGAATAGGTCTTGTTTAGACTTGCTCAATGTGCAACTGAAACAAGCCTACTGGTTGTCAGACATGCAGGGGGATCAAAGCAGGGTTTCCTTATGTCCCTGCTCCCCCATAACCAGAACACAGCCTTCCAGCTTCCTGTGCCTTCCAAAGTCAGAATTTACCTGTGCCCTTGAACTGATACAAAGAAAAAAAATAATCAGCAAAACTCAGAAGGAAACAGAATCCCAGGAATATTTCCAGAGGTGCCTGAACATTCACCTGGAACACAGAGCAGAGTTCCTGCAGGGCTACCCTCCTGTGCTCTGCCCCAGTCAGAGTGCAGGGAGGCGTGGGGAGGTGACACAGATGGATGGCAACAGCCCTGGGAAGGAGAGGTGGGCTGGGAGCCAGGCCTCATGACCAGTACCAGCTAGACTCCCTAGGTACAAATAGCCCTGGGCTCTGCAGCTCCACAGGCTCCTGGGGTGGAGTCCAAATCACTCATTGTTTGTGAAAGCTGAGCTCACAGCAAAACAAGCCACCATGAAGCTGTCGGTGTGTCTCCTGCTGGTCACGCTGGCCCTCTGCTGCTACCAGGGTGAGTACATCAGTCATGAGTCTAGCTCCAGCCCCTGGGAAGCACCCTCTTCCAAGCACGAGGTCACCTATTCAGGCTGGGGTTAGGATCTGCACAAAACCAAAATTCCAAACCTTTTTCTGTGCTTGTTGAACAAGCCCCTCATCAAGTTCAGAGCTATTTCTTCTACTCCCCAGCACCTACGAAGTTTTATTGAAAATCAGTGCAGGCAAATATTAGGAATTCTTCTGCCTGAGCTTCACTCCTGGGTGGGATCTGTGTCAGATGATGTAATGTGAGGTCTGGGGTGAATCTGGGATCCGCCACTTCCCAGCCCTTTGACCTTGGGCACAATGCTCACCCTCCCTGAGCCTCCTCCTATCACTGGTAGTTAGCGCTTCTGCCAGGAGAGGCTATGAGAATGGAGTAAGAAAGATTAATACTGTCAAAAGAGTCTAGCTGTGGGCTAAGCATGGCGGCTCATGCCTGTAATCCTAGCACTTTGGAAGGTCAAGGAGAGTGAATTGCTTGAGCTCAGGAGTTTGAGTCCGGCCTAGGCAACGTGGCGAAACTCCAGCTTTACCAAAAGAAATATGAAAAATCAGCTGGACGTGGTGACATGCACCAGTAGTCTCAGCTACTTAGGGGGCTGAGATGGGGATATCGCTTGAGCCCAGGAGGTAGAGGCTGCAGTGAGCCATGATTGAGCTACTGAATTCCAGCCTGGGTGACAAAGGGAAAAAAAAGAGTTTGGCTGTTGATATGAAGTGCTTTCCTTTATTGTGAGAGCTTGAGGAAGTCACACCTGAAGGGTCTGGCATTGTCATCAGCACAACAAATGTATGTGAACATATAACCCAGGGGATCCTGTCTGGTCTAACGTCAGGGAGCCAAAGAGAAAAATCGACTTTCCTAACATCAACTATATTTTTATTCTTTTGCTGCAGCCAATGCCGAGTTCTGCCCAGCTCTTGTTTCTGAGCTGTTAGACTTCTTCTTCATTAGTGAACCTCTGTTCAAGTTAAGTCTTGCCAAATTTGATGCCCCTCCGGAAGCTGTTGCAGCCAAGTTAGGAGTGAAGAGATGCACGGATCAGATGTCCCTTCAGAAACGAAGCCTCATTGCGGAAGTCCTGGTAACTTCTTTCTCCTTTATTTGTTAAGGCTTCTGGTCAGCTGCACAGTATGAAGTGAGGTCAGCTTGCTGCTCTGTTGGGGACACAGGTGGTGGGGCAGCTGCCTTGCTGGTCACCTCTTGAGAAGGTCACCTGGGGCCACAGGGTGGGTGCCACCATTTCACCTGCAGAATTCAACTCAGCTGCACACAGCCTCCTGCATGTTCCTCCTTCTCATGTCACCTGCCTGGATGCCATGTCCCCAGAGTGTGCTGAGGACATGGGGAGTGAGCCTGGGCCCAGGCAGAAATGGTAAAGGGCCAAGCATGGCCGCCTCGCTGCTGGGAGCTTTCCTGAGACCAAACTGCCCTCATGTAATGGACACAGTCACTGTGGAATGTCCTGGGGAGCATGGGAGCCTTGAACAGGGAGAGGAAGGCAGGGAGGGACATAGAGCAGGGGCTCCTGCAGATGTAGCACTGGCAGGCTGGACTTCTCTGCAGCTTCTGCAGAGCCAGGAAGGAGCCCCTCCCAGCTCCTGAGACCCCATACTCCCCTCCACACCCACGACACTCTCCTGACCATGGCCAGTCGTCCAAGACCCTAGCTAGTCTACCTCCTGCAGTGCCATGGAAGCGGGATGTTCTCACTCTGTCTTTCTCAAGAAATCAGAGGTTTTCCAGGGGCCTCTCTGCCTGGCTGCCTCTGAGTTGCTGTCCTGAGGTTTAGCTGCAAATGCTCATGGAAGCTGCAGGCTCGGGACTGAGAGGTGCTCGGGCCCTGAGGCAGAATTCCCACATGGGGAGGCTGGAGTCTCCTGGAAGCCAAGCTTCCCAGAAGCCCTCTCAGCCCTGACCAGCCTCTCAGTCCTGGGTCCCTCACTGCAGGAACCAGGAGACTCCAAGCCCTGGGACAGCCCAGGCAATAACCTCTTGCTGCTCTCTCCAACCCTCGTCACTTGCTTCCATGAGGATCCTGGGCCTCATTCCCGGATCACCCCAGGGCTATTGGCCTGGCAAGAAAAGGCTGCTCCATCACCGGCATGGGTGCTGTGAGGCCACCAGGTCTAGGCCTCAGTTTCCCAAACTGAGTTGTTGCCTCTGCCCTTCCAATTGCCTTTGGGGGCAGAATCCCACTGGCCTCTTGGATGTGAGCCTGTCACCTCCAGCAGCAGCATGACTGACCCCACCTTCTTTTTTCTTTTCCTATTTTAGGTGAAAATATTGAAGAAATGTAGTGTGTGACATGTAAAAACTTTCATCCTGGTTTCCACTGTCTTTCAATGACACCCTGATCTTCACTGCAGAATGTAAAGGTTTCAACGTCTTGCTTTAATAAATCACTTGCTCTCCACGTCTCCACTGGTCTTGTTATAATCCTGCAGTCTCGAGCCTTGAGTACAGGGTGGTTTCCATAGTGGAGTGGCCTTTTGCTGTGGGTGATAATTAACTCCAGAGAACCAGCATCCTGTTACTAATGGGGCCTGAGTCCAGGTGTCACAGAGGAGAATATTTGGTAGGAATTATCCTGCATTCCTTACAGATTTCCCATCTTGCAGCCGTGAATAAAAACCATGGTAACAAGGACACAGGAATTGAAATGTTCCACTGGTCTTACACTGAGAGAACCCCCAGCCTGAATGGGTATCCAGGCCGAGGGTTCCCACCTATCAGTGACTTTACTCTGATGTCCCCTCAGACCCACAGTCAGCCTGCTTGGTGCTCTCTCTGCACTATGCTTTCTGTCCTCCGTCATGTCCAGTATACTTCATTTTCCACTTATCACAATTTGGGGTCCTCTTTAGGTTTCAACCTGGAGTTCACATTGTTTTACTCCCCACGCTCAGAGCACTCCTCAGCGTCTGCATCACTCACCAGCACCTGAGGTGAATGCTTCCTTCCTCAAGCTCTCCCAAGAGCTCCAGAGACCAGCACCCCCTGACAACTGGACAGCTCCCAGTGCGCACTCCACAGTCATTTCAGGAGCAGGATGTAAAACTGAGCACAGGGTCTGCCCCCAGCCTGCTCTCCCTTCCATGAGCCCATCCAGGCTAAGGCACCCACCCAGCAAGCACCCTGACCAGGACACAGAGAGACACCACAGTTTCCCTGCTTGGTGTCCTGTGACTACTGGAACAAAAATCTGCAAACTTCATGGCTTAAAACGACTGATTCTCAGGCATCTCTGGGGGTCAGAAGTCCAACATTAGTATCACTGTGAAGACGTTAGGGGGCAGCAGGGCTCCGCTCCCTCTGGGGACTCTTGGGGGGAATTCACTAAGGGTTGCTTCTGGCTTCTGGGCTAATAATTGTCCTGGTCCTGTGGCCACATCACTCCAACCTCTGCCTCCATGATATGTTCCCTTCTTTTCTTTCTACATCAACCCCACCCACCTTGGCTTTTTTTTTTTTTTTTTTTTGAGAAGGAGTCTCGCTCTGTCGCCCAGGCTGGAGTGCAGTGGCACCATTTCGGCTCACTGCAAGCTCCACCTCCCGGGTTCACGCTGTTCTCCTGCCTCAGCCTCCCGAGTAGCTGGGACTACAGGCGCCCGCCACCATGCTCGGCTAATTTTTTGTATTTTTAGTAGAGATGGGGTTTCACCGTGTTAGCCAGGATGGTCTTGATCTCCTGACCTCGTGATCCACCCACCTCGGCCTCCCAAAGTGCTGGGATTACAGACGTGAGCCACCACCCTGACTTTTAATCACAAAATACACAGGTTTGGTTTTGGGACCCTGCAGATTATTCAGAATAACACCCCATCTCATTATGTTTGATCGTGTCTGCCAAGTGCTTTTTTTGTCATATAATGGAACATTCACAGATTTCAGGAACTAGGATGTGGGTATCTTTCAGGGTGGACATGAGGCAGCCAATGACAGCTCCCCTCCCTCCTGACTCCTAACAGTGCACTATGTTCTATTCCCTCCATTGCCCCAGAATCACCTTTACGAGTTCCTTCTTTCCCATCACACAGTCATATCACAGTCTGGTCTATGTCCTCCCCAGCTCTGACCAAATTCTTCTACATTGTCTTGCAGCCTCTATGAACTCTTCTTACTATACATCCTCCTCATTCATGCCAGGGTAAGTCTCCTAAATTTAAAATGTGATCCTATTCTCTTTTCAACAACTCTAAATGACCAGAGGGCACTGGTTCTCAAGGCTTTCAAGTAAGGGAAATTATTTTTTTACCCCAAGCCCATCTTTTTATGATAATAGTCACCATTACACAATTGGCAGGAGAGTAGATAACAGTTGTTATTAATTAAACATTGCTTTTAAAAGAAATTTGTATTTTAATCACACCAGAAATTATGTACACTTAAAAATAGAACCAAGATATATCAAACTTACTATCAGCAGGCATAGCGTGCTGTTGTGTGTGGCAGATACAAGGATTTATGGAGCTCTCACATCACTGGGAGAAAACCAGAGAGGAACCACTGCTGGAGGAGCGAGTCCACACCCTTGTGTTGCACACAAGGACCTTCAAGACCTGCTTCTGGGAGCCTTTGTCTCCTCCTCTCCTCTTCCCTGGGGCACTCTGTGCTCAGCCATACTTGTTTATATCTCATTTTTTGGGCCTCATGTGAGTCACACCCCTGCATAAGTGCATAGGGGTCTCCCTTTCCCTGTATAGCCATCTCTCACGATGACATCTGACAATCTCATCTATAGAATCCACTTCATATGCCTCCTCCTCTGTGAAGCCCTCTCAGATATCCACACCTTATATTTTATCTTTATACACATGTGCACCCACATGCCTAGACATTCCTCTTTTATTATCAGTTTACCTTTCTGTTATATAGGATGCATATCACAGCATTGTTGTGAGAACATATTAAATACATTAATACTATAAAGCACTCAACAAATTATAACAATCATTATTATAATGCTTACAACTACTAGAAGTTTCTAGTCATTGATCATCCTGATATGCATTTTGTTGGAAGAATTCCAAGTTCTCTCTCACTTCATCATCAGTAGTGCCCAAGAAGGTCCAAGATTGTTCCCACTAATGAACATGAGAATGACGAATGCCCTACCCAGTGGTCCTCAACCCTGGTTCTGTTTTGGAATCCACTGGGAAGCTGTCAAAATCAAGTGATGCCCAGGCTCCATCTAGTGTATATGTGTCTATCTCTGTGAAAGTAGAGCTCCTGCAGTCCCTGTTCTTGTGCCTTCAGCTCTATGGGTGCAGTCATCCAGTGACCTGGGGAGGCAATATCTGGGACAAGAGTCCCTTGTGATACTCACAGGACTCCCAGCATCACCAGGGCTGTGACCTGGAGGCCTTTTCCTTAGCTACTTTCATCGCTTTTAAAGATTGGAGATTGCAAAGTGCTCACTCTTTTCACCATTATACAGCTAATCACATAGGGATCATCTGTGGTAAGGTTTTCCTTCCTGAGTTGCTATTAAAAGAGTGTGACGTGAAATTCAGTAAGACTGCACAGGCTGGGGCAGGGAGGGAGGGCATTAGGAGTCATTATTTAAGGGCTATTGAGTTCCTGATTGGGATGATAATAATTTTCTGGGAAGGAATATTGTGAAACGTTGTGAATGCCTTTAAGGCCACTGAATTATACACTTAAAGATGGTTTGAAAAGGGCAGGGCATTGTGGTTCATGCCTGTAATCCCAGCGGTTTGGGAGGCTGAGGCAGGTGGATCACGAGATCAAGAGATCGAGACCATCCTGGCCAACATGGTGAAACCCTGTCTCTACTAAAAATACAAAAATCAGCTGGGTATGGTGGTGTGCACCTGTAGTCCCAGCTACTTGGAAGGCTGAATCAAGAGGATTGCTTGAGCCAAGGAAGCAGAGGTTGCAGTGAGCCGAGATCGCGCCACTGCACTCCAGCCTGACAGAGTAAGACTCCGACAAAAAAGAAAAAAAGCACACACAATAAAAAAAAAACAAAACAAAACGAAACACTCTAAGGGTTGCTGCTGTCTGGGAGGCAGCAGGAAGATACCTGTGAAGGGGAGCTGGGCCTGTATTTTACCTCTGGACACACCCCCCCCAAGACCTGTCGGCATCCCACAGTCAGCACTTCTCTCCAAGTCCATGCTCTCATTGATTCACTTCCTGGATTGCTTCTTTGATGGAGGTATCACAATTTCTAAGAAAATCTAATCCAGAAACCTGAGATTGAGGTTTACCAAGGATGTAGGATTCACCCATGCAGGGTCTCCAGACTTTTACCCCTTAAGGCTGTCTCCCATGACCATTGAACTAAGTAGAGTCTCATAATTTCCCCCCTGGACAAATATTATCAATCTCTGCCTAGGCTCTTTTTCTCAAATATCTTGTCCCTATGATCCATCTGGCATTTTATGATAAGCCCAATATTCTTTTTTTTTTTTTTTTTTTGAGACGGGGTTTTGCTCTTGTTGCCCAGGCTGGGTTCAAGCGATTCTCCTGCCTCAGCCTCCCGAGTAGCTGGGATTACAGGCATGCACCACCACGCCCAGCTAATTTTGTATTTTTTAGTAAAGATGGGGTTTCTCCATATTAGTCAGGCTGGTCTCGAACTCCTGAATTCAGGTGATCCACCCACCTCGGCCTCCCAAAGTGCTGGGATTACAGGCGTGAGCCACCACACCTGGCCTGATAAGCCCAATATTCTGATAACAAAGCTTAGGTTTTGTTATAGGCATCTTTAAAGTATATCTTCAATGGATCTCAATTTTCTTTTAATGAAATAAAGCTCAATATCTCAATTCATAAATTAGAATATTCAAGTTTTTGTAATAATCACAACCTCACATTGTTTAAGAATACATGTTGTTTTCTTTCTTTCTTTATACTTCCATCTATTCTCTCCCAATGAACTAACCATGGTTTCTGACAGAGTTAGAATCTAGGAAAAGAGGAAAGAGAAGGAAATCAGAAAGCTCTGAATTAACTTGCCCTTTTTTGTGATTGGTTCAGGCTCTCTGGGTCTGTCAGATGTTTTGTGTCCTGGACAGTTCCATGAGTGCTTCTGAAAGCCCACACTACCTAGGTAATTTTCTAGAATAAAAAGATTGAAAAATCTATAGAAATCCACTGATTTCCCATACCAAAACAATTTTGATCATATTTTGGAACATCATCTTAAATAAAAGCCCCCCACTTTTTTTTTGGAAGAAACAGCTAGACACTTACAAGAATGGAGAATAATAATGGAACCAACACAAGAACAGGAAGGCAGAGCAGTAACACTCAGAATTCAGAGTATTTCAACCTGTAATTCTACACAGATGTGAATCTACATCCAGGCTACAATTATTCAAGCATGAAGACAAAATAAAGATATTTTCAGGCATGCAAATCTGCAAACATTTTATCACCAATGAACTTCTTTTCAGAAAGTTATTGTAGGATATGCTCCACCAAAAAGAAGTAGAACAAGAAAGGCAAAGATGTGGGATTGGATACACAGGGATTATAATAGGAGTTACTGGATACATCAACAGAACAGCGAGAAAAGATTATTGAGAACACGGAAATACCCCCACAGGAAAACAAGCTGAAAGTGAGAATGGGACTGGGAGGTCTGCAGAGGAAGGGCAAGGAATAATCACTTTTAATAAAACACTTTTTTGCATTATATTCCTTTTCAAAACATGCATCTATATCAACTTTTTAAAAATTAAAACTGTAAAAAAAAAAGGATGTTGGAAAACAAATAAAAAGGAAAGGGAGCATAGAAGAAAAGGGGCAAAAAAGTGGGCAGAGAGGAGATAATTTGGCAAAAAGAAGTTAAGAAGATGCAAATGGCCTCAGGTCAAAGCAGAATCTACACCACACTGTACCATGGAGGAAGATAGTATATTTTGCTGAAAGAATTAATGAATTTCCTTAAAGAATTAATTAGCAAGTTGAATGGGAAGACAGGACGTAGAACTAAAGAAAGACACAATGTATATCACTGAGATGAGATCTTACTACACAAATTAAAAGCCTGCAGACATTCAAGGAAATATCAAGGAAGGCTTGCAGAAGAGGTGATGGCTGAGTTGGACCATGAAGCACCGAGAAGATGAGGATGGCAAGCAGAGGAAGCAGGGCCTCCAGGTGCATGGAGCAGCCTGGGCAAAGGCATGGACAGAAGGCTGAGCCAGCCCCCTGGAGGACAAAGATGACCACACTCCTTTTGGCATCTTGAAGGCTCACAGATATTTCTCTAGCACAGGGTTTCTCAATCTTAGCAGTAGTGACATAGAGGGCAAGTAATCCTTTCTTGTGGGATCTGTCTTGTGCATTGTAGGAGGTTCAGCAGCACCCCTGTTCTCTGCCCACTTGATGCCAATAGTATCTGGGCTGCCATACAGCTGTGACAACCAAAAACATCTCCAGACTAATGTCTTCAGGGATGGGGAAAGTTGGGAGTAGATGTGTCCTAGTTGAAAGTCACTGCTTTGGAGTGGGAAACCTTGTCAGTTCTGCTATACAACTATACTAATACTTCTAATGATCAGACTTTCACAAAGTTGGAATTACTACAGGTACAAGAAAATAGGGACATTGAAAATAAAACAAATACCAACTTGATGATGAAAATGTTAGTGCAGATATTTGAAGAACCAAATCAGCAGTCATACATGTACAGGATTAACTTTTAACCACATACTATAGGGAAATGTCAGGTTGAGTAAAGTTCAGGGTTTGGTGAGGGAGCCAAGGAGAATTAGCCAGGGGCTGACACCTGATTCTGGCTCTGCTTCCAAATTCAGCTCCTGGTCCAAACTCATTAGATAAATCCAAGTCATATGCTGTTATGGTAACAGTCACTTTTGGGGAAAAAGGACACTGAGGTGGCCTAGGCACTGGTGGTACAGTCTCCAACTACCTCTTCTTTTAGCTGATTTCTTCCCACCCTGATCCCAAAGTCCTCACCCAAGAAAGAACATCATTGGTGTTAGTGTCCAGAATGTGACTGTGATGTGTGGTTAGTGTTGCATCTGATTCCTGCCTTTACTAAAGATTCAAGTGTAGATGAGCACCTATTTCTAAATACACCTTATAACATAACATGTAATATCATCAGTGAACTCTTGCAAACAGCAAATTCTGCTCTGAAAAATAATTAAAAATTGTTCATTAGGCCCATACCATATGATGTTGCCATGCAAAGAGAGGATGTGCACAGGACTTGCTCTCAAGAAGCATGAACAGAAAGGAGGAGTTAACATCAGGGATCTGGAGATGTCAGAAGGGAGCTGCCCACAGAGAGCCACAGGGTCCTGTGAAGGAGGAGATCCCTGGAGATGCAGGGATCAGCAAAGAACACAAGACCTGCGTGTGTAGAGAGCCAAAGGTCCATGGATCATGACCAACTCAGCATTCCACTGGAGGCTATATGATCAAACAGCAAACTGTTTATCATGAATGCAGGATGTGGGCAAACTTGTGACTGCACCTGCCACCAGAAGGTTTGCTGAGGGCAATCACTCCGTGGCACCATGCTCCTTGATGTTACCTACTGGGACATCTAGAGCCTACTGTTTGAAGAATGCAGTCTTGCAAGCCTGCTGTAAATCAAGCTGCTGACCAACAACCACACCCCCCTTCTCGCTATCTCTTTTACCTAATAAATACGATGGGCTGTAAAAGCTTAGGGCCCTTGTTCACTAGAAGCAAGGAGCCCCCTGACCCCTTCTTCCAAATATACTCTCCTGTCTTTATCTTTATTCCTGTGTTCATCCCCCTTTGTTCAGTCCAACAGGGACTGGGGCTGTGTCAAGTGGCGCCTGAACAGGGACTTCGAGGACATGAACAAAAAAGGTCTGCTGGAGCAGAGGAACTGAAGTTGACAAGACAAACAGGGACCCTGGGATGAGTCTGCCAGCAGTGGATATAAGGCCAGTGCCCTAAAGAGGTACTGGGAGTGAAACAAGGTCAGTGTTCTAAAGAAGTACTGGGAATGGGAAGTTTTCTGAATCAGGGTAACATGGGACAGAATTTGTCTATTGAAGAAAAATATTATGTGCAGTTTCTTAAAGTTCTGTTGAGACAGTTTGGAGCTCAGGTTAATTCGCAGACACTAAGTTTCTGCAGGAAGTTATTATGCATAATCCATGGTTTTCACAGGCAGGCACTCTTGATGTGGAAAATTGGGACAGAGCAGAAGGATTAAAACAGGCTCATCAAAAAGGTCTTAAAGTTGATTCTTCTGTTTTCTCCACTTGGAGTTTGGTCCATACTCTCCTTCTGTCATTATCTCCTTCTTATTCTGCTGGACAGCAGGTGTCATGTTTTAAGTCTAAAAATCTGAAAGAATCTTTGAAAATAAAAAACAGGAGAGGGAGGATAAAAATTGGCCTATACCACCCCTCCAATAGCAGAAACATCTGTACCGCCTCCTTCAGTAGCAGAAATAGAGACCCCAATACAAAGAATGTTATACTCTGCTGCCATAGCTAGAGAGCCCTTAGGACCTTGTGTTTTTCCTATTTCCATAAGTCATGATCCAAATAATCCACTGCAGTGTACTCATGAACACATCCCCCACCTAGAGTTTAAGTTGTTGAAGGAATTAAAAACTAATGTAGTTAATAATGGGATACAGAGCCCATTCACTTTAGGATTGCTAGAATCTGTATTTGGTGCTATGCGCTTTCTAACCTTTGATGTAAAACACTTGGCTTGAACTTGTTTGTCTGTTAGTGCATATCTGACATGAAATTTAAATTGGCAAGAAATGTTTGCAGACCAGGCTAGACAGAACTGTGCTGCTGGACACGGAGACATTACAGAGAATATGCTCTTAGGTAATGGTCCTTATTCAGACCTGGAACATCAAATGGCACTCCCAGACCCTGCTTATCAGCAGTGTGCACAGGCCACTAAATGTGCCTTGGCCACAATTCCTGAAGACGGAGTCCCAGTACAATCCTTTCTACATATCATGAAAGGGTCACAGGAGCCCAATGCACAATTTCTTTCAAGATTACAAGCAGTAGTGAAGCGTCAAACTCCTCATACCACTGCTGCAGAAATGCTAACCTTATCTTTAGCTTTTGAGAATTCAAATGCGGATTGTAAATGTGCACTGGCACCTGTGAGGTGTACAAAAAACTTGGGAAATTTTCTCAGAGCTTGTCAGGATGTAGGAACTGAGCTTCATCACTCTGCAATTTTAGCTCAAGCAATGGCTAATTTAGTAATTGACAATTCTGAAAGGAGCCAAGGATTAAGCCCAAAAGTAGGAAAATGTTATAATTGTGGAAAAACTGGACATTTTAAAAAGGAATGCTGCCAGATCTCAGGACATAAAGGGTCTTATAATGCAGTTCCCCCACCAGTGGAAAAAACTCCAGGACTCTGTCCTTGCTGTAACAAAGAAAATCATTGGGCTAATGAATGCCGCTCAAAATTTCATCAAAATGGCACCCCCCCATCAGGAAATGAGAAAGGGATCCGGACCCGGGCACCTCAAACAATGAGGGCATTCCCAGTTCAGACCACAACCCTGTCTCAGGGATGGGTCCCAGGAGAAGCATTGATTCCCTCACTCCAGGAACACCAGGAAATGCAGGATTAGATCTCCCAGTCAGAAAAAAAATTACATTAGACAAACCTATCAAAGTTCCACTGGCATTTGGGGACATTTACCAGCAGGATACATGGGACTAATTTTAGGCAAAAGCTGCCTTAACTTGCAAGACTGCATCCTTCAAACAGTAGGCTCTAGATGTCAAAGTAGATAACATCAAGGAGCATGGCACCAGGGAGTGATTGCCCTCAGCAAACCTTCTGGTGGCAGGTGCAGTAGCGAGTTTGCCCACATCCTGCATTCATGATAAACAGTTTGCTGTTTGATCATATAGCCTCCAGTGGAATGCTGAGTTGGTCACAACCCACAGGCCTTCAGCTCTCTACATGTGTGGTCCTTGATGTGCTTTCAGGAATGAATGAAGTGGTTCAATCCAGAGTGACTGAGTCAAGGGCAGTGGAAGAGGGGTGTCCACAGGGAGCAAAGATCCCAAGCAAAAAACTATGGGGCTTGTTCAGAAATAAATCCTGAGTTCACGCACTTTGGGAGGCCAAGGTGGGTGGATCATGAGGTCAGGAGATCGAGACCATCCTGGCTAACACAGTGAAACCCCATCTCTACTAAAAATACAAAAAAATTAGCCAGGCATGGTGGCAGGTGCCTGTAGTCCCAGCTACTTGGGAGGCTGAGGTAGGAGCATGGCCTGAACCCAGGAGGCAGAGCTTGCAGCAGTGAGTTGAGATCGCACCACTGCACTCTAGCCTGGGTGACAGAGTGAGACTCCATCTCAAAAAAAAAAAAAAAAAAAAAAAACAAACCAGAGTTCACATAGGGCAGCAGCGTCATGGACACCAGCACCCACCTGAGCTATGATGCATGTGTCCCTCAGGGTCCAGCTAAGGAGTGAAATAATATTGAGAGAAGCCTGTGGAGCCACAACACCTGACTTCATATCCTGGTTCTGCCTCTTCCTGGTTGTGTCCCATGAAGTTCTATGGAATCTCTGTGTCCTGTCTCCTGCAGCTGAGGTTGAATGATCTGCCACCTTACAGCATGGTGACCACAAATTCATTTGCTCAGGACAGTCCTGGTTTACATCGTTGTCCTGGCTTCCCACCCATTTAGGTTTCCCTCTCATTCGCAAAAGTGTCCCTCATTTACAATCAATATTACGGTCATCTGGATCATAGGATGGTGGTTGTGGGATTAAAAGAGGCTTACAACAGTACCTGCCATTTAGTAATTAATATAGATTTTTTATTCATATCTTATTTAACATTTTCATGAACATTGCTAAGAAATTAGATCTCAAATGTTATGACACACAAGTCTTCCTCTTATAATTCTTCAGCCCTCCAAAGCTTGGGATTGTAGGCCATTCATCTGTGTTACTCTTATATTTATAAAATTAGTCACATCAGTTTTGTGCTACATATGATTTTCTTCTGGAGCTGCTGTTAAAGAGAGTGAGGTGACACCTGGGCCCAGTGGCTCATGCACGTAATCCCAGCACTTTGGGAGGCCAAGGCGGAAGAATCACTGGAGGCCAGGAGGTTGAGACCAGCCTGGTCAACACAGTGAAACCCTGTCTCTACAAAAAATACAAAAATTATCTGGGCATGTTGACACACACTTGTAATCCCAGCTACTCAGGAGACTGAAACAAGAGAATGGCTTGAACTCGGGAGGCAGAGTTTGCAGCAGTGAGCCAAGATCGTGTGGCTACACTCCCACCTGAACTCTGCCTCCAAAAAAAAAAAAAGTGCGAAGTGAAATCAAGCCAGATTCTACAGTCTGCAGCTCTATAGTCAGGGGCAGTCTGAGTGGTAGTAAGAAAGTAAGAAAGTGATAGAAAGCTGGGCAGGTCTGTATTTTAATCCTCATTGGACATATTCTCCCAGAACCATTAACACCGCAAAGACAATACATCTCTTGCTATCAACTTTCTGCTTGATTCACATTCTATATAGCTTCTTTGTTGAAAATATCAACTATTTTTAACAAACTCTGGCTTAAAATAAAAAGAAAACAGAGCTTTACCAGGTACAAAAGATTTACTTATGCTCAGTCTCTTGATTCTATTGCTTGCAGCCTCTCCCACACCTGTTGGCTCATGTAGGGTCTCAAAATGTTTTTTTTTTCTTTGCAAAGCTTTACTTATCTCTACCTAGGCTTTCTTGTTGAAATCACTTTTGCTTATTATGTACCTAACACTCTAGGACAAAATCAATGTTGTGAAAACAAAACTATGTCTTTCTCATAGGCTTATTTAAAGTAAACCTTTCTACAAAATATTGCTCAGGGTCTCAATTCAGAAATTAAAATATGCAGACCTGTGCGTTAATCAAAACTTCACAGTGACTCAAAATTAAGCCTCTCTTTTCTCCTCTCCTTGACACTTCTACTGATTCTTCCCATGGAACCTACCCATGGTGTATGTCACTTCACCGTTGGGGTGTAGAAAGAGGCAACACAAAGATATGAAAGTTCTCAATTAATCCAAATGCTTTTGTGATTAGTCTAGGTTCTCTAGGCATTATGATGATTCATCTCCTAGAACACAGTCACATGTCTCACAAAGTCCACACTACTAAGATCTCTCATTTTCCTGATGTTTTAAAAATGACTGAAAAAGCAACAGAGTTTCAGCAAAGTAAAAGTATCATTGGATGAAAAATGTATAAAATAATGAAAGACCAAATTAAAACAGTATAACAAATAGTATATATGTGGAGGATAAATTAAAGAAAAAAACTATGAATGTAAGATGAAGAATGTTGAAGAATTAATTCACAATGTCCAATTACAAAATTCCACCATGAGAAAGAGAGAAAATGGTGGGAACCATAATATCGAAGAAAGAACACACAAAATCATCCCAAAATAAAGGATACAGAATTAAATTAAGAAGGCCCTCATTCTCCACTCCAAAAACAATCAAGGTGAAATTTTGGAACATTATTTTCAAAAAAGGATCTTTTCTCTAGAAGAAACACATACCAAGCTGTGGAATAAAAAATGGCATCAACACAAGAAACTTAACTGTAAAGGAGAAATACATATTTGTAGAATTTTCTGCTTATAATTCTATAATCAGTCAACTTTCATTTAAGCTTGAAGATAGAATTAAGATATTTTCAGTAACACAAAATTTCCCAAGCCTTTTCTTTTCTTTTTTTTTTTTTTGAGACAGTCTTGCTCTGTCACCCAGGCTGGAATGCAATGGCAGGATCTCGGCTCACTGCAACCTCCGCCTCCCAGGTTCAAGCGATTCTCCTGCCTCAGCCTCCTGAGTAGCTGGGACTACAGGTGCCCGCCACCATGCCTGGCTAATTTTTTGTATTTTTAGTGGGGTTTCACTATGTTGGTCAGGCTGGTCTCGAACTCCTCACCTCATGATCCGCCTACCTCGGCCTTCCAAAGTGCTGGGATTACAGGTGTGAGCCACGGCACCTGGCCTCCCAAGCTTTGTTTTACAATGGCTTTTTTTTTTTTTTTTTTTTTTTTCAGAAAGATAATGAAAGATATCCTGAAGAAAGGATGAGTAGGAGAGAGAGACAGGGATGAAATCAGTGTTGAGGATTTCACATAGCAATAAGTGGTGTTAGAAATACATCTAACCAATGAGGTTAAGAATCGCTACAAGAAGAAGTATAATACACTGATGAAAGAAATTATAGATGACACAGACAAATGGAAAAGTATCCCATGCTCGTGGACTGGAAAAATCAACATCATTAAAATGTCTATACTGCTCAAAGCAATCTACAGATTAAACACTATTCCTACCAAATTACCAACATTATTCTTCACAGAATTAGAAAAAAACTATTCTAAACCACATGTAGAACCAAAAAACAACCTGAATAACCAAAGCAATTGTATACAAAAAGAACAAATTCAGAGACATCACATTACTGGATTCCAAACTATACTACAAGGCTATAGTAACCAAAAACAGCATGCCACTGGTTTAAAAAAAAAAAAAGACACATAGACAAATGGAACAGAAGACAGAACCCTGAAATAAAGCTTCACATCTACCACCAACTGATCTTTGATAAAGTTAACAAAAATAAACAACAGGGAAGTGATATTTTATTCAATAAATGATATCGGAAAAACTGGCTAATCATAGGGAGAAGAGTAAAACTGGACCCCTACCACTTATCATATAAAAATTTAACATCAAATGGATTAAAGACTTACATGTAGACCTCCAACAAAAATTCTGGAAGAAAACCTAGGAATTACTCTTTTGGAACTACTCCATCTGAAAACCAGCGAGACACCTTCCCTGCCAGTCACCACTCATGGTCCTAAAAGAAATTAAGACTAAGTCCTCAAAGGCAAATGCAGCAAAACAAAAAATTGACAAGTGGGACTTAATTCAACTAAACTTCTGCCCAGCAAATGAAACAGTCAACAGAGTAAATAGACAACCTACAGAAAGGGATAAATGATCTGCAAATTATGCATCTGACAAAGGACTAATGACCAGATTCTATAAGCAATGTAAACAAATCAATTTTAAAAAACCCACAAATAACCCTAGTAAAAAGTGAGCAAAGGACGTGAAAAGACACTTCTCAAAAGAAACCATACAAGGGACCAAAAAAACATATGAAAAAATGCTCAACATCGCTAATTATCAGAGAGATGCAAATCAAAACCACAATAAGATAGCATCTCACACCAATCAGAATGGCTGTTATTAAAAAGTGAAAAATGATGAATGCTGTCAAGGCTGCGGAGAAAAGGAACACATACATTATTGGTGGGAAGGTATATTAGCTCAGTCCCTATGGAAAGCAGTTTGGAGAGATCTCAAAGAACCAATAATACAATTATATTTGACCCAGCAATCTCATTACTGGGTATATACTCAAATGAAAATAAATTATTCTACCAAACAGACACCTGCACTCATATGTTCGTTGTAGCACTATTCATAGTAGCAAAGACATGGAATCAACCCAGGTGTCCAGTAATGGTGGATTTCATTAAGACAATGTGGTATGTACATACCATGGAATACTAAGCAGTCATAAAAAAGAGAAAAATCATGTCCTTTGCAGCAACATGGATGCAACTGGAGGCCATTCTCCTAAGTGAACCAATGCAGAAACAGAAAACTAAATACCCAAATACCATGTGTTCTCAATTATAAGTGAGAACTAAACGTTAGGTGCACATGGACACAAACATGGAAAAACAGACACTCGGGACTCCAAAAGGGGGAGGTGGGGAGGAAGAAGAGGTTGAAAGACTACCTATCAGGTACTATGTGCACAATTTGGGGGACAGGATCTTTAGAAGCCCAAACATCAGCATCAGAAAATATACTCATGCAACAACGCTGCACATGTACCTTTGAGTCAAAAAAAAAAAAAAAGTGTAAGAGCTATCTGCATCTGATGATGAACAGAGAACTGCATTAAAAATTAATTAGATCTGCCAGGCATGGTAGCTCACGCCTGTAATCCCATCACTTTGGGAGGCTGAGGCAGGCAGATCACTTGAGGCCTGCAGTTTGAGACCAGGCTGGCCAAGATGGTAAAATCCCATCTCTACTAAAAATACAAAAAATTAGCTAGCATGGTGGTGGGCACATGTAGTCCCAGCTACTTGGGAGTCTGAGGCAGGAGAATCTCTTGAAGCCAGGAAGGAGAGGTTGCAGTGAGCTGATATTGCACTGCACTCCAGCCTGGGTGATAGAGCAAGACTCTGTCTCAAAAAAAAAATTAATTAGACCTATGAAGGTAAATACCAGGAGAAACAGTGAACCAAGTTCAAGGTAAGTATGGACTATATTGTGAGAATGGAAAGGAACAGAGAACTACTGTTTTTAATTAGAATCTATTTAACACAATTATATTTTTTACTCGAAGCACCTATATCATTTTAAAAATTAGAAGTATGAAAAAATAAGTAGAAGACAAATGAAAGGTGAGGAGATACAGAAGGAACACTGGGAAAAAGTGGTTGGTGAAAACATTGAGTGGAAAGAGCCTATGATGCTGAATATTATCTCAGATCAACCCAGAACCCCACCAAAGTCTTAGGAGGTATATATTTTATTAAAAGAAATAATGGATTTCCTTAAAGAATTAATTACATGAAGAACAACAAGACATAGACAGAGTACTGATGAGAGACATGAAGTATATCACTAAGAATAAGATTTCCTCACAAAAATTAAAGGCCTGCAGAAATTCAAAGAAAAGCAGTATCTTTCTGAGCTGTGCATGTTTCAGTAAGGAAGGCTTCTTGGAGGAGGTGATGGTTGAGTAGCATTAGAATTGTTAGGGAAGCAGGAGGCTGGGAGAGCCAGAATGACACTATTTTAAAATCAACTCCATCTGAAAACCAGCGAGACACCTTCCCTGCCAGTCACCACCCATAGTCCTAAATTGTTTATAGCTAAGGAAGCAGTTTGGTCATGCCTGCAAAGACAAACTCCAACAACATCAGAAAGTCCAGATGTCCCAATACCTATAACAATATTTGCTTTCAAGATAATTATGGTTCTGCTTTGATGTACTCACACACGAAAATGTCAAGGACAGTTTCCTTTAAATCAATAGAACAATACTTTTTGTCATGCTGTCTGCTAACTCCCATGTAGTCACAGCTTAGTTTAGTCTTTACATAGACAAGACCCCAATATAAGAAAAAGTTAAAACAAAGATGGTGCATTTCTCCAGCTGCTTTCTGAGAATGCCTTACCAAGGCATTCTGAGAATTCCTTAGTAATGGATTCGTTCTAAGAAACTCGCTTCTTTTATTCCGCTCTGTGACTCACCTTGAATTCCGTCCTGTGTGTGATCCAGAAACCCTCTCTTGGGGTCTGGATTGAGATTTCTTTTCCAGTAACAGAAGGACTTAGAAGATGAGGAAGACAGAGGAGGAATTAAGGCCCTCCTGGTGGGCAAAGCAGCCTGGGCAAGGGCATGCAGGTGAGATGGAGTACAGCTCACTGGGTGGGGGGGGGGGATAGAGATGCCCACACATCTGCTGGCATCTTACCATAGTTGGAACTGCGATAATTTTGCACCAAGTGTGAGGCTAGCTGGCACTGCCGATGTTTCATTACCAGAACAAAGGCTGTTTGATATTTCTGTACATAAGGCTTCTCAACATTGGCAGTATTCATGTTTCTGATTGTGGACAGCTGTCTTGAGCATTTTAGGATGTTTAGCAGAATTCAGCAGAATGTTTAATTCCTAGCCTCTGCCATTTGATCTCAATAGTGCAATCACCTCATCTAGTAGGAACAACAGAAACCCACTCCAGACATTGACAAAGGTTCTCCAGAGCAGAGGAAAAGGGCAAAATGCTCCCACTGTGACCCACTGCTCTAGCAATGGGGATGCTTTATGTAAGTCCCTGTATACCTCAGGTAATGCCCCCAGTGAAGCAGAGGCTCATGACAGTGGGCTGACATCTGTGTGCAGTAAAATTCTGGCTTTGAAGTGAGGGATAAATTAATAACTCACTGGCAAAGGCACTGGTGAAGGTATCTAATGAATCAATGCAAACTTTCCCATGTGTTTGTGCATTAACATTTTAAACCACACACATTGTGGGGACATGGAAAGTTGTGTAATTTCTGGGTTTTGGTGAAGAAGCCAAAAGAATTTGCCAGAGGCTGACAGCTGACTCTGGCTCTACTTCCAGATCCGGATCCTGATCCCAACTCATTAGATAGATCCTGGTCACATGGTGTCATGGTAACAGTCACTTCTAGAGAAGGACACTGAGGTGGCCCAGACCCTGGTTGGCAAAGTCTCTAGTCACCTCCTCTCTTCACTTGCCTTCTTTCTCCCCTACTCCAAATTTCCCTCATGGAGAGTACAAATGGTGATGCATTGCCCGGGAAGTCAGTGATATCTGATTTTCATCTTAAGTCTGATGCTTGTTTTTAGTAAGACTTTAATTTCAAATTAATCCTTTTTTCTAAATAGACTTTGTAATAAAGCATGAAATTCAATCAATAAACTCTTTGTGAAAAAGCCAAAATCTGCTCTTAAAAGTCAATTACACAATATTAATTAAGCACCTAGGCTGTATGACTGTTACACCAAGACAAAGAAACCACAGTATTCTCAAGAAACACCTACAGAGAAGAATGGACCATGTGTTCAGGATTCTGGGGATGTCAGGAGAGAGCTACTCTAATTATATAATCTCTTGATCGAAGAATGAGTATATACCAATGATTGTGTATTTAATAATGCACTTTAAATACATTTTCATTTCTTTCTTTTCAAAAACATTTTAATTTTATTTTTTATGGGTGCATAATAGGTGTATATATTCATGGGGTACATGAGATATTTTGACACTGGTAGATGATGTGTAATAATCATATTTACCAATATCAGTAAATGTGGTATGTATCACCTCAAGCATTTATCATTTCTTACTTTTTTAGTTATTTAAAAATGTACAATAAATTATTGTTGACTGTAGTCACGTGTTGTACTATCAAACACTACATTTTTTTTTTTTTTGAGACAGAATCTTGCTCTGTCACCAAGCTGGAGTGCAGTGGTGCAATCTTGACTCACTGCAACCTCTGCCTCCCGGGTTCAAGCTATTCTCCTGCCTCAGCCTCCCAAGTAGCTGGGACTACAGGTGTGCACCACCATGCCCAGCTAATTTTTGTATTTTTAGTAGGGACAGGGTTTCACCATATTGGCCAGGATGGTCTCAATCTCTTGACCTTGTGATCTGCCCACTTCGGCCTCCCAAAGTGCCAGGATTACAGGTGTGAGCCACTGCACCTGGCCCAAATACTAAATCTTATTCATTCTATGTAATTATATTTTTGTAGCCATTGACCATCCCTGCCCTGCCCCAAAATACCTGAATGAACATTTCTCAAATGAGGGCATACAAGTGGCCAAAAAGTATCATATTTTTTAGTTATTTTAACTAAAAAACTTCCCCACCTCTGGTAGACATCATTCTACTCTCTATCTCCATGAATTCCATTGTTTTAATTTTTAGGTCCCACAAATATGAAAATATGCCAAGTTAGTCTTTCTGTGCCCAACTTATTTCACTTAACATAATGTCCTCTAGTTCAACTCATGTTGTTGCAAATGATGGAATCTCATTCATTTTTATGACTGAATAGGACTCCATCATGTATATGCATGACAGTTTCTTTGTCCATTCATCTGTAGATAGAAGCTTAGTTTGATTCCAGATTTTGGCTATTATGAAGAGTGCTACAAGAAACATGGGATATCTTCAATATATCGATATCCTTTCTTTTGGATACACACCTAGTAATGAGATTGCTTCATCATATGCTAGTTCTATTTTTAGTTTTTTGAAAAATCTTTATACACTTCTTCATAGTGGCTGTATTGATTTATATTCCTGCCAACAGTGAACGATGATTTCCCTTTCTCCATATTTTCTCTAGCATTTGTTACTGCCTGTCTTTTGGATAAAAGCCATTTTAACTGGGGTGAGAGGATATCACATTGTATCACATTTCTGGGATGATCCATAATGTTGAGCATATACTTGTTTGCCATTTGGATGTCTCCATTTGAGAAATGTTCATTCAGATCTTTTGCCCATTTTTAAATGGGATTTTTACATTTTCTCTTATTGAGTTGTTTGAGCTCCTCATGTATTCTAGCTATTAATTCCTTGTCAGTGGAATAGCTTGCAAATATGTTCTCTCATTCTGTGTATTGTCTCTTCACTTTATTGATTACATGTGTATATTTCTAATCACATAAGGAAATATGTCTGTCATTGGTTTCCTTGTTATAAAAACAATCATATTAGATTCATATGCTGTCTGATTCCTCCAGGAGCTACTGCTGAAGAGTGTGAGGTGGGATCAGGTAAGACTGGGCAGGCTGAGGGCATCTGATGGCAACAGGTAGGATCTACAAAAGGGAGTGAATGAGGCCTGCATGTTTACCCCCAATGGACATCCTCTTCTAGAACCACGGACACCTCCCAAGACCACATATCTCTAGCTGTCAACAAACTGTACAAAAAATGAAAGTACATTTAGCTTTACCAAGTGCAAAGAATTTACTTATCCTGGCTCCTTTTATGTAACTCTTGCTGCCTCTCTCATGGGCATCTTAACTGTTTTCCTTGACAAGATTTACTCATCTGTGCCTAAGATGTTTCCCTCAAATCTCTTCTCCCTGCTGTCTACCTCATAGGCTAGACAAGGTCACACTCTGAAAACAAATAATAGACTTCCTTTAAAAATGAATCACATGTTGAACAACAGGATATGAGACAGAAGACTGAAGAAGGACCTGTGGAATATCTCTAAGAATGAAATTTCATCATGGAAATTAAAGGCCTTTAGAAAATCAAAGAACAACATCCTTCTGAGCTTCACATGCTCCGGGAAAGGTTTGTGGATGAGGTGATGATTGAGTAGCATCACAAGGACCTAGAGGATGAGGAAGACCTAAGGATGGAAGTAAGGCCCTTCTGGTGGATGAAGCAGCCTCGGCCAGGGCATGAATTTACATACAGTCCAGCCCATTGGAGGGCAGGCACCTGCTGGCATTCTTACCATATGTAGGGCTGCATCCACTGTGCACTGGGTGTGAGGCTGGCTGGCACTGCTGTTTTTTCGTGACCAGGTGAACGGCTCTTCAATATTTCTGCATACATGGCTTCTCAGCATTGGCAATATTAATATTTGTGGTTGAATATCTCATTCTTGTGGACAGCTGTCCTGAACATTGTTAGATGTTAAGAAGGTTTCAGTTGATGTTTAATTCCTGGCCTCTGTCACTTGACCTCAATAGGACACTCACCCCCATCCAGTTGGGACAAGCAAAACCCACTATTGGGAAAGGTTCTTCAGGGTGGGGAAAGTGAAAAAGTGTCCCCACTGAGACCCATTGCTCCAGCAGCAGGGATACTTTGTATAAGTTCCTCCATATGCCTCTCCTGAGGCCCTGGCGTAACAGAGGCTCATGACAGTGGGCTGACTACTGTTTTTGGGATAATGTTGGCATTGAAGGGAGGGGAAAATTACTAACTCACTGGCAAAGGTACTAGTGAAGGTATCTGATGAGCCAAGGTAAACTTCCTCTCGCATATGCGCATTAACATTTTTAACCACACACAATGTGGGGACGTGGCGAGTTGTATAATTTCTGGGTTTTGGTACGGGAAAGAATTAGCCAGGGGCTGACATTGACCTTGTCTCTGCTTTCAAATCCGGTTCCAGGTTCCAACTCATTAGATACATCCTGGTCAGATGGTGTCACACTAACAGTCACTTCTAGGGCAAAAGGACACTGAGGTGGCCCAGGCTCTCATTAGCAGGGTTTCCAGCCATCTTCTTTCTTCACTACCTTCTTCCTACCTGACCCCCAGTTTCCCTCCAGGAAAGTACAAATGGTGTTGTATTTACCATGTCCAGGAAGACACAGTGGTGTCTGATTTAAGTGTTACGTCTGATGTCTGTGTTTCGTAAAACTTTAATTTTAAATGAGTTCCTTTTCCTGAATAGATCTAGTAATAAAACATAAAATACAGTCAATACACTCTTTGTGTAAAATATCAAAATCTGCTCTTGAAAATGAGTTACACAATAGTAAATTAAGGAAAATAAGTAGTTTTCATCACTATAATACAAACAAGAAGTGCCCAAGCCATGAGCTCAATGAGCAGGGACAGGGAGGAAGGGTCAGGGTGAGGGTCCTGGAGATGTCAGATGGAACTGCCTATGGACAGATACAGGGTCCTGTGAACAGGGAGGTCCCCAGAGATGCAGGGCCAGCAAAGAACACAAGGCATTAGCCATCTTTGATGTGGCTTTTGGAATGAAGTGTTTCAACCCAGAGCAGCTGAGGCAAGGGCAGAGGAGGAGGGGAATCCACTTGGAGCAAAGGTCTCAAGCAGAAAACTCTTCTCCAGGGCTTGTGCAGAAATCAACCCAGAGTTCTCATAGGGCAGCAGTGGGAGTCATGGACACCAGGACTCATCTGAACCATGATGTGCAGGTCCCTCAGTGTTCAGCCAAGGAGGGAAATAGTGTTGAGAGCAGCCTGTGGAGCCAGAACATCTGGCTTTTTATCCCGCTTCTGCCCCTTCCTAGCTGTGTTCTTTCAGGTGAGTGCCTTAACATCTCTGTGTCACATTTCTGTTAGGTGGGGTGAAATGACATGCCCACATCATAGGGAAGTGACTACTCATGCTAATTTGCCCACAGCAGTCCTGGGTTATGTTATTGTCCTGGCATCCCATTGATTTTATGTTTCTTTTCAGCCACCAAAATGTTGGAGTTTGGCTAACAAATAATACGGTCACCCTTCTGCTAAGGTTGCTGCTAGGAATGTTGTCACAGGGTTCAACAGTGCCTTTCAAACAGCAAACTGCTACATAATTATGATTCCTGCTCTACTGAACATTAAAAAGCAAGTGGAAGCACATTTGGAGCTGAGTTCTGGGAAGATTCATCGGACGACAGTATGTAGGGTCTGTTTAGGAGAGAATTTATATGTCAATTAGAGCTCAGCAAAATTCTTTAAAATGGACTGAGAGAAAAGATACCAAAGCCTGGATCACAATGCAGTGCTTTATTTTCCAAGTTAAATGTTTTTGCTTTGTCTAACTATGGTTATTGTGATATATTTTTGAGAATATTAAGGGCAGACTAATTTTCCAGTGTTCTATGATGAGCTTAGTAGTCCTAGGAGTTGAATCATAAATACAACTCTTAACAATAGGAAAAGATGATGAGCAACTGACATTTAGACAGCACTGACTCTGCACCAGGCACTGTTCCCAGTACCTTACCATTTTTACTTTACTTATGAGTCACAACCATTCTATGACTGTTTCCATTTTGAAGCGGACACAAATCGTTAAGTCTCCTGTCCACCGTGGCACTGTCAGCAAACAGAGGAGCTGGGATGTGAACACAGGCAGTCGGTCTGGCTTGGGGTCCTCACTCAGGAGCCATCAGCCATGGGCCTATGAAGGAAAAGGGCTGCAGAATTCAGCAGAGATGCAGCTTCCAGGGCCGGCCATTCCAGGCTTTTCGGTACAAATACAGAAATCACTGAGAAAAGATGACTTTCAAACAACATTGCTATTTAATATGAAGTATGGCAATGCCTTTCCTTTACCCAAATCCCTCATGTCCCTACATCTCAGCTCTTTTGTGAGCCCAAGGCCAGGGTAGATGTCTGCCTTTTTTTTTAAGGCACACTTTTTTCCCCTCACAAAACACAAGCACATTTTAGAGAGAATGTGTGAATGACTTATTGCTTTGTCATAGTAGAGGCTCAGTAAACACTTGTCACAGAAACACTGAAGACTGAAGGACACTTGGCTTCCAGTTTCTGAACTGAATTAGGGACCTGAATAAAAGTCCCGGCCAGGTGCTGTGGCTCATGCCTATAAACCCAGCACTTTGGGAGGCTGAGGTGGGTAGATCACCTGAGGTCAGGAGTTTGAGACCAGCCTGACCAATAAGGTGAAACCCCATCTATACCAAAAATACAAAAATTAGCCAGGCATGGTGGTAGGCACCTGTAGTCCCAGCTACTTGGGAGGCTGAGACAGGAGAACCTGGGAGGGGGAGGTTGCAGTGAGCCGAGATCAAGCCACTGCACTCCAGCCTGGGTGACAGGGCGAGACTCTGTCTCAAAAGAAAAAGAAAAAACAATTCTTCCCTTTTGGGAAGAGAAAAAATTGGACCAGCAGTACCGTGTTTTAAACTTCTGATTCTCCTCTCTCTCCCTGCAAATACTGGCTTGCAAATGAGCCTTTCTTGGGCCAGGTATGTCTTATGACTCACCAGAGAATGATCACTGTCAGATCTGGATACAATATGTGAGTGAAAGAAAACACCATCTCTTTAGTGGGGCACCATGTAGGTGGTGTGGGGAGTTCATTTTAGATGGGTAAGATAACTCTGCGTGAGTGTTTGTCCCTGTGGGAAAGAGGGCAGGTCCATAAGGACTGGGGCACCAGGCAGAGACCCATTAGGTCTTGGCCAAGGAGACAGTCTCCGTTTCATGATCAAAGTTTTTCACTTCATTTATGGAAGAAGGATGCCTGCCATGGCCAGCTGGGTGAAAGTACACCTATAAGTACAGAAACCTTCTTTTCTAGCCTCTTCCTAAATCAATTTTGTTCTCAACTGGAAAATATCTGAGGCTCCAGCTGAATGATGGAAAGAAAGACGTCATGGGTAATCCGGACAGCAAATAATGCATCCACGGGAAGTGAAGAACCGACTCATCTCTTTGGCTCTCTCATCCGTATCTTCTTTTTTTCTTTTGAGATGGGGTCTCACTCTGTCACCCAGACTGGAGTGCAGTGGCGTGATCTTGGCTCACTGCAACCTTCGCCTGCGAGGTTCAAGTGGTTCTCTTGCCTCAGCCTCCCGAGTACCTGGGACTACAGGCATGCACCACCACGCCCATCTAATTTTTTGTATTTTGAATCGAGATGGGGTTTCATCATGTTAGCAAGCATGGTCTCAATCTCCTGACTTCATGATCTGCCTACCTTGGCCTCCCAAAGTGCTGGGATTACAGGCATGAGCCATCACGCCCGGCCTCTTTTATAAAAAACCCAAGCCAGCTTTGTATTTCTTGTTCCCATGACCTTCACCATGCCCCTAATTAAACGAGGGTGGGTTTTCTGTCACATGAGGCTGTCCTGTCCTCCTGATCCCATGTGGCCATGTTCCTTGCCTTCCTTACCTGGCCAAGTGCCATCTGCCCTCTGGTCTCTGATCTTGTCATTCCCTCTGCATGGAACTGCATCTTCCCTGGATCTGTCACTAGACAGTGTCGTCCACTCATCCAAATGTCAGCTGAAATGGCATGGCCTCCTCCTCTCAGTAGTCAGTCCATGACATCATTTTGCTGTTGTGGATATTTTGAGTTCTTTGCAGTGATTACTACTTTCTCATATCTCTCTTATGTGGCAGGATGCTTGTTACCTCCCTTATTGGAAAGTCAGCTCCATGAGAGCAAGGGCTTGGTCTAAATTGTGCCTATAACTGAATTTATGGTGTGCAGCTCACTGCCAGCTCATAGGGGATGCTCAGTAGTTATTTAAAGATGGATGGCTGCATGCATGGATGAAATCTTGTCTTTATACATGACTACTTTGTACTGGGCTGTGTGAAACAATTTTTTTTTTGAGACAGAGTTTCACTCTTGTTGCCCAGGCTGGAGTGCAATGGTGTGATCTCGGCCCACTGCAACCTCCACCTCCTGGGTTCAAGCAATTCTCCTGCCTCAGCCTCCTGAGTAGCTTGGACTACAGGCACGTACCACCATGCCCAGCTAATTTTGTATTTTTAGTAGAGAAGGGGTTTCTCCATGTTGGTCAAGCTGGTCTCAAACTCCTGACCTCAGGTGATTCACCCACCTCAGCCTCCCAAAGTGCTGGGATTACAGGCATGAGCCATTGCGACCGGCCATGAAACAATCTTTACATGAAGCATCCTTATACAAATTCTGCATGCTATCCCATTCCGCCTTTTATTTTCTTCAAGTGATGAAAAGGAAGGATGCTCAGAGAGACCAGCAAGGACATGGCAGGACTGCAAGTTGCATCCAGGGTCCAAACCCTCATCCCTGATTCCAAATTCCATCACCACCCACCACCCAGCACTGCCTGTCCAGCCCATCAGTTACGCTACTAATTCACAGCATCCTTTGAATCAGTGGAAAGAAAACCCTAAAAAGTTACCAAAGAACTAAACAAAGTTATCAATTAATTTATAATTAACCGAGATAATCCTTGTAAAAATAACTTTCAGCGGAGGGTGGATGGCCTTAAATTTCCCCACAAAAGGTAAAACTTTCCCAGACATCCCTTTCTGAAAATGAGATGTCAGTGGATGAGAAAAGCCTGCTCCCAAGAGTAGGTGTGAGGTATTGCACCTAGGCCCACTGCTGGGATAAGCTGGCACAGATACACGGGACATGATGCTTTCATTCTCACCTTAAAGAAAGAGACAGAGAAGAAAAGGAAGGGGAGCAAGTGGAGAAGGAATACAAGAAAGAGGAAGAGAAGCAGGAAGATTCTACATACAGGCTGGCTGTGTTTCCCCTGGGGCATGCTCCTGTTTACTGGTCCCATGCCAGGTTGACTCATTGCCTCGTTCATGGGTGGAATTAAGATGCCTACCTGGGGAATAAATAGAGCAAGGCTGGGTGCTCACCTCCACAGCGGCTTCCTTGATCCTTGCCACCCGCGACTGAACACCGACAGCAGCAGCCTCACCATGAAGTTGCTGATGGTCCTCATGCTGGCGGCCCTCTCCCAGCACTGCTACGCAGGTGAGTTCTGTGCAGGGAGGGCTGCCTCGGGGTTAGGGGTTGTCACTTGGGCCTCTATGGAAGAACTCCTGCTCCCCAATTCTCAGCAGAGATCAGCCCCAGTACAAAGGCTGTAGGTATAACAGATCTCACCATGTTGCCCAGGCTGGTCTTGAACTCCTGAGCTCAGGCAGTCTGTCCACCTCGGCCTCCCAAAGTGCTGGGATTATAGGTGTGAGCCACCACACTTGGCCTAAGATACTTGGAAATCTTCTGTGATGCTCTGAATGGTAATAGTGAAGCATCGTATGATTTTGAACCAAAGAAGACCAAATAATCTTCACGATATACTTCCAAGTCCGAGTGTTTCATTTCTCAAGTCTTCTCATTAAATGAAGTTTCATGAGGTTTAGCTTTTCTGGGCTGGGGAGTGGAGAGAAAGAAGTTGCAGGGCTTACAGGAAATCCCAGAGCCTGAGGTTTTCTCCCAGATTTGAGAACTCTAGATTCTGCATCATTATCTTTGAGTCTATATTCTCTTGGGCTGTAAGAAGATGAGGAATGTAATAGGTCTGCCCCAAGCCTTTCATGCCTTCTGTACCAAGCTTGTTTCCTTGTGCATCCTTCCCAGGCTCTGGCTGCCCCTTATTGGAGAATGTGATTTCCAAGACAATCAATCCACAAGTGTCTAAGACTGAATACAAAGAACTTCTTCAAGAGTTCATAGACGACAATGCCACTACAAATGCCATAGATGAATTGAAGGAATGTTTTCTTAACCAAACGGATGAAACTCTGAGCAATGTTGAGGTGTTTATGGTAATTTCATTTTCTTCCTATAAGCTTTTTAAATCCCCTGACCAGGGACAAGTGGGCTCTTCATTTCTCACTGACAATGCCAAAGCCACTAGTGAACAAGCCTTTTCTTACATTGGTTAATTTAGTTGAATGGTTAGTCTAATGACTTTGCCATCAAGAAAAACATCCAGTGTCCCTGTGTTGTCACTCTACCCAGAGAATCCTCAGTGGATGATAAATGAATAGGGCAAGAGAGGAAAAGGAAAGGTCGGTAGAAGTCTTACCTATCCCCAGAGCTCTCTAATTCATGCTCACAAACACAGACACAATCACACAAACACAGAAACACACATACACACATCCAGACACATGCAAACACACAGACACAGTCACAATCACACAAACACACACACATTCAGACATACACAAACATAGACAGACAGGCAAAGACACAGACACAGACACAGACACAATCACACCAGCACACAATCATCCAGACACAAACACAAACACACAGACAGAACCACACAACCACAGAAACACAGAGACACACACAAACACACTCAGACACACACATACAAACATATGTTCACTCTCTACAGAAAAAACAATTTTCCAGAAGACCCGCACCTATAGACCAATCTGCAGAGAAAACTTCTCTTCTTCAAAAAAAAGTAAAAGTGTTCTTTCTTAAAAAATGCCCTATTTTTCAACAGTTTGGAAAATACCATTTGAGCAAGATTCTATACATCTCAAATAAAAAGAATTTAAAATGCACTTCCAGGCAATCATAATTTGCTAGCATAAATGATGAGAAACCTTGGACTATCCAATAGGCAACTGTAGATCATGGGTATGAAACCACCATGGAGGAAGAATTGCCTCAAACAAAAACCAATAGTTTTGTATTTCTTTCTAACTATACATGTATATTGTTGAGGGTTTTCTTTAGCATTTATTCCCTATGTTAAATTCTTCTTTAATCCTTCCCTGGTAAAAAAAAAAAAAAAAAAAAAGTTAGAAATATACCAAACCCCTCCATTAGGATGAAAGTGAACATCACCTCAGGAAACCCTGACGCTTTCTACAACATGGATGAACCTTGAGGATATTATAGCGAGTGAAGAGTGAAGCAAAGAGTCACAAAAACACAAATGCTGCATGACCCATGCATATGGGAATCTGGGGAGCCAGACTCAGAGACAGTGAAAAAAAAAAAAACAGTGGTTGTCAGGGCTTGGGTGCAGAGAAGAAGGGGGAGTCATATTTAATGGGTCTGGAGTTTCAGTTGTGCAAAACAGTAATATTCTGGAGTTAGGTTGCACAACCACACGAATATACAGAACACTCCGAACTGTCCCCTTAAAATGGCAAATTTTATGAGATGTACATTTTACCACTATTAATAATTTGTTAAAAACTAATTATCAACTGCAGGGAAGGGTGATGGATTTGTTTCTTTAAAAGCTTCCTCAGACAGATCATAGTCTGCAGCTCCAATAATTAGTAGAGCACAATGGTGGTGGCAGAGGGCGTCGGACTGCTGGGATGCTGGGAATATTTCCACAATGGAGGGTTAGACGAGAGCTCAAAGTTTCACTTTTTTTTTTTTTTTTTTTTTTGCATTTGAGCTAAGATTTTAACAATCCTGTGAAAATAGGTAATATAGTCACGTATTTGTTGAATACATTATTTCAAAGAACCACAAACACACAGAAAAAATATTTAAAAAGTCCATGGTGGGGGAAATGATCCAGAAACAACAGCTCTTCTACTTCCAGCCCTAACCGTCTGGGATGCTAGATGGTTGTGGGCAAACCGTGGAAAAAGATAAGCTTCTGTTTTTCAAGATTTTATTTTGTTAGAGAGTGCAGAAAATCTAAGTGATGTCTCTGTTTTTGCTTTCTAGCAATTAATATATGACAGCAGTCTTTGTGATTTATTTTAACTTTCTGCAAGACCTTTGGCTCACAGAACTGCAGGGTATGGTGAGAAACCAACTACGGATTGCTGCAAACCACACCTTCTCTTTCTTATGTCTTTTTACTACAAACTACAAGACAATTGTTGAAACCTGCTATACATGTTTATTTTAATAAATTGATGGCAAAAACTGAAGTTTCTCTTTGTTCTACCGTAGAAAAGAGGCGTTAGAGGGCCTCACATATTTTACATACACACACACACACACTTACTTATTAAAGAACTCATGGTCATGGGTTGAGGACTCTGTGAAGCATTTGTTTCCTCAGTCTGACCTCTAAGCCTTGGTACTCTCTCTGAAGAGTGTTTCCCTGTCCCCATCCCACCACCTCCCCCGTCGACTCTCTCTGGAGTCCTCAGGCTCTGGGATGTGAGGCAGGGTTTCACTCAGAGGACCTGCTTTCACTCCAGTCCTCCCATCCACGCTGAGCCCTGCTGGCCATGTCAGGCTTCTCTGCGCTGTCTCTGGGCCTCCCCGAGATGTGCAGGGCCTGGGCCAGAGCCAGCCAGGGAGAGGAGTCCTGCAAAGCAGGGTGGCACCTGACTGGGTTTAAATTTTGTAATTTTTACTCATCATGGATGTTGGCTTCAGTTTAATTTATAAACTACTACAGGAAAATATTATTTTTAACCATATTATGTTATTATTTGAATCCTATGCAATATGACTACTGAGTTTAACAGTACCCCTATTAAGATTTTCAATGTCCTCTAGTCCTGTGCCTGTGGTGGGACTGGGGTCCATCCTCCGCTGTCCCGCAGTGAGCTGCAAAGGCAATGAGGGTTGAGGGGAGTGAGTGTGCTGTGCAGGGACCCAGCACAGCAGGGGATGTTTACATGGAACCTGGAGTCTCTTTCATGTCCTGTCCCCAGCATTCCTGTCACCAGGGGCAGTTATTGCCACCTGTTCTGCTTCTACCTCAGCCTGTCCCTCTTCTTTCTGAGGCTATCCCCTTGTAAGGTTTTTGTATCGGCTCGAACCCCAAGAACATACCAACAGACAACACGAGGCAGTGTGGAGCAACATGCTGTTTTAATGAGCGCCTGGAAGCAGGAGGGCTGAGGCCTAAAGTGGCATCAGCCTTAAGTGAGGATGGTGCAAAGGTTTTATAGTCTCCTGTAAACAGGAAGTGTCCTAGTCTGATGTAACTGCTATGTTATATCTGGATGGCCTCTTTCTCCGTCTTCAGGGGTATGTGTCTTCCGGCCGGCTCTCTTCCTGCTTCTGCTATCTTGCTGGTGCACCCCACTAGCACAAGTAGCCTTGTGCCTTGGGACTGAGCCTGAGAAGTGGGGAGCTCATCTCCTTAAGCTTTCAGGCCCTGGGGAGAATTTTACATTGCTGTCTATTTGGTTATGGAAAAAGGACGACTTTCTCAATAACCACTTCAGGTGTGACATGGGGTGGCATGGGCACCTTGGAAAAAGAAAAACTTAATTTTGGGGCTATTCTTGAGAGACAGGTTGGTATCCACCATGTCATTGTAGCAGGAGCATCATCTGGATTGTCTGGAAAGGTGTCTGTGCCTGCAAAACAGTTATGTTGAGAGGACAAGGAGGTGTCAACAGGGAGAGGCATGGCCTCATTTGCTGCTTCACGAATGAAAGACCATGTCTGGATTAAGAAGGGGAATAATTCCTGAGTGGCTCAGAGTCTGGTAAGGGTGGAGGCCCCAAGACAAAAGTTTGGCCATACATGATTTCAAAGGGACTATAGAAAGAGGGTGCTTTTGGTGTTGCGTGGAGTCTCATGAGGGTAAAAGGGAGATTTTTTGTCCACGACTGGGGGGTTTCTAGAAGCAGCTTGGTGAGTTGGGCTTTAAGGACAGAGTTCATTTTTTCAACTTTGCGTGAAGATTGAGGCCTGTAGGGTGTGTGGAGAACTTACTTTATTTTTAAAGATGTAGAGACACCTTGGGTGATTTGGCTGATGAAAGTGGGCCTGTTATCAGACTGGATGGATGTTGGGAGTCCAAAATGGGCAATTATATGCATGATGAGCATTTGCGTGATGATATTTGTACCTTCTGAAGTTATTGGGAATGCTCCTACCTACCTGGAGAAAGTACAGACAAAAACCAGAAGATAGTGGAGCAATTTATCAGGTGGCTTGTGGGTGAAGTCTACCGGCCAATCTTGCCCGGGTACCTGGCCTCAGGCTTGGTGGGTAGGAAAAGGCAGTGGCCAGAAAGAACCTTGGGGTGACACTGAGAGGCAGATACAGCAGGACTGGGTAATCTCTTGAACACAGCTGGAAAGGTGAGGAGAAGTGAGGATAGGGCAGAGAAGTTGCAGGAGAGGTTTGTAACTGACATGGAAATATTTGTGGAGGTTTGGAGGTGAGGAAGGCTTTGAGAGTGAGGGAGAGTGAAGCACCCTTCCTTGACATACCATGGTCATTGCTTTTGAAGGTTTGGGGCTTGGAAGTCCTCCTTTTCTTGTGAGGAGTAAAGAGAAGAGAACAAGGACAAGGACAGAAACTGGCCTTGCATGGGATGTAGGGCTACTTTTTTGGCTACCTGATCTGCTGGCTCATTTCCAGCCGATATAGGATTGTCTGGGGTTTGGTGGCCTCTGCAATGAATGATGGCAACTTTCTGTGGGAGCTTGGAAGCTTGAAGGAGCTTGCTGATGAGAGAGCCATTTATGACAGGAGTGCTTTTTGCAGTTAGGAAACCCCATTCTTTCCAGATGGATGAGTGTGAGCACTACGTGGAACACATAATGAGAATTTGAATGTATATTCATCTGTTGTCTGGTTGCTAGAGTGAGAGCTTAAGTGAGGGCGATGAGTTCAGCTTTTTCGGAGGTGGTGCCTAGGAGGAGCAGATTGGCTTCAACAGTGTAGGGGCTTGTCAGTGTTTTCCCATGTAGGGAAAAACTGAACATTCAGAGCACTGTTCAGAGGAAATCACTCCTGGACATTATTTGACAAGATATTATTTGAGGGACTATCTCCTGGGTAATTCCTCAATGGGATGAAAATTTTCAACATCCTGTAGGGTGGATGCTGAGGCACTGAGGCAGGGCTTAATGAAGAGGCCTGGAGACTGAAGACAGGAGTGGTACCTGGCAGAGACACCAGTCATCAATGGCTCTGGTCTCAGCACTGACTGTGTGGAGAGCTGTGGGAGGAGCCGGGCACCTACGTAGAGACCAGCCCAGGGCCCAACCTCAACGTCAGGGGCTGGATGTGGTGTCTAGAGACCACTGAGTGAGGTTGTGCGGGTCCAGGACTCCAAGCGGCTGGAGTTGCATCATCTGTGTTAGCAGTTTGAAAATACAGATCATACAAACCCTGTTCTGTGACCATAATTGAGTCCAATGAAAAATCAAGAGCCGAATGACAAGAAATTCGCCAATCACTGAAAATTAAACTCCCTGCTGCTAAATGATAATGAGTCATTAAATACTTATTGAAATTGTCGTTAGTGTCTGTGTCCAGCCCTGGGTTGTGAGGTATGGGCAAGCAGGGACAGTGGATAAACCCTTCTCTACTCCTGCCTCCTGCTGGGATGGTTGGGGACAATGCTCTTTTGCTTCCTAGAGGAATGTCAAATAATCCTGTTTGCCTCTCTTTTCTGGACACTTCAGGGGCCTTCTGAAGTATTCAAAAAGCTAAGTGCAAGGGAAGACAATTTTGAAACTGAAGTTTGATTTTGGGAAGGCTGTTAAATGTTCGAGGTTTAAAACACTTGATATTATAAAATAGAATTGCAGATTATTATAAGTTTTTTATGTTTCCAAAATCATGATTCAGAAATTTTAAAGAAGCAAAAACCTTTTATTGCCCTTTACAGATTTTGCCAAAGAGCAGATTAGTGTCTTAGGAAGACCTTGTTATGCTTTTATTTCAATGCTCAATTTACAGAAAAACCATAAAATAACCCATTTTTTAAATTTAGTCAATATTTTTACATAGAGAACCTCTTATGCAAAATTAATTTCCACAATTCTTCCACCACTTCTTTGAACCTTCAGATTTTTCCTATCTAATTTAAAACTATCAGCTGGGTGCAGTGGCTCACATCTGTGATCCCAGCACTTTGGGAGGCCAAGGCGAGCAGATCACAAGGTCAGGAGATCAAGACCATCCTGGTCAACATGGTGAAACCCCATCTCTACTAAAAATACAAAAATTAGCTGGGTGTGGTGAAGCACACCTGTAATCCCAGGTACTCAGGAGGCTGAAGCAGGAGAATCGCTTGGACTCAGAAGGTGGAGATTGCAGTAAGCTGAGATTGCACCACTGCACTCCAGCCTGGCAACAGAGCAAGACTCCGTCTCAAAAAAAAAAAGAAACAAAAAAAAGAAAAACTATTCTTTAACCCTAGGCAACAGTTTACATTTCCACGCCTTCTTGTAATCTTTTACTAGAGAACACATTTTACTGTTTTTAAACACCTTGCATGAAAATCTATTTTCAGTAGTTTCAATTACATGATATAATAGTAACTCCTACAAATTGTTACTGTTAAGGTAAAATCTGGTAAGTTGCTTTAATTGTGTGCTAAGTGCAGCCAAGGTTTACCTTCTTAATTAAGGGTGTGGTTAGTTCCCTATGTCCCCAGGCCCTACCAATTTTGAAGCAATCAACACAGACAGTTCTCAAAACCCAAAAAGCAGTTTACAACCTGGGTTAGTTCCTAAATCAAGTTTTTTTCTGGCTTAATACTTGGCAGTTCTGAAATAGCTGCAATTTGTCCTAGTTGAAATATGGTAATGAGAATTATAAAGAGATTTTTAAAGGAGCTCAGTGGTTAAAAGTCAGCTTAATTAAAAGCTAACATCCTTTTAAAAACACACCTCAGCCCTCTCCCTCTCCCTCCCCCTCCCCCTCCCCCTCCCCCTCCCCCTCTCCCTCTCCCTCTCGCTCTCCGTCTCCGTCTCCCTCTCGCTCTCCGTCTCCCTCTCGCTCTCCCTCTCCCCACGGTCTCCCTCTCATGCGGAGCCGAAGCTGGACTGTACTGCTGCCATCTCGGCTCACTGCATCCTCCCTGCCTGATTCTCCTGCCTCAGTCTGCCGAGTGCCTGCGATTGCAGGCACGCGCCGCCACGCCTGACTGGTTTTGGTGGAGACAGGGTTTCGCTGTGTTGGCCGGGCCGGTCTCCAGCCCCTAACCGCGAGTGATCCGCCAACCTCGGCCTCCCGAGGTGCCGGGATTGCAGACGGAGTCTCGTTCACTCAGTGCTCAATGGTGCCCATGCTGGAGTGCAGTGGCGTGATCTCGGCTCACTACAACCTACACCTCCCAGCCGCCTGCCTTGGCCTCCCAAAGTGCCGAGATTGCAGCCTCTGCCCGGCCGCCACCCCGTCTGGGAAGTGAGGAGTGTCTCTGCCTGGCCGCCCATCGTCTGGGATGTGAGGAGCCCCTCTGCCTGGCTGCCCAGTCTGGAAAGTGAGGAGCGTCTCCGCCCGGCTGCCATCCCATCTAGGAAGTGAGGAGCACCTCTTCCCAGCCGCCATCACATCTAGGAAGTGAGGAGCGTCTCTGCCCGGCCGCCCATCGTCTGAGATGTGGGGAGCGCCTCTGCCCCGCCGCCCCATCTGGGATGTGAGGAGCGCCTCTGCCCGGCCGAGACCCCGTCTGGGAGGTGAGGAGCGTCTCTGCCCGGCCGCCCCGTCTGAGAAGTGAGGAGACCCTCTGCCTGGCAACCACCCCGTCTGAGAAGTGAGGAGCCCCTCCGCCCGGCAGCTGCCCCGTCTGAGAAGTGAGGAGCCTCTCCGCCCGGCAGCCACCCCATCTGGGAAGTGAGGAGCATCTCCGCCCAGCAGCCACCCCGTCCGGGAGGGAGGTGGGGGGGGGTCAGCCCCCCACCCGGCCAGCCGCCCCATCCGGGAGGGAGGTGGGGGGTCAGCCCCCCCGCCCGGCCAGCTGTGCCATCCGGGAGGGAGGTGGGGGGGTCAGCCCCCCGCCCGGCCAGCCGCCCCGTCCGGGAGGTGAGGGGCGCCTCTGCCCGGCCGCCCCTACTGGGAAGTGAGGAGCCCCTCAGCCCGGCCAGCCACCCCGTCCGGGAGGGAGATGGGGGGGTCAGCCCCCCCACCCGGCCAGCCGCCCCGTCCGGGAGGGAGGTGGGGGGGTCAGCCCCCCGCCTGGCCAGCCGCCCCGTCCGGGAGGGAGGTGGGGGGGTCAGCCCCCCGCCCGGCCAGCCGCCCTGTCCGGGAGGGAGGTGGGGGGGTCAGCCCTCCGCCCGGCCAGCCGCCCCGTCTGGGAGGTGAGGGGCGCCTCTGCCCGGCCGCCCCTACTGGGAAGTGAGGAGCCCCTCTGCCCGGCCAGCCGCCCCGTCCGGGAGGGAGGTGGGGGGGTCGGCCCCCCGCCCGACCAGCCGCCCCATCCGGGAGGGAGGTGGGGGGGTCAGCCCCCCGCCCGGCCAGCCGCCCTGTCCGGGAGGGAGGTGGGGGTGTCAGCCCCACGCCCAGCCAGCCGCCTCGTCCGGGAGGGAGGTGGGGGGGTCAGCCCCCCGCCCGGCCAGCCGCCCCGTCCGGGAGGGAGGTGGGGGGGGTCAGCCCCCCTGCCCGGCCAGTGGCCCCGTCCGGGAGGTGAGGGGCGCCTCTGCCCGGCCGCCCCTACTGGGAAGTGAGGAGCCCCTCTGCCCGGCCAGCCGCCCCGTCCGGGAGGGAGGTGGGGGTGTCAGCCCCCCGCCCGGCCAGCCGCCCCGTCCAGGAGGGAGGTGGGGGGGGTCAGCCCCCCCCGCCCGGCCAGCCGCCCCGTCCGGGAGGTGAGGGGCGCCTCTGCCCAGCCACCACCCCGTCTGGGAGGTGTGCCCAACAGCTCATTGAGAACGGGCCAGGATGACAATGGCGGCCTTGTGGAATAGAAAGGCGGGAAAGGCGGGGAAAAGATTGAGAAATCGGATGGTTGCCGTGTCTGTGTAGAAAGAAGTAGACATGGGAGACTTTTCATTTTGTTCTGCACTAAGAAAAATTCCTCTGTCTTGGGATCCTGTTGATCTGTGACCTTACCCCCAACCCTGTGCTCTCTGAAACATGTGCTGTGTCCACTCAGGGTTAAATGGATTAAGGGCGGTGCAAGATGTGCTTTGTTAAACAGATGCTTGAAGGCAGCATGCTCGTTAAGAGTCATCACCAATCCCTAATCTCAAGTAATCAGGGACACAAACACTGCGGAAGGCCGCAGGGTCCTCTGCCTAGGAAAACCAGAGACCTTTGTTCACTTGTTTATCTGCTGACCTTCCCTCCACTATTGTCCCATGACCCTGCCAAATCCCCCTCTGTGAGAAACACCCAAGAATTATCAATAAAAAAATAAATTAAAAAAAATAAATAAATAAATAAATAAAATAAAATAAAAAAAAGCTAACATCCAAGATGTGTGTGTATGTATTTAAAAGGACTTCATGTTTTTGTTTTTGTTTTTCCTCCTAGAAACTTGATTTTTTGAGCAAGTTTTTTTTTCTCAGTTGACTGAATTCTGTTTTCTTTATTTACTTCTGCTGTCTACCAAGATGTATTTTTTTGTAGGAAAGCTTAAAGAGAAATAATTTTATCTGAGAAAGAATCATATGGTAAATGTTGTCCTAAAATGAAATGACTGGTTGTTTAAGAAAGAGGGATGTTCAGGACAAACAAGAAAGTCCAAACATGTCATAAATGACCTGTCTAAGTTATAATAAGATAATTTATTTTAAGAAAAAAATTTCTATATGATCTAGTTGCCTATAATTAAAGGAAATTATAATGGTCTTTCTAGAAATTAGGTTTTGATTTAAAAAATACTTAGTAAAGAATTGTTTCCAACTATGAAGTTTTCTTAAGGTACTGCTTTACTCTTAATAAATTACAAGGCATTATAATTTTTGTTTTCTGCAAAGTTCAACTTTTATTGTATCTGTTTTCAGCTTTCTCTCCTTTTTTAAAAGGCCCAAAGTAATAACTCTATTCTTCAACTCATTTTCAGTTTCTGTAAGTTTCTTTTTTCCTTAAGGTTCTAGCTTGTGGCCTGATGCTTTAAAAAAAGCTTTATCTTAAAGAGCTAAAGGAAATGTTTCCTTTTAACCTAATATTCCTCATAAGGAATAGCAGTCACACTGCAGAAGGTCTTTCCTTTCGCCTTGGGTAACTGGCCTAATAAACAGATTTTATGCCTTATTGAAATAATTCCTATCATTATTACTAAGTTTTGTTTGCTTAGAAAAAAACATTCATTTGGCTAGATGTGGTGGCTCATACCTACAATCCCAGCAATTTGGGAGGCCGAGGTGGATGGATCACCTGAGGTCAAGAGTTCAAGACCAGCCTGACCAATATGGTGAAACCCCATCTCTACTAAAAATACAAAAATTAGCCAGGCATGGTGGTGTGTGCCTGTAGTCCCAACTCCTCAGGAGGCAGAGGCAGGAGAATTGCTTGAACCTAGGAGGCAGAGGTTGCAGTGAGCTGAGATCACACCACTGCACTCCAGCCTGGGTGACAGAGAGAGACTCCATCTCAAAAATGTTAATTTTTTAAATTCAGGGTACTACATCCCTGTAACTTTCTGTATGTGTTTGTAAAGTCATTGTGTCATTAAGTTACAGGACTTTGACTCATGAGTCTAAAAGGACACCAAGTCCTGCTAAATCTTAACACTCACAGCACTTAAAGCCTCATCTTCAGACCCCATAGAAGATGCCAATCAAAGTAAACTGTGTTCATGAGGCCCAGGGCCAGAAATTAAATCTATTCAAGGCCCTAGTCAAGGCCTGGGAACTGTTATGAAAGAGGTGGGCATTTGAGATTGTAAGGGCTGATTTGGAGAGATAAATAAGTTGTTTCTCTATGAATTAACCATTATTGTCAAAGGCACACTAATGCAAAACCAGCCTATGGACCCCTGTGTCAGAATAATGAGATTTTCTTGAAGCATTAACAAACTCCATGGTAAAGGTCAGAAAAGGCTTATGGAAATTATATCTTATGGTCAAGATGATTACACTTTATAGATTATAAAATTTTAAAAAACAAATTTAATAGGCTTCATGCTGTTTTTATTAGAGTTTATTGTTTGGAAAGTTATGTCTCCTTTCTCAAATAATGGTTTTTACCTTTTTTGAAATCCTTGAGTTATTCCTTTGGTTAAACGAATATTTATTTTACAATGACCTGTGATCCCATTTTCCAAAAAGTGCTTAAACCTTTGATATTCAACAAGCTTTCCAAAATCAAATAATAAATTATGTCTTTTTCTGGCCTAATTAATTCTTGAAGATATTAGGTTTCCTAAAGTCCAAAAATGACATATTTGGCTTATGGGATATAAAAATCACACAGGAAGCATTATCAAATATGGAATGTTGTTAGGCTTTTTTGGGCTATATTTCTATAAATATTTTATTGGTATGTGTTCCAAAATTATGTGAAACTCCTATAATTCTGCTAGGACTTAGTGTACATTACCAGTAATAATTATAATTGTTATGTTAAATTATTGTTTGCAACAGAGGTAACATTTCGTTGTCAATTGTGTCTTTGACTATGGCTACCCTGAAACTTTTTGTCATTCACAGTCAATTGTTGTTTTGGTCCTCTTTATAAGGTGGTTTTATAATCAGCTATAAAACTCTAACAGGTATTTTCTAATGCAGGCTTCTGTTAATTGTCAAGATTGTGACATTTGAAAGAGGAAAAACTCTCAGAACTCTCATGGAGAGCTGGAATGTTCATGAATATCATGCAGAACAGGAGTTAACTGCATGGACTGAACTAATAGGAGACTGAAATAATCTTTTGACGTTTTTGCTTAAAACATTGCTACTCCTTTGTTTTGTTTTTCAGAGTGAAGAAGCTTTTCTTTTGAGCTATTTACAGCTTGTAGCAATTAAGTAAAGTATACTCCCGTGAAAAAAATTTGGAGCATATTTGTTTCTCTCTACCTGATTTCTCCAGAATTTGTGAGTATTCTTAACTTACGGCAATATAGTTATTTTCATAAGTGCAATAATAATCTGTTTTCTTTTGCAACAGGAAACCATCAGACCAACTGTTTATTTTACCAAGGCTTTGACTAAAATGGTGTGCTTTACTTTAAGTAATCAAACTTTACTTATAGTGCCAATAAAACCCCCTGGGGAAAACTGGCCTTGAACCTTGTCTACACAGTTTCTCTGCAGGGTTCCTGACCAGTGGTAAGTATAGAGTGTCACTTTCTGATTGGCCCAGGAGCCCCAAGTTATCTTTTGACCTCAAGAGAGGAGAAATTTACCTAGCTCATTGATATTTGACGGTACAAATCCATGGCTAGGCTCAGCTTTAAAAAAGTCTTATTGGAGATTCCTTATGGAACAGCACTTCATTAAAGCCAATTTAAAAAGCCTATGTGAAAATTAATTATTGTTGCTCTGCTTTAAACAAATCATTAGGCCAAGTATGTTACTAAAGTTTATTTTTTCAAACAAATTGGCCCCATTATAATTTGTTTTTAATAAAAATGGGAGACTGAAGAGAGAAAAATTATGTTTCAAAAAACTACAGTGCACCTGTTGTTAGATTCTAGTCTTGCCTTATATTTTTCAATTTTTATTATTTTCTACAGTTTGGACTAAATTCTAGTTTTTCCTGGCTACACGTCTCCAAAGTAATGTTTTCAATTTTTTCTTTCCTTCTTTTCTTTTTTCCACCCATGTTTTAAAATCTGACATGGAAAACTAGGCTGTGCTTTCTCAAAGCCTTGCAAACTGAAGCTAGACAACTTCAACTTCAGAAGAAAATAACAGCAACCTATTTACATACCACTTTCCTACCTGCCTCCTGATGTATGGATTTCAAAGTAATATGGTCTATATTGATTTTTCCATATTGTTCTTTTGTTTGTTGTTATTTTCCTCCCTTCTTCTTCCTATTTTATGTTTGTAGGGCATGAGACCTCACAACCTTCTAAAAAATGGGCTTTCCTAATAATGTAGACCTACCCATTGAGGAATAAATTGTCCTAGCCATGAGAGATCAGATGACTCCCGAGATCAGATACTCATTTTCTTCTAAAATGCTTTCTCTGAAAGATTTTTAAAAGAAAAGGAGGGAAATGTGAGAGGAAAATAAATTTGGGGGCCCTCAAATTAATATTTATTTTCAAGATTTAGATCCAAACTGTAGAAATTTCTGGCCCTGTGTCTCACAAATGCAGTTTATTTTGATTGGCATCTTCTATGGGGTCTGAAGATGAGGGTTTAATTTAAGTGATCAGTGTGTAAGATTTAGCAGGACTTGCTGTCCTTTTTAGACTGAAGAGCCAAAGCCCTGTTCTAACCAATACTTCAGTGTATGTTTTAGTTTTTGTTTTTAGCAATGCCTGAACTCTAGAACAACTATTATAAATAATTTCCCTTTAATTATAGACAACTTGATACAAATCACTTATGACATGCTTGGACTTCCTGTTTTATCCTAGACATTACTCTTTCTTAAATCATTAATTTATTTGAGGGCAAAATTCTGCCACTTAAGATTCTTTCTCATATAAAATTATTTTCCTTTCAATTTTTCTTATCAAAACTACCTCATTATAACTTTCTTTACATTGTTCTAATTCACTAATTGCCTTTATCTAATTTAACAAATAACTTTTATGTAAATCTGAATTAGTAAAATATTTTCTTTCTAGTAAGAACACATATGTATTTTTAAGAAAAATGTTTTTCTATAATTAAAAAAATTAGAAATGACCCATTTAATGCATATTTCTTGTTTAGCTTAGTAAAACTTTAGATTATAAATTATATGACAAGATTATCTACAAGCATCCATTCCATTATAGTTACCTAATTCATTAATTTTTAAAATAGTTTACCCAGATTACTTATGAAAACTCTGATAGTTATTTGAAGTTATTTCCTTGCTAACCATTTTGATAGCCTGTGAATTTCAGGCTTTTCTAAGTAAGAACGTTAAGTTTAGATAAGTGGGGTTTTTGTGATTTTTCTTTGCCAATAACTAAGGACTTCACTGTTTTGTATTTCACCTAATTTTTTAAAATCCGCTTACTTATTAAATATTTACTTAAATCACTTGAACTTGAAAGAGAGTTTGGCTTAAAGTCTCTATATTCCAATAAAGTATTTGATTTAAGTGATTTTTTAAAGCCAATCAATTAGAGCTCTTTTATATATTTTTAGTAGTGAAACATATACATAACATGTAAGTACATAGGCATATTAGACACATAGATATAAGTAGATCTTATAGATTCATAGACCTCTATGAATTCTTTTATTTTAGACTTCCAATTTCTTAATAACTGATTTTATTACCCTAGACAATTGTCAGTGAGATAGCCCTAAATTTGCATGTTAAAGAAATTCTGAGGTGAAAAATCAGATAACAAAATTTACATCTCAAAGTACAGATAGAGTCTGGTGGTGCTACAGGGAGATTAAAAATGGATGCCAAATTAAACATGAAATGATAGAACTCTACCAAAGGATTGTGTAAGAAGACCAATTTTATTTAGAGAGGGACTACCTATCTCTTAACTGGATCTCTGAGCTCTGAGCAGAGCCTATGCTTCAGGATTCATCCTGGGTCTTTAAAATGGGAGAATTATTATGAGGCTAGACCATATGGTGTTTTTACAGTGCACTTGAAAGAGGATTTCTGTAAACAAAGACATTTCTAAGTGTCTAAATTACACTCTTCCTTAAAAACCTAAGTTTGGGATGTGATGAGGTTTCTCTTCAAATAGCCTGATCGATCCTTTATTATTTAATTCATAGTACCCCACAAACACCACCCCTTTTTCCTTTTTCTCTTTTTTTCCTTTCTGCCTTTGTTACATGCCCGGACACGCCACAGTACCAGGCATTTTCCTTTCATTATTTGGAAAGAAGACTATCTCTCTAGCTCATTGCAGACACCCCTTCCCCTTTTCCCCTCTCTTCTCTTCGTGCCCACCTTATCTAAAGAAATTTCAAATGTCTAGCCAAGCGGGATTAGTTCAGATTGTGTGACCCGACCCCAGCCAATGGGGAAAGGGTACAGAGGCAGGACTTGCATCAGGAATAAAGACTCTCCTGCCCTTGCGTTCAGGTGTGCTGTCATGGTGACTGGCCAAGGAGAAGCACCCCTCTGCACAGAAGTAAAATTACTTTGCTAAGAATCCTTTCTTTGAGTGTTCAATCTCCTTAGGATTTTGAGTGTTATTCCCAACACCAAGAGTAGCCTCTGTTATAAAAACTATTTTAGTCAAAAAATCAGGCAACATGATACAAAAGCAAGCAGTTAAGATCTGAGAGAAACTTGTTTGTTTACACTTTTATGGTTTCATAAAGAAAAACAGAGGTTTCTCTCCAAAGGTGTGTCTGGTGACTTCTCTGTTTTCTTGTTTTGTTTTGTTTTCAGGAATCCCAGGCTATTATAAACTATTTTAGGTTCCTCATGCAGCAGAGAGTGTAATGAGAAAGGAAAGACAGCAGAAGTAAATGAAGAAAACAGAATTTAGTCAATTGAGAATGTAGCAGGACGAGCCACAGATAAAACCTCTCAGACACCGAGTTGTAGAAGGTAGGGCTTTATTCAGCTGGGAGCATCAGCAAGCTACTGCCTTAAAATCCAAGCTCCCTGAGTGCATAATTTCTGTCCCTTTTAAGGGCTCACAACACTAAAGATTTCACATGAAAGTGTCGTGATTGATTTGAGCAAACAAGAGGTATGTGACAGGGGCTGCATGCACCAGTGGTCAGGGAGGAACAGAACAGGACAGGGAGTTTCACAATGTTCTTCTATACAATGTAAGGAATCTATGAATAACATCGGCTTCTAAATCATAAGTTGATTTTTAACTACTGGGTTTAGGCCAGGCGGGCCCAGGCCTGGTTTCAGGCCTGGCGCTGGGCTGCCTGTCTTTGGTTTTACTTCGTTGTTGTTTTTACTGAATATGAAACAATATAAAACAAAGTGAGAGGGTCTTTCTCTCCTCTCAAGAAGAAAAGAAAAACTTTTGCTCAGAAAAGAAAAGGTCCTAGGAGAAAAAAAGATAACGTAAAGAACATTGAATAAAACACACACATGTACACGTACACATTTTGGATGTTAATTAAACTGACCTTTATCCATTGAGCTCCTTCGAAAAATATTTAAAAATCGAATCTATATTTTAGGTAGGAAAAAATGCTGATATTTCAGAAGTAATAAGCATGAAATTAGAAACGGCTTGATATAGGAACCAAACCCTGCTTGTCGTGGTGAAGAAAAAAAGACGACAGAACTTTAGCTATGGAACTGCAGCATGGGGTGACAGCCAATGCTCTTTCAGTTTGGCCTGGCTAGCAAAAAGGTGGCCTTATTATGTAAATAAAGCCCCTCAAGTATTCAAAATAAAAAATCTCCCCCAATTTTTTTTTTGTTTTTTGCAGGAATTTAGTAACTTTAGAAGCCTTGTTCTCATAAATTGAAACTTTCCTTTGGATTTGATCAAGTCAGATAAAGTTGGTCAAACTCAATGGGAAAAAGAAACAACAAGAAAAATGGAAACAAACAAACAACAAAGAAATGGTTAAGCAAAACAAGCAGATTATTGCACAGTTTATATGATTACTGAGCTCTCTAATGGTAAGGAGAAATTAAGACCAGCTGGTTGTTAATCTTAACTTTAGCCAAGACAAAATTCCAATTCAGCTACTTATCTAGGGATGGATCTCAGGCTGAAGACTGCTCTCTACCATCTGAGGTGCAGAAAAAACTCAAACTCTCTTCCTTGTTGAAAGTGAGCTCAAAGTCCAGAAAGGAATTACCTGTTTGAAATCATCATGGAAGCAGAAAAACTTGCCTTCCCTGTTGGAAGAAAGTAAAACTCCAAAAAATAAAAGGAGTTAAACTTTAGATCTCAACCAAATTTTGGGAGATCAGGGATTCTCCAGAGGGAGAGCTTCCAGGCCTCAGCAAATTTTCCTATTGGTTTGAGCCATAAAGAAGCTCAAGCTGGTACCACACACCCATAGGAACTTTGTCAAAGCTCAGAGATACCTCCACTCAGAATCCCTTTGTTGTTACCAATTCTGAATGCAAAATATCTGAGACAGGTCTTAGTTAATTTAGAAAGTTTATTTTGCCAAGGTTAAGGATGCACCCATGACACACCCTCAAGGAGTCCTGAGACATGTGCCCAAGGTTGTTGGGGGTATGGTTTGCTTATATACATTTTAGGGAGACATAAGACATCCATCAGTATGTGTAAGATGTACATTGGCTCAGTCCAATAATGTGTGACAACTGGAAGTTGGGGCTTTCTGGTTAGAAGTAGATAAGAGACAAAAGGTTGCATTCTTTTGAGTCCTTGATTAGCCTTCTACTGAATACACAATTTAGTATGGCTCAGTAAACCTGCATTTTTACATAAATGATAGGGTAGAGGAAGAAATCAGACATGCATTTGTCTCAGGTGAGACTCAGAGGGATAACTTTGAATAGAATGGGAGGCAGGGCTTGCCCTACGCAGTTCCCAGCTTGACCTTTTCCTTTAGTTTAGTGATTTGGGAGTCTCAAGAGTTATTTTCCTTTCACAGTGATAGCTTAAAGGTACCACAAATATCAAACCAGAAAAAAACTTGATTTAGGAACCAAAGCCAGGTTCTCATGGTGAAAAAAAAAAGGGGCAGAACCTTAGCTATCTTAGCTACTGAGCTAAGCCTGGGGGATGGCCATTGCTTTCTCAGTTTGGCTTGGCAAGCAAAAAGTTGTCCTTGTTCTGTAAATAAAGACCCTCAAGTAGTCAAAATCAAGTTTTTTTTTCTTTTTCTCCCATTTGGCTGATCTTTTTTGTTCTTTCAGCTGCAGGAATTTAGCCAATTCAGAGACCGTTTTTTTTTTTTTTGTGATTTGGAACTTTCATTTGGATTTGATCAAGTCTAATAGAGTTGGCTAAACCCAATGGGAAAAATACCAAAACAACAACAAAAACAGAAACACACAAATACACAACAACAGCCGCATAGGCTCAAAATAAAGAGATGGAGGAAGATCTACCAAGCAAATGGAAAACAAAAAAAGGCAGGGGTTGCAATCCTAGTCTCTGATAAAACAGACTTTAAACCAACAAAGATCAAAAGAGACAAAGAAGGCCATTACATAATGGTAAAGGGATCAATTCAACAAGAGGAGCTAACCCTCCTAAGTATATATGCATTCAATACAGCAGCACCCAGATTCATAAAGCAAGTCCTTAGAGACATACAAAGAGACTTAGACTCCCCCACAATAATAATTGGAGACTTTAACACCCCACTGTCAACATTAGACAGATCAACTAGACAGAAAGTTAACAAGGATATCCAGGAACTGAACTCAACTCTGCACCAAGTGGACCTAATAGACATCTACAGAACTCTCCACCCCAAATCAACAGAATGTACATTGTTTTCAGCACCACAACACACCTATTCCAAAATTGACCACAGAGTTGGAAGTAAAACACTCGTCAGCAAATGTAAAAGAACAGAAATTATAACAAAGTGTCTCTCAGACCACAGTGCAATCAAACTAGAACTCAGGATTAAGAAACTCACTCAAAACCGCTCAACTACATGGAAACTGAACAACCTACTCCTAAATGACTACTGGGTACATAACGAAATGAAGGCAGAAATAAAGATGTTCTTTGAAACCAACGAGAACAAACACACAACATACCAGAATCTCTGGGACACATTCAAAGCAGTGTGTAGAGGGAAATTTACAGCACTAAATGCCCACTAGAGAAAGCAGGAAAGATCTAAAATTGACACCCTAACATCACAATTAAAAGAACTAGAGAAGCAAGAGCAAACACATTCAAAAGCTAGCAGAAGGCAAGAAACAACTAAGATCAGAGCAGAACTGAAGGAAATAGAGACACAAAAAACCCTTCAAAAAATCAATAAATCCAGGAGCTGGTTTTTTGAAAAGATCAACAAAATCGATAGACCGCTAGAAAGACTAATAAAGAAGAAAAGAGAGAAGAATCAAATATACGCAATAAAAAATGATAAAGGGGATATCACCATCGAGCCCACAGAAATACAAACTACCATCAGAGAATACTATAAACACCTCTACTCAAATAAACCAGAAAATCTAGAAGACATGGATAAATTCCTGGACACATACACCCTCCCAAGACTAAACCAGGAAGAAGTTGAATCTCTGAAGAGACCAATAACAGGCTGTGAAATTGAGGCAATAATTAATAGCTTGCCAACCAAAAAAAGTCCAGGACCAGATGGATTCACAGCTGAATTCTACCAGAGGTAAAAGGAGGAGCTGGTACCATTCCTTCTGAAACTATTCCAATCAATAGAAATGGAGGGAATCCTCCCTAACTCATTTTATGAGGCCAGCATCATCCTGATAGCAAAGCCTGGCAGAGACACAACAAAAAAAGAGAATTTTAGGCCAATATCCCTGATGAACATCAATGCAAAAATCCTCAATAAAATACTGGCAAGCCGAATCCAGCAGCACATCAAAAAGCTTATGCACCACGATCAAGTGGGCTTCATCCCTGGGATGCAAGGCTGGTTCAACATATGCAAATCAATAAATGTAATCCAGCATATAAACAGAACCAAAGACAAAAACCACATGATTATCTCAATAGATGCAGAAAAGGCCTTTGACAAAATTCAACAACTCTTCATGCTAAAGACTCTGAATAAATTAGGTATTGATGGGACGTATATAAAATAATAAGAGCTATCTATGACAAACACACAGCCAATATCATACTGAATGGACTAAAACTGGAAGCATTCCCTTTGAAAACTGGCACAAGACAGGGATGCCCTCTCTCACCACTCCTATTCAACATAGTGTCGGAAGTTCTGGCCAGGGCATTCAGGCAGGAGAAGGAAATAAAGGGTATTCAATTAGGAAAAGAGGAAGTCAAATTGTCCCTGTTTGCAGATGACATGATTGTATATCTAGAAAACCCCATCGTCTCAGCCCAAAATCTCCTTAAGCTGATAGGCAACTTCAACAAAGTCTCAGGATACAAAATCAATGTGCAAAAATAACAAGCATTCTTATATACCAATAACAGACAGAGAGCCAAATCATGAGTGAACTCCCATTCACAATTGCTTCAAAGAGAGTAAAATACCTAGGAATCCAACTTACAAGGGATGTGAAGGACCTCTTCAAGGAGAACTACAAACCACTGCTCAATGAAATAAAAGAGGATACAAACAAATGGAAGAACATTCCATCCTCATGGGTAGGAAGAATCAATATCGTGAAAATGGCCATACTGCCCAAGGTAATTTATAGATTCAATGCCATCCCCATCAAGCTACCAATGACTTTCTTCACACAATTGGAAAAAACTACTTTAAATTTCATTTGGAACCAAAAAAGAGCCTGCATTGCCAAGTCAATCCTAAGCCAAAAGAACAAAGCTGGAGGCATCACACTACCTGACTTCAAACTATACTACAAGGCTACGGTAACCAAAACAGCATGGTACTGGTACCAAAACAGAGATATAGACCAATGGAACAGAACACAGCCCTCAGAAATAATACCACATATCTACAACTATCTGATCTTTGACAAACCTGACAAAAACAAGCAATGGGGAAAGGATTCCCTATTTAATAAATGGTGCTGGGAAAACTGGCTAGCCATATGTAGAAAGCTGAAACTGGATCCCTTCCTTACACCTTATACAAAAATTAATTCAAGATGGATTAAAGACTTAAATGTTAGACCTAAAACTGTAAAAACCCTAGAAGAAAACCTAGGCAATACCATTCAGGACATAGGCATGGGCAAGGACTTCATGTCTAAAACACCAAAAGCAATGGCAACAAAAGCCAAAATTGACAAATGGGATCTAATTAAACTAAAGAGCTTCTGCACAGCAAAAGAAACTACCATCAGAGTGAACAGGCAACCTACAGAGTGGGAGAAAATTTTTGTAATCTACTCATCTGACAAAGGGCTAATATCCAGAATCTACAGTGAACTCCAACAAATTTGCAAGAAGAAAACAAACAACCCCATCAACAAGTGGGCAAAGGATATGAACAGACACTTCTCAAAAGAAGACATTTATGCAGCCAACAGACACATGAAAAAATGCTCATCATCACTGGCCATCAGAGAAATGCAAATCAAAACCAAAATGAGATACCATCCCACACCAGTTAGAATGGCCATCATTAAAAAGTCAGGAAACAACAGGTGCTGGAGAGGATGTGCAGAAATAGGAACACTTTTACACTGTTGGTGGGACTGTAAACTAGTTCAACCATTGTGGAAGTCAGTGTGGCGATTCCTCAGGGATCTAGAACTAGAAATACCATTTGACCCAGCCATCCCAATACTGGGTATATGCCCAAAGGATTATAAATCATGCTGCTATAAAGACACATGCACATGTATGTTTATTGCAGCACTATTCACAATAGCAAAGACTTGGAACCAACCCAAATGTCCAACAATGATAGATTGGATTAAGAAAATGTGGCACATATACACCATGGAATACTATGCAGCCATAAAAAATGATGAGCTCATGTCCTTTGTAGGGACATGGATGAAGCTGGAAGCCATCATTCTCAGCAAACTATCGCAAGAACAAAAAACCAAACACCACATGCTCTCACTCATAGGAGGGAATTGAACAATGAGAACACATGGACACAGGAAGGGGAGCATCACACACTGGGGCCTGTTGTGGGGTGGCGGGAGAGGGGAGTGATAGCATTAGGAGATATGCCTAATGCCAAATGACGAGTTAATGGGTGCAGCACACCAACATGGCACATGTATACATACATAACAAACCTGCACATTGTGCACATGTACCCTAGAACTTAAAGTATAATAAATAAATAGATAAATAAATAAATAAATAAGCGATGACTAAATCAAAACTTTGGATTCAGAATACTGAGCTTGTCATAAAGTGTAAGATGGATCATGGGGAGAAGACACTGGAGAAAAAGTGCCTAGGCAGAGACCAATAATATTTGTCCAGAGAGCAAATTATGAGACTCCACTTAGCTCAGTGGTCATGAGAGATGCCTGAAGAAATAAAGTCAAGAGACCCTGCATGAGTCAATCCTACACACTTGGTAAACCTCATTCTCAGGTTTTTGAACTAGATGTTCTTCAAAATTAGTAATATCATTAGCAAAGAAGACATCCAGGATGTCAATCAATGAGCACATGAACACCAAGAAAGCTGACTATGAGATGCTGGCAGGTCTAGGAAGGCGTTTCTAGGGGTAAAATACAAGCCCAGCTCCCCTGCAGTTACATTCCTCCTCCCCCTCAGAGAGCAGCAGTCCTTGCATTCTTTTATTGTATTGTCATTTCATGAAACTTTTCATTTCAATCATTTTTAAGTGTACAATTATGTGGCCTTCAGTGTATTCTTGATGTTGTCGCACTATACATTTCTAGGAAATTCTCATTCCAAACAGAAACCCTGTACTTCTTAACAATGACTTTGATACCCTCTTCTCCCTGTCCCAGCCTGAGCGGTCTTGCTGGATCCCACTTCACACTCTTTTAACAGCATCTCTGGAAGGAAAATGTTACCGTATGTGACATGAATGTGATCAGCTTTGAACGTTGAGAAGAGTGAGCACCTTGCGACCCCCAGGCTTCAAAGGCTATGGAAGTAGCTAAGGCAGCAGCCCTAAGTGACAGCCCTGCTGATGTCAGGAGTCCTGTGAGTATCATGGGGGACTCCTGTGCCAGCTACTGCCTCCCCAGGTCACTGGATGACTGCACCTATAGAAGAGAGAGGTAAGAGAATGAGGACTGCATGGGGTCTACTTATACACAGATTCGTGTGTTCCAGACAGAGCCTGGGCATCACCTGCTTTTGACAGCTTCCCAGTGGATTCCAAAACAGAGCCAGGATTAAGGCGCCCTGGGTAAGCATTTCTCATTCTCATGTTCATTAGTGGAAACAATCTTGGACCTTCCTGGGTACTAGTGAGGACTAAAAAACAAAGGAAAAATGTTCCAGCAAAATGCATACTGGGGTGTTCAATAAATAGAAATTTTTATCAATTGTAAGCATTTGAGTAATAATTTCTAAGATATGTTGAGTGCTTTATAGTATTAATTTATCTAATGTGTTCTCACAACAATGCTATGACATGCATTCTATTTCACAGGAAAATAAGTGAATGATTAAAAAGGATGTCTATGCATGTGGGTGCATGTGTGTATAAAGATGTAATGTAAGGTGTGGGCATCCATGGGGGCCTTACAGAGAAGGAGACATGTGAAGTGCATTCTATGGTTGGGGATGGTCAAATGTCAGAGGCAGGTAAGTCTATAAAGGCAAAGGAAAACCTATATGGCCTGGTGCAAGGATGTGACTCATGTGATGTATAAGAAATGAGATACAACAACTACGGCTGAGGACAGAGCACCCAGGAAAACAGAAGATGAGGAGACAGGGCTCCCAGGAGCAGGGTCTTGGAAGTCCTCATGTGGAACACAAGGCTGTGGATGTGTTTCTCCAGCAGTGGTTCCTCTCTGGGGTTCTCAGAATGTAGCCTGAGCTCTGGGAATCCTTGTGTCTGTCTGTGAATCCTTGTGTCTGTCCATGCGCAATGTGTAGGCTAAACTGGTCATGAGTTTCACACACTTGGGTTCTATTTTTTTAAGTGTCAATATTTTCTGGTGTTATTAAAATACAAATTTCTTTTAAAAGCAATGTATAATAATAACTACTGTTATCTACTATTTTCTCAGTTGTATAATAATAGCTATTATTATATAAATATGAGTTTAGGTAAAAAATGACTTCTCTTACTTGAAACCCTTGAGAACATGTGCCCTCTGGTCATTTAGGGTTGTTGGAGGATAGGACCATGTTTCAGTTTTGGGAGGCTCGCATTGGCATGAACAAGGAGGGTTTATCACAGGAAGGGCTCACAGAGGCTGGGAGACAATTTAGGAGACATTAATCTGAGTTGAGTTTGGAAGGACTCGGATAAGACTGTTAGGTGGCTGTGTGATGGAAAGGAAGGGACTCGTGGAGGTGACACTGTGGCCATGGAGTAAACAGAACTTAGGGTACGGTGAGGAGTCAGGAGGGAGGGAAGCTGTAGTTGGCTGATTTATGCCTCCATCTCCCAAAAGATATACACATTCTAATCCCTGGAATCTGTGAATGGCCCATTGCAAGATGAAAAAGCATTATGTAGACATGATTCAGTTAAGGATCTTGAGATAGGGACATTATTCTGAATAATCTGGTGCTTCCTAACCCCAACCTCTGTATTTTGTAATTAAAAGTCAGAGAGGGATTTGACACGGAAAGGAAAGGAGATGGGAATGTATCATGGAGGCAGAGGTTGGAGTGATGTGGCCACAGGACCAGCATGGTCAGCAGCCCTTAGTGAACTCGCCCGGAGAGCCCCCAGAAGGAACAGAGCCCTGCTGCCCCCTGACCTCCCCACAGTGATACCAGTGTTGGGCTTCTGACCTTCAGAGGTACAAGAGAATCCGTTGTTTTAAGCCACCAAGCTTTCGGAGGTTTCTTGCAGCAGCCACAGGACACCAAGCCAGGAACCTGTGGCGTCTCCCTATGTCCTGGTCAGGGGGCTTGCTAGGTTGGGTGCATTAGCCTGGATGGGCTTATGGAAGGGAGAGCAGGCTGGGGGCAGACCCTGTGCTCAGTTTTACATCCTGCTCCTGAAATGACTGTGGAGTGTGCACTGGGAGCTGTCCAGTTGGCAAGGGGTGCTGGTCTCTGGAGCTCTTGAGAGAGCTTGAGGAAGGAAGCATTTGCCTCAGGTGCTGGTGAGTGAGGCGGACACTGAGGAGTGCTCTGAGTGTGGGGAGTAAAACAATGTGAACTCCAGGTTGAAACCTGGAGATGCCCTCAAATTGTGATAAATGGAAAATAAAGTATACTGGACATGACTTGGTGCAGAGAGAGCACCAAGCAGGCTGGCTGTGCATCTGAGGGGACAACAAACTAGGGCTAGGGCTGCTGCTAGTGGGAACCACGTGCCTGGACACCAAGGCAGGCTGGGAGATCCCTCAGTCCAAGACCAGCAGGACCACTGTAATTGCTGTTTTCTATTGCCATGGTTTTCATTCGCGAACGCAGGATGGGAAATCTGTAAGGAATCCAGGATGATTTCTGCAAATATTTCCTTCTGGGATGCTTGCATTCAGGCCCCATTAGTAACAGAATGCTGGTTACTCTAGAGTTGATTATCAGCCACAGCAAAAGTCCACTCCCCTATGGAAACCACCCTCGATTCAAGGCCCGAGACTGCAGGATCATAACAAGACCAGTGGAGATGTGCAGGGCAAGTGATTTATTAAAGCAACGTGTTGAAACCTTTACAATTTTTAGTGAAGATCAGGGTGTCGTTGAAAGACTTTGGAAACCAGGTTGAGCATTTTTACATGTCACACACCACATTTTTTCACTATTTCCACCTGAAATCAAAAAAAAGAAAGAAAGAAAGAAAGGTGAGGTCAGTCATGCTGCTGCTGGTGATGATAGGCTAACATCAAAGAGGCCAATGGGATTTTGCCCCAATGGCAATTGGAAAGGCAGAGGCAAGAATTCAGTTTGGGAAACTGAGGCCTAGACCTGGTGGCCTTACAACACCCATTCTGGTGAGAAAGCAGCCTTTCCCCACCAGACCAATAGACCTGGGAAGACCCAGGAGTTAGGCCCAGGGTTTTCATGGAGGAGGAGGGGAGGGGTTGACAGTGCAGCAAGAGGTTGTTGTCTGGGCTGTCCCAGGTCTGTGGAGTCTCCTGATCCCTGTAATGGGGGACCCAGGGCTCTGAAGCCAGGCAGGGCAGGGAGGGCTTCTGGGAAACACACCTTCCAGGAGACTCCAGTCTTCCCATGGGAGAATTCTGCCTAACGGCCAGGGGTCTTATCAGCCCTGACCCTGCAGCTTCTATGGGTATTTGCAGCCAAACCTCAGGACAACAATCCAGAGGCAGCCAGGCTGAGAGGGCCCTGGAATCTCTGATTTCTTGAGAAAGACATAGTGAGAACATCCCACTTGTGTGGCGTTGCAGTAGGTAGAGCAGCGAAAAAGTCTTGGCCCACTGGCTGTGGTCAGGAGAGTGTCATGGATGAGGAGTGGATAGTGGGCCCTGAGGAGCTGCAAGGGGCTCCTGGCTCTGCAGAAGCTGCACAGGAGCCCAGTTCACCAGCACCCTGTCTGTGGGAGGCCCAGCTCTAGGTCCCCTCAAGCCTCCTCTCCCTGTTCAAATCTCCCACACTCCCTGGGACATCCCATAGTGACCGTGTCCACTGCGTGAGGGTAGGTTGACCTCAGGAAAGATCCCAGCAGGGAGGCGGCCGTGCTTGGCCCTTCACCATCCCTGCCTTGGCCCTAGCTCACTCCCCATGTCCTCAGCACACTCTGGGGACACAGCATCCAGGCAGGTGACCTGACAAGAAACATGCAGGAGGCTGTGTGCAGCTGAGTTGAATTCTGCCTCTGCATAAAGGAGAAAGAAATTACCAGGACTTTTTCAATGAGAGTCGTTTCTTAAAAGATATCTGATCGGTGCAGTGCTTCACTTCCAACTTGGCTGCAAGAGCTTCTGGAGGTGGATTAAGTTTGGCAACTTGGAGGTTTACCGCAGCGTCACTTAAGAATAAGAAGACTGTGATCTCAGAAGCAACAGCTGGGCAGACAAGAGCATGGGCTGCAGCACAAAAATAAAAATATTGTTGATGTTAGGAAAGTCGATTTTTCTCTCATGGCTCCCTGAGGTTACACCAGACAGGATCCCCTGGGTTCTATGTTTCTATACCATTATTGTGCTGATGACAATACCAGAAACTCCAGGTGTGACTTTCTCCGGGTCACACAACAAAGGGAAGAGCTTCATATCCTCAGCTAGACTTCTTTTTCTTTTTTTTGAGATAGGTTCACCCAGACTGGAATGCAGTGGCACAATCTCGGCTCACTGCAGCCTGAATGTCTTGGGCTCAAGCGATCCTCCCTCAGCCCCCAAAGTAGCTGAGACTACCAGTGCCTGCCACCATGCCCGCTTTTGTGTGTGTGTGTGTGTGTGTGTGTGTGTGTGTGTGTTTTGTTTTGTTTTTTTTTTTTGTAGAGATGGGGTTTCGCCATGTTGCCCAGGCTGGTGCTGAACTCCTGAGCTCAAGTGATCTGCCCACTGTGGCCTCCCAAAGTGCTAAGATTACAGGAATGAGACACCATGCCTGGCCCACAGCTTGACTCTTGACAACCATAACCTTACTTCATTCTCATAGCCACTCCTGGCAGAAGCTTTAACCACCAGTGATAAGAGGAGGCTCAAGGAGGGTGAGCATTGTGCCCAAGATCAAGGGGTGGGAAGTGTCGAAGCCCAGGTTCACCCCAGACCTCACATTACATCATCTGACACAGATCCCATTCAGAAGTGAAGCTCAGGCAGAAGAATTCCTAACATTTGCCTGAACTGATTTTTCTATAAAACTTCTTAGATACTGGGGATTAGAAGAAATAGCTCTAAGCAGCCAGGCGCAGTAGCTCATGCCTGTTATCCCAGCACTTTAGGAGGCCGAGGCGGGCAGATCATCTGAGGTCGGGAGTTCGAGACCAGCCTGACCAACATGGAGAAACCCCATCTCTACTAAAAATACAAAATTAGCCAGCTGTGGTGGCCCATGCCTGTAATCCCAGCTGCTCAGGAAGGCTGAGGCAGGAGAATCACTTGAACCCCGGAGGCAGAGGTTGCAGTGAGCCAAGATCATGCCACTGCACTCCAGCCTGGGCAACAAGAGCAAAACTTCTCAAAAAAAAAAAAAAAAAAAGGAAGAAGAAAGAAGAAATAGCTCTAACCTTTATGAATCTTATTCAACAAGCACAGAAAAGGGTTTGGAATTTTGTTTGGTTTTGTGCAGACCCCAACCCAAAGCACAAATAGGTGATCTTGTGCTCAGAAGAGGGTGCATCCCAGGGGCTGGTGCTGGACTCATGACTGATGTACTCACCCTGGTAGCAGCAAAGGGCCAGCGAGACCATCAGGAGACACACTGACAGCCTCATGGTGGCTTATTCGGCTGTGAGCTCAGCTTTCACAATGAGTGATTTGGATTCGACTCCAGGAGCCTGTGTAGTCATGGAGGCCAGGGCTATTTGTACCTAGGGAGCCTGGCTGGTCCTACCTACCGGGGCACCTGGTAGGTCATGAGGCCTGGCTCCCAGCCCGCCCTTCCAAGCCAGGGCTGCTGCCGTCCATCAATGTCACCTCCTTAGGAATCTCTGCATCTGAGTGGGGCGGAGCACAAGACAGCAGCCTTGTGAGAACTCTGCTCTGTGCTCCAGGTGAGTGTTCAGGTACATCTGGAAATGTTCCTGGGATCCTCAATTTCCTTATGAGCTTTTGCTGATTAGTTCTTTTTATCTTTGTAGCAGTGCAGGGGCACAGGTGAATTATGGCTTCACAAGGCACAGGAAGCTGGAAGGCTGTGTTCTCTTTATGGGAGAGCAGGGACATAAGGAGACCCTGCTTTGATCCCCCTGCATGTCTGACAACAAGCAGGCTTGTTTCAGTTGCACATTGGGAAAGTCTAATCCTTCCCCTCAGCCCCTTCCATCACCACCATGTTCACTGCATAGGTACTGAAAACATAGTTGAATACATCCCACCTGTAGAAGATATGCTGAGGAAAAACATCTGCTGCACCTGTTCTCTAGCCTGCCTCACTCCCAAACCTGAATCTTGTTTATACGTGCAGTTATATATATGGCCAAGATTCACATTTTCTATCTATAAAAAGCAAGCTTTCTGTGATGTGTAGCCACCCACGTCTTATCTTAGGGCTGATCTGAAGATTAAATAACCTAACTCTTTTTCTCAAGAGCTTTTGGAGTGTTCAGAGCCAATCATACATCAGTGGGGCTCTAGGCTGGGAAGATAATAGAAGGGAAGAGACAGAGGAACAGGGTGGGTGGTCACTTCCCCCTAACCCCTAGGCTCAAGTTTTCCACTTCAAACCTATCTGTGCTGCCTGGGCCAATCCCATTTTTAAGGGAAAGTGAAGGAAGCCCCCAGACAAAGCAATACACACCCGCCTTCCCTCCCATTGCCGTGCCTTCATGTGGTGTGAGTTTAATCACCAGAAATTTTTCTCTTAAATAAACTTACATTTGAGAGGAGTCACAGCCCAGGCCATAGCTTTCCATTCTCAGCTATGTAGTCAAATCACTTGGAGCTTTTAAAACATACTGACCCCACAGGCTTCTCTCTCTGGCGATTTTGATTCAGTAGCATTGGGGTGAATCCCTCCTTTCTGTACTGTTTAAACTGCTCTGGTGTTTCTCACAGACAGCAGGGCTGAGATCCAGCCAGGAAAACCTTTAAGAAGGAAGGGGACCTTACGGGTTTTGTCATCAAAGACACATTGACAGATTTAGTTGAGTCCAAGCTGAGGGCAACAGTGGATCTCACTTTCATCACACAGGATGACGACGGAGTCCCTGAATCAGCCCTGCTGCCACCAAGGAGGGGGAGGGTTGGTGGTGAGGTTTACAGCTATGAGGGTTCAGATCCTCATTTATGGGCTCCTGGACCTTAGGAAAATTATTCAGTTTATGTAACCCCAGTTTTCTCATTTGTCAAAGTAGGCTACTAATGGTGCCTACATCATTGGGTTGATAGATGATCAAATGAGTGTGTTCATGGGTGTGTGTGTGTTTAAAATATACCAAGTTCTGGTACATAGTAGTTCTCAATGTAAACTGCCATTATCTTGTCCCATTTGTCATATATGTCATGGTTTGCCAGTAGTTCCTAGTTTAGAGCACAGCCAAAATCCACTAAATCACCTACTTGCAGAACTACACGGACACCTAGATACACCATTTCTCTTTGACATAAATGGAAAAGGAAACCCAGCTCATGGTCTTGGAGGCTGCAAACCCATGAATATGGGCTTCAGGACTGAGGCCTCTTTTGCAGTAGACAGGTCTGTGAAGCATCCACCCTTTTTGTGGATGAGAGTTTATCCTCACTCAGGCTTGACATTCACCTTGTCATCTGTACAGTCCATTGGGGAGCATGTGTATCTCTGACAGAGGATTGTTTGCGTATACTTTTATTAGTCCTACCACGATTAACACCTATGCAGGGTTTTTTTGTTTTCATCATTGATGCTTTTTATGGCTCCCTCCTTTTTACACAATTGACTCAAGATTTTAGTTTATTCTTTCCATCCATGGACATCGTTGCCTGACCCCGATGACTTGTTCAATACTCCCCTTCATAGACTCTGCTGGAACCATGCACCTCTCATTTGCAGCAATCTCAAGTAACAAGGAATTTAAAAGGATTTTCTTTAAAAGTGCTCAGCTTAATTAAAAGTGGATATGTTCAAGTTATAGGTATATTGAAAAGGTCTTTATGCTTTTCTCTTGTTGAATCTTGTTTTTTGGGAAAAAGGCTCTTTTCTTTTCAATCAACTGAATTATTTTTCTCCATTTTTCATCTTACCATTCTTAATGCAAGCATGAGAAGCCCTAAGATAACTTCTGGTAGCATGGGACTCCTTGGGAAAAACAGAGGAGGCACCACAGACCCCATTTTGGGGAAAAAAAAAAAACTGTTTTCCTCATGAAACCCCCAAAATTAAAAGCAGTTACTTCTCAAAATCAAAGGCTCTGTTCTGTTATGTATTGTGTAATCTACCATTTTGAGTTTTGGGGGTGTCAAATTACTTCACACTATGAGAGAGCTTCGGTGTGTAATAACTAGATAGAAAATTCAATGTTAGGGATGGCTAATAGTAGTTATAATCAAAGAAGCGTGCTCTTGGCCACCTGAAAGATATGGCAACATCCTCACCCCCAACTAAGAGACGAGACTCCCATGGGGAATGGGCTCATTACAGAATAAGCCAATTGGCTTTGGGTTCCCTTGCAGTGAAATACGTGATAGAACCACTACACTGTCTTCTCCCATAGTATCTCCCTCCTTTTAGGGACCCAAGATCAGGTATAAAATGGCACCCTTAATTTTAGGGATCTGCCTTTGCCTTCAGCTGCGTCTGTTTATTAGGTATGCTACATAGCCCTGTTCCTTCAAGGGCTCCACCCTAAAGCCAGTAATCCAATTAAGAGACTACCAAGTGAAAAATCTTACAAGTGCTGAATCTTCTGTTTCTTAGTGTTGCTATATATGTGCTGTGTGTGATGTCTATAAAAAGAGCTCTGATTGATTGGCTTAAAGAAAAATAAGTGCTTCAATCAAATGTTTTAGTTCACATGACTTGAAGAAATAAAAATAGTCTGAAGGATTATTAGTAAAAGGCAAGTGTCATCAAAATGCAAATAGGTTGTCTAAATCATATAATTTAGATACCAGGTTTGCTAAATGTTGCAAGGTCATATACTGCCTGCTTTACACATAGGTAAGGCCTGGGACTCATGGAGCTAGAAGCTGAAAAGTCAGACTTTATCTGCACTTCTGTCTGGGTCCTAGGATCCACAGCTGGAACATAATTAAAATTGCTTACTAACCAGGTTTTTCACCAAAAATAAAAGGTGAAGGGTAAAGTTATTGTAAACCACAGAGATAAATACACTTCTTTGTCAGTTGATGGTGTTTTCTAAATATACAATCATGTCATCTGCAAACAGAGACAATTGGATTTCCTCTTTTCCTATTTGAATACCCTTTATTTCTTTCTCTTGCCTGATTGCCCTGGCCAGAACTTCCAATACTGTGTTGAATAGGAGTGGTGAGAGAGGGCATCCTTGTCTTGTGCCAGTTTTCAAAGGGAATGCTTCCAGCTTTTGCCCATTCATATGATATTGGCTGTGGGCTTGTCATAAATAGCTCTTATTATTTTGAGATATGTTCCATCAATACCTAGTTTATTGAGAGTTTTTAGCATGAAGGGCTGTTGAATTTTATCAAAGGCCTTTTCTGCATCTATTGAGATTATCATGTGGTTTTTGTCATTGGTTCTGTTTATGTGATGGATTATATTTATTGATTTGCATATGTTCAACCCGCCTTTCATCCCAGGGATGAAGCTGACTTGATCGTGGTGGATAGCTTTTTTTATGTGCTGCTGGATTCAATTTGCCAGTATTTTATTGAGGATTTTCTCATCGATGTTCATCCGGGAGATTAGCCTGAAATTTTCTTTTTTTGTTGTGTCTCTGCCAGGTTTTGGCATCGGGATGATATTGGCCTCATAATACGGGTTAGAGAGGATTCCCTCTTTTTCTATTGTTTGGAATAGTTTCAGAAGGAATGGCACCAGCTCCTCTTTGGACCTCTGGTAGAATTCGGCTGTGAATCTGTCCATTCCTGGACTTTTTTGGTTGGTAGGCTATTAATTATTGCCTCAATTTCAGAACTTGTTATTGGTCTATTCAGGGATTCAACTTCTTCCTTTCATCTTGGGAAGGTGTATGTGTCCAGGAATTTATCCATTTCTTCTAGGTTTTCTAGTTTATTTGCATAGAGGTGTTTATAGTATTCTCTAATGGTAGTTTGAAGTTCTGTGGGATCAGTGCTTATATCCCCTTTATCATTTTTTATTGTGCCTATTTGATTCTTCTCTCTTTTCTTCTTTATTAGTCTGGCTACCGGTCTACCTATCTTGTTGATCTTTTCAAAAAACCAGCTCCTGGATTCATTGATTTTTTGAAGGGTTTTTCGTGTCTCTATCTCCTTCAGTTCTGCTCTGATCTTAGTTATTTCTCATTCTCTGCTAGCTTTTGAATTTGTTCACTCTTGCTTCTCTAGTTCTTTTAATTGTGGTGTTATACTGTCGATTTTAGATCTTTCCTGCTTTCTCTTACGGGCATTTAGCACTGTAAATTTCCCTCTAAACACTGCTTTGAATGTGTCCCAGAGATTCTGGTACATTGTGTCTTTGTTCTCATTGGTTTCAAATAACTTATTATTTTCTGCCTTAATTTCATTATTTACCCAGTAGTCATTCAGGAGCAGGTTGTCCAGTTTCCATGTAGTTGTGCAGGTTTTGAGTGAGTTTCTTAATCGTGAGTTCTAATTTGATCGCACTGTGATCTGAGAGACTGTTTGTTATGATTTCCATTCTTTTGCATTTGCTGACGAGTGTTTTACTTCCAATTATGTGGTCAATTTTAGAATAAGTGCATTGTGGTGCTGAGAAGAATGTATATTCTGTTGATTTGGGGTGGAGAGTTCTGTAGATGTCTGTTAGGTCCACTTGGTCCAGAGCTGCGTTCAAGTCCTGAATATCCTTGTTAACCTTCTGTCTTGTTGATCTGTCTAATATTAACAGTGAGGGGTTAAAATCTCCCACTATTATTGTGTGGGAGTCTAAGTCTCTATGTAGGTCTCTAAGAACTTGCTTTATGAATCTGGGTGCTCCTGTATTGGGTGCATATATATTTAGGATAGTTAGCTCTTCTTGTTACATTACATAATGTAATCCCCTCCTTGTCTCTTTTGATCTTTGTTGGCTTAAAGTCTGTTTTATCAGATACCAGGATAGCAATGCCTGCTTTTTTTTGCTTCCCATTTGCTTGGTAAATATTCCTCCATCCCTTTATTTTAAGTCTATGTGTGTCTTTGCACATGAGATGGGTCTCCTGAAATACAGCATACCGATGGGTCTTGACTCTATCCAATTTTCCAGTTCATGTCTTTTAACTGGGGCATTTAGCTTGTTTATATTTAAGGTTAATATTGTTATGTGTGAATTTGATCCTGTCATTATGATGTTAGCTGGTTATTTTGCTCATTAGTTGATGCAGTTTCTTCATAGTGTCAATGGGCTTTACAATTTGGTATGTTTTTGCCATGGCTGCTTCCGGTCGTTCCTTTCCCTGTTCAGTGCTTCCTTCAGGGCCCTTGTAAGGCAGGCCTGGTGGTGACAAAAATCTCTCAGCGTTTGCTTGTTTGTAAAGGATTTTATTTCTCCTTCACTTGAAGCTTAGTTTGGCCGGATATGAAATTCTGGCTTGAAAATTCTTTTCTTTAAGAATGTTGAATATTGGCCCCCACTCTCTTCTGGCTTGTAGGGTTTCTGCAGAGACATCCTCTGTTAGTCTGATGGGCTTCCCTTTGTGGGTAACCCAACGTTTCTCTCTGGCTGCCCTTAACATTTCTTCCTTTCAACCTTGGTGAATCTGATAATTATGTGTCTTGGGGTTGCTCTTCTTGAGGAGTATCTTTGTGGTGTTCTCTGTATTTCCTAAATTTGAATGTTGGCCTGTCTTGCTAGGTTGGGGAAGTTCTCCTGGATAATATCCTGAAGAATGTTTTCCAACTTGGTTCCATTCTCCCTGTCACTTTCAGGTACACCAATCAAATGTAGGCTTGGTCTTTTCACATAGTCCTATAATTCTTGGAGGCATTGTTCATTCTTTTTCATTCTTTTTTCTCTAATCTTGTCTTCATGCTTTATTTCATTAAGTTGATCTTCAGTCTCTGATATCCTTTCTTCTGTTTGATCGATTCATCTACTGACACTTGTGTATGCTTCATAGAGTTCTCATGCTGTGTTTTTCAGCTCCATCAGGTCATTTATGTTCTTCTTTAAACTGGTTATTCTAGTTAGCAATTCCTCTAACCTTCTGTTTTTTCCTCTAACCTTTTTTCAAGGTTCTTAGCTTCCTTGCGTTGGGTTAGAACATGTTCCTTTAGCTAAGAGGAGTGTGTTATTACCCACCTTCTGAAGCCTACTTCTGTCAATTCATCAAACTCATTCTCTGTCCAGTTTTGTTCCCTTGCTGGCAAGAAGTCGTGATCCTTTGGAGGAGAAGAGGCATTCTGGTTTTTGGAATTGTCAGACTTTTTGTGCTGGTTTCTCCCCATCTTCATGTATTTATCCACATTTGGTCTTTGATGTTGATGACCTTCAGACACGGTTTCTGAGTGGATGTCCTTTTAGTTGATGCTGATGCTCTTCCTTTTTGTTAGTTTTCCTTCTAACTGTCAGGCCCCTCTGCTGCAGGTCTGCTGGAGTTTGCTGGAGGTCCACTGCAGACTCTGTTTGCCTGGGTATCACCAGCAGAGGCTGCAGAACAGCAAAGATTCCTGCCTGTTCCTTCCTCTGGAAGCTTCGTCCCAGAAGGGCACCCACCAGATGCCAACCAGAGCTCTCCTGTATGAGGTGTCTGTCAGCCCCTGCTGGGAGATGTCTCCCAGTCAGGAGACTCGGGGGTCAGAGACCCACTTGAAGAGGCAGTCTGACCCTTAGCAGAGCTCGAACGCTGTGTTGGCAGATCCACTGCTGTCTTCAGAACCGGTAGGCAGGGACATATAAGTCTGCTGAATCTATGCCCACAGCTGCCCCTTACCCCAGGTGCTCTGTCCCAAGGAGATGGGGATTTTATCTATAAACCCCTGACTGGGGCTGCTGCCTTTTTTTCAGAGATGCCCTGCCCAGAGAGGAGGAATCTAAAGAGGCAGTCTGCTGCAGTGGCCTCGCTGAGCTGTGAAGGGCCCCGCTCAGTTGAAACTTCCCCGTGGCTTAGTTTACTTTGTGAGGGGAAAACCGCCTACTCAAGCCTCAGTAATCATAGATGCCCCTCCCCCCACCAAGCTCAAGCATCCGAGATCTACTGCAGACTGCTCTGCTGGCAGAGAGAATTTCAAGCCAGTGAAACTTAGCTTGCTGGGTTCCATGGGGGTGGGATCCGCTGAGCTAGACCACTTGGCTCCCTGGCTTCAGCCCCTTTCCCAGGGGATTGAATGGTTCTGTCTCACTGGCATTCCAGGTGCCAATGGGGTACGAAAAAAAAAAAAGATTCCTGCAGCTAGCTCAGTGTCTGCCCAAACAGCTGCCCAGTTTTGTGCTGGAAACCCAGGGCCCTGGTGGCATAAGCACCCAAAGGAATCTCCTGGTCTGTGGGTTGTGAAGACCATGGGAAAAGCATAATATCTGGGCCAGAGTGCACCATTCCTCACAGCAGAGTCCCTCACAGCTTCCCTTGGCTAGAGGAGGGAGTTCCCTGATGCCTTATGCTTCCCTGGTGAGGCAATGCCCCACCCTACTTCAGCTCACCCTCCATGGGCTGCACCCACTGTCTAACCAATCCCAATGAGATGAGCTGGGCACCTCATTGGAAATGCAGAAATCACCTACCTTCTGTGTTGATCTCACTGGGAGCTGCAGACTGGAGCTGTTCCTGTTCAGCCATCCTGCCAGCCTCTCATGTATACATTTACAATATTGGATCATGCAAAATCTCCCTCCAGAGAGCTCTACCCATTCATTCACCCACCATCATATATGAGGTCACCTGTAGAGATTTTTCTGATACAAAAAGTTACATAGAAAATGTGTGGTTATAAATCCCCATTTTCTTTATCCAGTCCACCAATTATGGGCACCTAGGTTATTCCATGATTTTGCTATTGTGAAAAGTGCTGCAATGAACGGTTCTGTGTGTGTCATACACTCATAGAATAGTTTGTTTTCTTTCGGATATATACCCAGTAATGGGATTGTGGGATTGAATGGTAATTCTATTTTCAGTTCTTTGAGAAATCTCCAAACTGCTTTCCACAGTGGCTCAACTAATTTGCAGTCTCACCAGCAGTGTATAAGCATTCTCTCTTCTCTGAAACCTTGCCAACATCTGTTATTTCCTGATGTTTTAATAATAGTCATTATGACTGGTGTGAGATGGTATCTCTTTGGTATATCTTCTTCTGAGAAGTGTCTGTTCATGTCTCTTGCCCATTTTTTAATGTGGTTGTTTGTATTTTGCTTGTTGATTTGTTTTAGTTCCTTATAGTTCCTTATCCTTATAGATGCTGGATATTAGACCTTTGTCAGATGCATAGTATGCAAATATTTTCTCCCATTCTGTAGGTTGTCTGTTTACTTTGTTGATAGTCTTTTGCTGTGCAGAAGCTTTTTAGTTTAATTAGGTCCTACTTGTCTATTTTTGTTTTTTGCAATTGCTTTTGGAGACTTCTTTAAATCATTGCCAAGGCCTCCCAAAGTGCTGGGGTTACAGGCATGAGCCACTGTGCCTGCCCTGGGATTGCATTCTTGATTTAACTCTCAGTTTGGACATTATTGGTGTATAGAAATACTACTGATTTTTTACATTGATGTCATATCCCAAAACTTTCCATATTCTTTTGTTTTCAATGTTTCTTATAAACAAGAGATTACCAGGTTTTATTATTTAATCTCAGAGTCTCTGCCATTTGACAGGATGAGTTTAACTCATTTATATTTATTTTCATTACTGTTACATTAGTGCTTATTTCTCTCACTTTATTTTTGGTTTTTTATTTTTGTGGGTACATAGTAGGTATATATATTTATAGGACACATTAGATGTTTTGATATAGGCATCCAATTCATAATAATCACATAAAGGAAAATGGGGTATTTATCCTCTCAAGTGCTTATCCTTTGTGTTACAAACAATCCAATTATACTATTTTAGTTTTTTTGTTTGTTTGTTTGTTTGTTTGTTTTGAGATGGAGTCTCGCTCTGTCACCCAGGCTGGAGTGCAGTGGCGCCATCTCGGCTCACTGCAAGCTCCATCTCCTGGGTTCACACCATTCTCGTCCCTCAGCCTCCCCAGTAGCTGGGACTACAGGCGCCTGCCACCACGCCCGGCTAATTTTTTGTATTTTTAGTAGAGATGGGGTTTCACTGTGTTAGCCAGGATGGTGTCAATCTCCTGACCTCATGATCCACCTGCCTCAGCCTCCCAAAGTGCTGGGATTACAGGCGTGAGCCACCGCGCCCAGCCTATTTTAGTTATTTTTAAGTTTGGTTAAATTATTATTGACTATGGTCACCCTGTGTGCTATCAAGTAGTAGGTCTTATTCATTCTTTCTATTGTTTTGTACCCATTAACCATCCTCACTTCCCCCCACCCACTCCTCTACTACCATTCCTTCTACTCTCTTATCTCCATTAGTTCAATTGTTTTGATTTTAAATCCCACAAACAAGTGACAACATGAAATATTTGTCTTTTTGTGCCTGGTTTATTTTACTTAATGTAACGATATCCAATTTCATCTATGTTGTTGCAAATGACAGGATCTCATCTTTTTAATGGTTAAATAGTATCCATTGTGTATATGTACCACATTTTCTTTACCCATTCTTCTGTTGATGAACACTTAGGTTGCTTCCAAATCTTGGGTATTGTGAACAGTGCTGCAACAAACATGGGAGTGCAGATATCTTTTCAATATAACAATTCCTTTCTTTTGGGTATATACTTAGAAGTGGGATTGCTGAATCATATAGTAGCTCTATTTTTAGTTTTTTGAGGAACCATCAAACTCTTCTCCATAATAGTTGTGCTAATTTACACTCATGCCTACAGTGTATGAGGGTCTCCTTTTCTCCACATCCCCTCCAGCATTTGTTATTGTCTGTCTTCTAGATATAAGCCATTTTAACTGGGATGAGATGATATCTCATTGCAGCTTTTGATTTGCATTTCTCTGATGATCAGTGGTGTTGAGCACCTTTCTCTCACCTCATTTTGTTTTCTGTTTCCTATACTTTTTTCTAACTTTCTTGCTTACATTAGAGTTTAATTCTGCCACTTTACATTTTCTACTTCCAGCACTTTTTAAATGTTCCTACTATGGACTAATTTCATTCTGCTGGTTCGAAAGTTATGCATTGTATTTTTGCTGTTCTGGTGATTGTCCCTTACTTACTGACCTATATATAGGTATAATTTTTCCATCAATCCTTTAACTTATTAGTACCTGTGTTGTTCCCCAAATAAAATAAGTGCACTAGCTCAGTCTCACCTCCCTTCAATCACTCCTACGTTATACCTCCATCCTCAACATTTCACGACATCTAAAATTAATCCCCGGTCATCTCAGTTCACTTTCTCTTTTATTAGTTCTTGTTTTCTTGGAAAACAATAAACTTTACTAAAATATTTGCTTTCCCACACCTCTCATATCAGCATTCTGGTTTTATTTCTCTTCTTACTGAAGTTCTTTCTTTAAGATTCTGTCCACAGAAAGGTTTTGTGTGACAAGTCGTATTAGGCTGTGTATTAGTCCATTTTCACACTGCTGTGAAGAAATACCTGAGACTGGGTAATTTATAAAGGAAAGAGGTTTAATTGACTTACAGTTCTGCAGGCTGCACAGGAAGCTGGTGGCATCTGCTTCGAGGTTTCAGGGAGCTTTTAGACGTGGCGGAAGCCAAAGTGGGAACAGGCATCTTACATGGCAAGAGCAGGACCAAGTTGGGGGGAGGGGCCACACACTTTTAAACGACTAGATCTCAGGAGAACTCACTATTGTGACAACAGCACCAAGGGGAAATGACGTTAAACCATGAGAAACCACCCCTATGATCCAATCACCTCCTACCAGGCCCCACCTTCAGCCCTGGGGATTACATTTCAATATGAGATTTGGGTTGGGACACAGATCCAAACCGCATCAGGCTACGTGTATCAGTTAGAAATATGTTTGGCTACAAATAACACCCAAATGACTGACATAAACAAGATAGTGGTTTCTTTTTTGTTTTTGTTTTGTTTTGTTTTGTTTTGTTTTGTTTTGTTTGAGACGGAGTTTTGCCCTTGTTGCCCAGGCTGGAGTCCAATCGTGCGATCTCGGCTCACTGCAACCTCCACCTCCAGGGTTCAAGCCATTCTCCTGCCTCAGCCTCCAGAGTAGCTGGTATTGCAGGCACATGCCACCATGGCTGGCTAACTTTGTATTTTTAATAGAGATGGGGTTTCACCATGTTGGCCAGGCTGGTCTCAAACTCCCAACCTCAGGTGATCCACTTGCTTCGGCCTCCCAAAGTGCTGGGATTTCAGGCGTGAGCCACCGCGCCCAGCCGGTTTCTCTTCTTTTATTTAAAAGAAATCTGGGAGTAGGCAGTGTAAAGTTGGTACACTGACCCCATAATAATCAATTTCCCAGGCTCCAGGCTCTTTTTTCTGTGTCTGAATTTTACCCTACTCAGTTTATGGTTTCAATACTCAAGGTGGCCTCATATTCTAAGAATGCCAGAGCTCCAATCATCATGTCCATGTTCTGGGAAGGGACAAGGAGAAAGAGAGGGAGAGCAAGGGGCACATTTCCCATCCAGATGCGCTGCCTGGGCCGGGTGGGTGAGGGCTGCCAGCAGAGCAGAAGTTGTCCTGGAGAGTTACACATTCACCACACAGTAGCTCATCTGAGTCTCTGGCCGAGTCCTGGCCACCGGCTGCAGTAGCTTTTTCCCCGTGAAAGTTAATCTTCAGGAAATGGGCATCCCACTCTGTGTGTGGCAATGAAGTCCAGGGCTTTCAGGTTGAAGTTCCTCTGCCTCTGTTACCCACAAACATGAGGCAGCCCCAGAGACATTCAACAGGACCGGCCCGCGGTGCTCTCTGCCGCTGCGCCACAGCACCACCTGCTGGTCAGGAGACTGCTCGGCATCCCTGCCGTGGCTGGAACTCCTCCGGTCAAGATCAAGTGGAGCCTCTCCTGCGGGGCTGGGCGTGGTTGCTCACACCTGTAATCCCAGCACTTTAGGAAGCCGAGGCGGGCAGATCAACTGAAGTCAGGAGTTCGAGACCAACCAGGTCAACATGGTGAACACTCCGTCTCTACTAAAAATACAAAAATTAGCCGGGCGTGGTGGCAGGTGCCTGTAATCCCAGCTACTTGGAAGGCTGAGGCAAGAGAATCGCTTGAACCCGGGAGGCAGAAGTTACAGTGAGCCAAGATCGCACCATCGCACTCCAACCTGGGGGACAAGAGCGAGACTTCGTATCAAAAAAAAAAAAAAAAAAAAAAAAAAAAGGACATTACAAGGAAGTGCCGCAGCGGGCTGTGTGCTCTGCTCTGAGGAAGTGCCACAGCGCGCTGGGTCCTCTGCTCCGGCTGGTACTGTAGAAGGAGGCATGTAGCCCTTGATAGCATTTTCGGGGCAGGGTAATTCCCCATTTTATGCTCAATCGCAAGACCTTAATTCTTTTCTTTTCGTTTCATTTCTTTTCTTTTCTTTTTTTGTAGATAGAGTCTCATTCTGTCATCCCTGCTGGAGTGCAGTGGCACAATCACAACTCACTGCAGCCTCAACCTCACCGGGCTCAGGTGATTCTCCCACCTCAGCCTTCCAAGTAGCTGGGACAACAGGCGTGTGCCACCACACCTGGCTAATTTTTGTATTTTTTGTAGAGACGGGGTCTCATCATGTTGCCCAGCCTCATCTCAAACTCCTGGCTCAAGCAATCCACCCACTTCGGACTCCCAGAGTGCTGGGATTACACACACGAGCCACCACATCCAGCCTGGCTGTTAAGTCTTAATTCAGGGCAACTAATTCTTTCCAATCCCTACACTCTACCTTCCAGGCCAGCCCAGAATAAGACTAGCACCTCCCACCTCATGAACCCAGAACTACCCTTCTTGCCTCCTCAGTAACCAGCCCCCCACCCCAGAATGAAATCATTTATCATTTAAGCCCTCAAAATACATAGAGTCTTATCATAGTCTTCTCCTCAGATGCACGGGGCCTCCTTCCCTACTTCTGTGTTTCCAAGGATGGCTACTGTGATGGAGGTCTTGCATTGGTACCCACCCCACCTATCATCATAATTTATAATTCTCTATCTTGCTCCAGGACCTGGTGGGCTAACCTGCGTGTTCTACAAAGACAGACCCCTTTGCCCTCTGGATTCCAATTGGATTTGGCCAATGAGAAGCACTGGCAAGAGATAAGGGAGAGAGCCTGGGCCCGATGGCTCACACCTGTAATACCAACACTTTGGGAGGCCAACGCAGGCGGATCACCTGAGGTCCAGGAGTTTGAGACCAGCCTGACCAACATGGCAAAACCTAGTCTCTACTAAAAATACAAAAATTAGCCTGGGTGGTGGGTGTGCCTGTAATGTCAGCTACTTGGGAGGCCGAGGCAGGGAGAATTGCTTGAACCCAGGAGACAGAGGTTGCGGTGAGCCAAGATCGTGCCACTGTACTCCAGCCTGGGCAACAGAGCATTACTCTGTCTCAAAAAAGAGAGAGAGAGACAGACAGGCAGGCAGACAGAAAGAGAGAGAGAGATGAGGGAGAGAGGAGAAAGAGATCAAGTCTTTATTCCCCCACCTCCCCCCTTGTAAGGTGGCAGCATCCCTTGACCAAAGGCCACAGCTCATATCAAGCAGCATCCTCTGCAGAGCTCTTTCTGTCCCCAGGTTCTGGTAACTGCTTATTTCCCTTATATCTTCAGGGCTAGGAGTGGTCACAGAGCCCTGTCGCTCTGGTCCTAGGGTACTGTTCTATCCCTTGTGCTTCCTACCTCCTGCCCACACCTTTGTAAAGAGTCCCCCTGTGTATTTCTCCTCGATCTGAGTGTGCTCTCTCCTGCCAGGAGCCTAATACAGTTACCTTCGGTGGCAGTGGTTTCAAGGTGGTTTTCTATACCAGGATGCGCTGCAAAAACCTAGAGCTTTTCTTGCCGAGGAAAAGAATCATCACAAACTAATCCCAAGCAGGACAGTCCTCTACCGAAGTTTTCCCAACCTAATTTACAGAGATGATATTCACAAGGGTTATGTCTTTTGACCCTAAATTTTTATTTACCATACAAGCAAAATCATATTGATTGCTAGGTGGTTGGCTAAGTCCCCTTGGTAGCTAATTGGCTGAGTCCCTCCCACTAACCTTGAAACATGAATGATTTTACTTTATACCTCAACAAAAATACAAACTTCTGGGAATAGTCATCCTGGGAAGGCCAAGAGTAACCAGCTTTAGAAGGAAAAAACAGTGACCAAAGAAGGAACAGGACACTGTCCTCAGGCCACCCAGCTCATCTTCACCAGGTGAGGTCATGCAAACCATACCCCACCCCTCCCACACGTGGGACAGCATCTCAGAGAGAGAAGCAGGGGCAGGGTGCAGGCCAGCTGAAAGTAGAACAATTTTATCAAAAAGAGGGTGAACCCTGCCTAAAGGTGATTTGCTAATCAGATCCTAAGTTTTTAACTGGATTGGACATTTAGTGAAATGTTTTGTTTTGTTTTGTTTTTTGTAACTAGTAGGTAGGGGACTTAGGAGGAAGGCCAGACAAGTTACAATAAAAAGATTTTTAATTATACTTTTTCTATATTTCTAAGTTGTGATCTAGGTTAAATTTTTGCAACTTGTTACACTTACTAAGGAGCATTTCTGTCAAGGAAATCAAAGGGAAACATGACTTGGAAAAGAGCCTTCTGGCAAGAGTGAGGAAGTGGGAGACCAACTGGGGGCTGTTGCCAATGTAACTATAGATACTATATATATCCTATATATACATGCTATACTATATATTATATATACTATACTATTAGTATATATAATGGTATGTACACTATAGTATACAGAGTATATATGAGTGATAATATATTACTGTTTATACATAAAAATAATTATATATTAATTATGTAATAATATATTTGTATGATAGATTATTATATACATAATTATTAGTTATACTATTAGTATAACTATTAGTATAATAATACATTATATATAAAGATATATAGTTATATATTATATTATTATATATCATTATAATTACATAACTATATATACATAGCTAGTTATGTATATAATAATCTATCATACAAATATAACTAAATTATTACATAATTAATACATAATTATTGTTATGTATAAACAGTAATATATTATTACAGTTTTATATCTATATACTCAATAGTATATAGATACACACCACACACACACATACACACACGCACACATGCACATACACAAATGTATACACCCAGGTGTTTCTGGTGCTATCTCCATTTATTAATACTTTGGGTGGGAATATTCAGTCTGGAAAGATCAAGAGTAACCAGCTTCAGACGGAAAAGGCAGTGACCAAAGGAGACACAGGACACTGTGCTCAGGCCACCTATGGATATTTTTCCTTTAACAGAATTTGAATATTCTGGTTACACCTGCATTGGTATTTCAGGTGAAGCTGTTTCCACAGATCTTAGCCATTCCCTTGATGTTTCTGACCCAAGCACAGAGCTGTTTGTGGCTGGCTTGCAAAGTAAGGCAAGGACACAGTAGAAGTTTCTCCAACCCCAGCCCTTTCCCTCCAGCGGAAACCTTCGCAGATCCTCTTGGAGACTGGCCCAGCAGCAGGGTGTTGGGAGCCCCTTGACATTCTCTTGGTTGCTGGTACCTGGTCCCACCACGAGCACTGCAGTTGGAAAGCTGCAGAGGCAGGGGCCTTTCAGGCACCCAGAGGGCAAGGTTCTGCAGCTCACATCCCACTAACGGGGTCACTGATGGCTTCTTGGCACAGTAAGGGCAGCACATGGAGCTCCCCAGGGTGAGGGGCTGGACTTCGGTCATACTGGTCTTTGGTCTTGTCTTCACACCCTCTCCTTGAATCTCTCTCTCCCTCTGCCAGAAAAATTGCAGATCCCTTCAAGAATAATCTATGGAGCCTCCTTATCAAAAAACTCTCACACCTCAACATGATCTTTCCATGCTGAGTTCCCTTAATTTTCTGGCCTACAGACTCTTTACTGGGAAGGTTTTGGGAGAGGCAGCTTGCTCCCCTAAGGAGATGTTAAGAAGTTGACAGGGGCAATTTGAGCTGTGGTGAAAAGCACAGGCTCAGACATCCATTGACTCTTGATCCCAGACCCTTGCTGTGTCACCATGAACAAGTTACTCAACCTATCTAATCTTGATTTCCTCATTTGTAAAATAGAGGAAATAATACATACTTCATATAGTTGTTGTAAGGATCAGCTGAGATGTGCCTGGAAACTACCTATCACAGTTTCTGGCCCTTAGTAAACAGTAAATTACCGTTATAATTATGACTGCAGGGAGCCCTCTTCTCCCCATTCTTTCCAGATGCTTAGTGAGGACCACTGTGTGTAACAGAATCTTCCTGATGGGGACCTGTGGCCCATGTGAACCCTGTGAAGTCAGAACAAAGATCTAGAACCACTGCACTCGCCAATTCTTCCCAACCTCATACATTTGGGCACATATACTTGCAACCCACACTAGACTGAAAGTGTCTTGCAGAAATGTCATATTCCTTTTGTATCCTCCACAATGTCTACAAATCCCAGGGTTGGGCATGCTATTAATATTTGACAAATGCTCGTTGACGAATTGTTGGTAGTAGTACACTGGAAAGTAATTAGGATGAACAGTGCCCTATGATCATTGGAAAGCATCTGGCATCATGGAAAATTATTTAGTGCCTACCGTTCATCCATTTAGTAGAAATAGCGCCCTGCTTATAAATTAGAAACCCTAATTATCTTGATGGATGCCTCTTTTGCAGCCTCAGGTAGTTTGATTTTGCTTACTGTTAAGGAGGTGTTCAAATTTTTTAAAACAATTATTCAAATTGTTTTGCAAAGCCTGGCGAGCATCATAAAAGCTCTAGATCATAAATCATAAAGAAAAACAAGACAGAGGTAAAGTCGCAGGTGTGACCTTTGTTTTCAGTATTCTTTCCAATGAACAGCTTGTAACTGCCACGATGTCAAAGCCATGGCCGCCTTAGTTTTCATGTAAAGTATTTCCGCCTTTTTCCAGTCAATGAACACTGTCCACTATGGCCAGATTCTATACTAAACTCTGAGGCTATAACAGTGAAGAAGACGGATCGGATAAGGCCCCTGTCCTCCTGGAGTTCACAGTTTCATGGCCTTTGTGTTTGGGGGGTACTTGTGTCCTTCAAAGATGTGGTCCATTAACCTAGGGATTAGCACTTTGCAACATTCTGTGTGGTCACTTTTAGAGAGGCAGGTCCCAAAAGACAGGGCCCATGTGAGGTCCATGGTATGATGCCTATAATGTGCCACATGGGGGGTCGCCTCCTGCAGCCTCCAGCCTGGGAATAGATGAGGTGCAGAACCGAAAGGAAGATGGGATCTGAACAAAAGTCTGTGTCCACAGGAGACATGCAGGAGAAAGTGAATATCGAGTGAGTGAGAGAAACAAAAGTCAAAATGAGGCTGGGCGCAGTGGCTCACGCCTGGAATCCCAGCACTTTCGGAGGCTGAGGCAAGCAGATCACTGGAGGTCAGGAGTTCCAGACCAGCCTGACCAACATGGGGAAACCCCATCTCTACTAAAAATACAAAAACTAGCTGAGCGTGCCGGCGCATGCCTATAATCCCAGCTACTCAGGAGGCTGAGTCAAAAGAATCGCTTGAACCTGGGAGGCGGAGGTTGCAGTGAGCCACGATCATGTCACTGCGCTCCAGCCTGGGTGACAGAGACTCCATCTCAAAAAACAAAACAAACAAAAAAGTCAAAATGGATGCGTCTTCAGGAGGTGAATCAAAATCCACCCCTGCCTGTGCCAGGCCCCATGGATACACAAGACAGCCGGAGAGCCACACAGCTGACAATGCAGCAGGGGAGAGAAATCATAGACTCCAGCTACTCAGTTACTAATTTCAGCTGGGGAAGACTCTCCAAGGGAGAAATAGGGGTTCTATGAGCGCATCTTACAGGGACCTATCCTGGCCTGAAGGGACTGCTATATCCTTTCCCAGAAACCTAGACATAAAAGATGAAGTAAAATAAACATGATAGAAAAATGGACATGCGAGTGGGTAAAGAAAAACCAGAAATTCCGACTTAGCAACTGGGAACATGACGGTGCTGTTTATGAGGTGGGGAATCCTGGAGACAGAAAAGGTTTAGAGGAAGGATATTAAGTTTGGCTTGGGATATGCTGAGCTTGAGATGCCTAGAGGACATCAGAGAAGCCAAAGTGATCATTTAAATTGTTCCATAGAGGCTGGACGCGGTGGCTCACACCTGTAATCCCTCTTTGGGAGGCCGAGGCAGGTGGATCACCTGAGGTCAGGAGTTCGAAACCAGCCTGGCCAACATGGTGAAACCTCGTCTGCACTAAAAACACAAAAATTAGCCAGGTGTGGTGGTGCGTTCCTGTAATCCCAGCTACTCAGAGGCTGAGGCAGGAGAATCACTTGAACCCAGGAGATGGAGGCTGCAGTGAGCCGAGATCATGCCACTACACTCCACAATGGGTGACAGAGCAAGACTCAATCTCAAAAAAAAATTGTTCCATAGAACCTTCCAGTGGCTTGGCAGTGGAAGCCACATTTAAGATGGAAGCCACACTTAGTATAGAAGCCACACCTTTTTTTTTTTTTTTTTTTTTGAGACAGAGTCTGGCTTTGTCGCCCAGGCTGGAGTGCAGTGGCATGATCTTGGCTCACTGCAACCTCTGCCTCCCAGGTTCAAGTGATTCTCCTGCCTCAGCCTCCTGAGTAGCTGGGATTACAGGCACACACCATGATGCCCGGCTAATTTTTGTATTTTTAGTACAGACGGGGTTTCACTATGTTGGTCAGGCTGGTCTCAAACTCCCAACCTCGTGATCTGCCCGCCTCGGCCTCCCGAAGTGCTGGGATTACAGGCATGAGCCACCGTGCCCGGCCACGAAGCCACACTCTTTACCAAGGCTTTCGGGGTGGTGGACCTTACTGACTAGCACAGCCTCATCTCATGTTTCTCTCTCTCTTACTGTGGTCCACCCACAGCAACCTTCTCTCTCTTTCTTGAGCACACCAAGCCTGCTCCTCCTTGCCTGGACAGACTTACCTCTGGATTTTGCACAGCTGATTCTTTCTTACTATTCACATTTAAACCTAAACGTCCTCTCGTCAGAAAGAGCTTTCCTAACTATAAGAGGTATTCATATCCTATCACCCTGTTTTATTTTCTTCGAATGCCTTTTGCTCTCTGAAATTATCCCGTACACTCGTTTGTGTCTGTCTGTTGACACCCTAATTTTACCCAGAATGTAAGCCGGTCCATGTAGGTGGGGGGACCAACCCTGTCTTGTTCAATGATGTCCTGTAAGTACTTAAAACATGGCCTGGAACATAATGGAAGCTCAATAGCCATGGAATGAATGGATAAGATATTAAGGAACAAGTGATATATGTGGATTTGCAAGTGAGATAAAAGGTCTGACTACAGGTAAATACCTGGGAGTTGTCAGTGTACAGATAACAACTGAAGCCAGGGAAGTAGTGGGTCTAGGGAGAAAGATTAGAGTTAAAAGAAAAAAAAAAGCCAGTCTAGGCTGGAGCCCTGAAAAACACCCAATAGGTCAGGTGGGGCTTATAATGGAAACTGAGAAGGAAGATCCAGAGAAGGAGGGAGGAAGAGGCCTAAGACAGTGAGAGGCCACAGAGAAAGGAAGAGGAAATTTGGAGGACAGAGCGGTAAAAAGATTCAAATGCTATTATGAGACCAAGCAAGACAAGAATTACAAAGTGTATTTTAAATGTAGTGCCTTTTTAAAATTTTTTATTTTTAATTTTTGTGGGTACACAGTAGGTATATATATAATTTATGAGTTACATGAGATATTTTAATACAGGCATACAATGTATAATAATCACATCAGTGTAAATGGGGAATCCATCACCTCAAGCATTTACCCTTTGTGTTATAAACAATCCCATTATACTCTTTAATTATTTTTAAATGTACAACTGAATTATTATTGACTATAGTCACCCTGTTGGGCTATCAAATACTAGGTCTTATTTATTCTAACTATTTTTTGTACCCATTAACCATCCCCATTTCCTCCCACCACCACCCCCTACTACCCTCCCCAGCCTCTTGGAACCATCCTTCTACTCTCTATCTTTTCTTTTCTTTTTTTTTTTTTTTTTTTTTTTTGCTTTTGAGATGGAGTCTCACTCTTTCGCCAGGCTGGAGTGCAGTGGCACAATCTCAGCTCACTGCAATCACCGCCTCCCAAGTTCAAGTGATTCTCCTGCCTCAGCCTCCAGAGTAGCTGGGATTACAGGTACACACCACCACACCCAGTTAACTTTTGTATTTTTAGTAGAGACAGAGTTTCACCATGTTGGCCTGGATGGACTCAATCTCCTGACCTCGTGATCCACCTGTCTTGGCCTCCCAAAGTGCTGGGATTACAGGTGTGAGCCACCGCGCCCAACCTACTCTCTATCATTATGAGTTCAATCGTTTTAATTTTTAGCTTCCATAATTAAGTGAGAACATGCAAAGTTTGTCTTTCGGTGCCCGGCTTGTTTCACTTAACATAATGACCTCTAGTTCCACCTATGTTGCTGCAAATGGCAGGATCTCATTCTTTTTATGGCTGGATAATACTCCCTTGTGTATATGTACCACACTTTCTTTATCCATTTATCTTTGATAGACACTTAGGTTGCTAACAAATCTTGGCTATTGTGAATGGTGCTGCAGTAAACCTTGGAGTTAGATATCTCTTCAAAATCCTGATTTCCTTTCTCTTGGGTATACACTTAGCAATGGGATTGCTGGATCGTATGGTAGCTCTACTTTTAGTTTTTTGAGGAACCTCCAAACTGTTCTCCATAGTGGTTGTACTAATTTGCACTCCCACCAACAGTGTACAAGGGTTCTCTTTTCTCCACATCCTCCCCAGCATTTGTTATTGCCTGTCTTTTGGATAAAAGCCATCTTAACTAAGGTGAGGTGATATTTCATTGTAGTTTTGATTTGTATTTCTTGGATGATCAATGATGTTGAGCACCTTTTCATTTGCCTGTTTGCCATTTGTATGTCTTCTTTTGAGAAATGCCTATTCAGATCTTTGACCCACTTTTAATCAGATTATTATTATTTTTTCCTATAAAATTGTTTAAATGTAGCCAGGCACAGTGGCTCACACCTATAATCCCAGCACTTTGGGAGGCCAAGGCAGATGGATCACTTGAGGTCAGGAGTTCGAGATCAGCCTGGCCAACATGAAAAACCCCAACTCTACTAAAAATACAAAAATTAGCCGGGTGTAGTGGTGGGTGTCTGTAGTTCCAGCTACTCAGGAGGCTAAGGCGGGAGAATCGCTTGAACCCAGGAGGCGGAGGTTACAGTGAGCCAAGATCGCACCACTGCATTCCAGCCTGGGCGACAGTCTCAAAAAAAAAAAATTGTTTAAATGTAATGTTTGAGCAGACAGGTTGACCTTGGAGGGAAGAGTTTGGATGACAAGTGTGCTGGTGGCAGGAATGGAGTGGGGTGAGGAGTGAGTGGGTGGTGGGATGGGGACACAGGGAGAGAAGAAGTTTTTGGAGAGAAGATAACACAGTTGGCAGATTCTCTAGAGCCTATCAAGGCATTGCCTTGTGGGATGAAGTCATTATAAATTTGGGGTCTCAAAAAAACAATGGGCATAGGGATCATGCAAATTCCTGAATTTAGGCACAAAGCCTCAGCTGCCCACGTATAAAACAGGCCAGTGTGAAACTCCCACTTGCCCGTGCTTCTGAGGAGAGTGTCTGTTCATCTGAGGCTAAGGCAACACTGACCTTTATAGCTCCCACTGAAAGCTGATGGTTCTGGCTTTCGAGTCAGGGACCTGTGGTTATCAGCCCTGGGTAAACTTGACAAAAGGAGTGACGGGCAGAATTGCCTGGAGCAGTGATGAGAAAATCCGAAACCAAAAAGGGTATATAGGATGACTCCTCCGGGATACTTGGACATGCTCCCGGAGGCTCTGCAGTTAACCTGCCTATAGGAGGGGAGGAGCCTAGGATTCTGTTGCTGACACTCCAGCTTCTGTTGCATCCCCTCCCCACTTTTCCGAAAGGCACAGCAACTCCTTGGGTCATCGTACATTGGCAGGAGGAAGCTGGGTTTGCCATCAGAAAAAGAGGATGACCTCGGTTAACAAAAGTAAAACATTTGGGAGGCCAAGGCGGGTGGATCACCTGAAGTCAGGAGTTCGAGACCAGCCTGACCAACATGGTGAAACCCCATCGCTACTAAAAATACAAAATCAGCTGGACATGGTGGCACATGCCAGTAATCCCAGCTACTTGGGAAGCTGAGGTGGGAGAATTGCTTGAACCCGGGAGGCAGAGGTTGCAGTTAAGCCGAGATCGCACCATTGCACTCCAGCCTGGGCAACAAGAGCAAAATTCCATCTCACAAAGAAACACAAACAAAAACAAAAATAAAACAACAGGAATGCCAACAAGGAAAGGCAGCTCTGGGTCAGCAAGCACACCCTTCTTTGTCCAAAGGGCAGAACACAACACGAGCAGCAGAGAAGGAGCCCAGGATAACCTGGAGGAAGACATCAGCTGGTGGCTGGAAAGGCTGCTCCAGGGTGTGTCAGGCAAATTAAATGAACTCAGCCAAGACTATTTTATAAAATAATAATCATGTCCAATATATTATTCTATTCTACATCTCATAAAGTACTTTCACATACATTATTTCTTCTCATTAATCAATTGAAAGGAACATATTCTAGAGTGGCTCCTGGAAGAGAATGGTCTAGATTTATTTGAGCATAGGGAGGATAACAATGTTAGTCCAGCTCAGAAGAAGCAAGTGAGGCTGCCAGGGTCACCCCAGGCAGACACTCGGCACAGGAATTTCAGCACGGGCCCTTGACCCTAAGATGCACAGGAATGGAACACTCAGGCTTCATTTTAAGCTTTCCCTGCTTGTGAAGGTTAATTTCAGGTGTCAGCTTGACTGGATTAAGGGATACCCAGATAGCTGGTAAACCACTATCTGTGGGTGTGTCTGTGAGGGTGTATTCAGAAGAGGTTGGCATTTGAATCACTGGGAAGATCCACCCTCACCCAGTGTGGGCCCAATCAGCTGAGGGCCCACGTAGAACAGAAAGGCAGACAAAGGGTGAATTTGCTCTTGCTGTCTCTCTGCTGGAGCTGGGACACCCTTCTTCTCCTGCCCTAGGCAATAGGAACTTCAGGTTCTCTGGCCTTTGGACTCTGGAACATACATCAGCTGCCTCCCAGTTTCTCAGGCCTTCAGCCTCAGACTTCCATTTCACAATATCAACTTGTCTGGTTCTCAGGCCTTTGGGCTTGGACTGAGACACGCTTCAGGCTTCCCTGGTTCTCCAGCTTGCAGCTGGCCTGCCATGGGACTTCTCAGCCTCCATCCTCACATAAGCCAATTCCCCTAACAAATCCCCCTATATATTTATACAAACATATAGTTATATATAATCTCCTATTGGTTCTGTCTCTCTAGAGAACCCCAACTAATACACTGCTCTACACAGCTCTACAGTAATGGAGGTCTAAATGATAATCTAAGTAAAATGTTTGCTAACTACCTGCCATCTCTAATTAGCTACACCATTAGCTAGATCAAATAGCTAATCAACTAGCTAGACCAACATGCAAAGGAGAGAATCCTCCTCTCATTACACATACTTCTGGAAAGGCTAATAAGTGTAGAAGAAAGAAAAGTGTCAATCGCCTAACTCAGGATCAACAAACTTTCTGCAATGGGCCAGGAAGAAAATATGTGAGGCTTTGTAGGCCACCATCGTCTGTTCCAGCTACTCAACCCTGCCACTCTAGGGTGAAAGCAGCCAGAGACAATATGTAACAAACAAATGAGTGTCAACTAATGAGAAATAAGGGCTGGACATGGTGGCTCATGCCTGTAATCCCAACAATTTGGGAGGCTGAGGCTGGTGGATCATGAGGTCAGGAGATCGAGACCATCCTGGCCAACATGGTGAAACCCTGTCTCTACTAAAATACAAAAAATTAGCTGGGCATGGTGGTGCACGCCTGTAGTCCCAGCTACTCAAGAGGCTAAGGCAGGGAAATCACTTGAACCCAGGAGGCAGAGATTGCAGTGAGCCTAGATCATGCCACTGCACTCCAGCCTGAGGACAAAGCGAGACTCCGTCTCCCCCGACCAAAAAAAAAAAAAAAACCCTGCAGGGCAGCAAACAAGAGAGGAATTGCAATGCGGGAGACACAAATCTAGCAAGCAGCTAAATCATGTTCCCTCCAAGTGAGGTTGAGCAGGAGTTTTAGAGGTTTACTGTAAATTTACACAAGTGGGACAACTTAGCATGGTCTATGATTAATGGTGATTGATTGACAGCTTAGAATGTCTCTAGCTGATGATCAGCTTATGTTGGCACAGCTCTCTCCCCAGGAGATTTGTGATCAGGCCCAATATAAATAGGTTAAACTAAATGTACCTGCTTCTTCAGGATGTTTACAGTTTGGCCCAGTTCCACAGGTGACATTCTGTCTGGGTGTGTATAGGCCTGGGTCCAACTCTTCCTACCCACCCACCAACTTTTTAGATGCCTCTGACATAGCCATTTCCATCCTGGATTTCCTTTCATATAAATATGTTTGTTTCCCAAGAAGACTTTATTTCTGAACCCTGAAATTTGATTTCACATAATTTCCATGTGTCAGAAAGTACTGTTCTTCTTTTGATTTTTTTAACCATTTAAAAATATAAAATCCAGGGCCGGGCGCGGTGGCTCACGCCTGTAATCCCAGCACTTTGGGAGGCCGAGGCGGGTGGATCACAAGGTCAGGAGTTCGAGACCAGCCTGGCCAACCTGGTGAAACCCTGTCTTTACTAAAAATACAAAAAATATCTGGGCGTGGTGGCGGGCGCCTGTAATCCCAGCTACTCGGGAGGCTGAGGCAGGAGAATCACTTGAACCCAGGAGGCGAAGGTTGCAGTGAGCCGAGATCACGCCATTGCACTCCAGCCTGAGCGACAAGAGTGAAACTCCGTCAAAAAAACAAAAAACAAAACAAACAAACAAAAACGTGCAGAGGGCAGAGCAGAGGATGCATGCACGTGGAAAATGAGAATAACTCTCTTACCTACCTTCAGCAGTGCTCTAACAATTGCAGCAGATTATACCCCAGAGGTCGCAGGAGGAAAAGACTTAACCCTGAAGGCAGGCCAGCCGCTGGGAGAGCCAAGAAGAGGCAAAGCTTTACGTGCCCTCTAGCCCGCTGCCCACTTCCAGAGCCAGGTAAGTCAGTTCTCCTTCTGAGAAGGTGAGGACTGCCTCCTATGGCTAGATGAAGAGTGATTTCTATAAACAGCCCTGGCTCCGGGCAATGTGGGTACCGTCATGACCATCACAAATATGTTTACATTTGCTAAGATCGCAAACAATCTAAACAACCACCGATAGCGCTGAGACAGAATGGTGTCCAAGATATACTACTGAGTGAGAAGAGGAAATTACAGGTCACCCAGGACATTACGCAAGGCGCACACTATTTGTATCAAAGAAGGGTGGCCACAGACGGAGGAGGCTCCCACCACAGGCCAACTTCATCATTGCAAAGCCTCCGCCAGCCGATCCCTGGGGAAACAGCGCCTCCTTGGGGCCAGAGCGCTGTATCTGCACCCCACACCTCCGCATTGGAGGTGTCAGGATGGCTGAGGCCGCCTTGGAGGGTGGCTGCTTCATCTCACCGACCCCTGGTGAAGACGCTAAGAAATGATGGTGCTCTAAAAGAAGTCTCTTTGGCTGTTTCGTTTATCCCATCAGAAAAGAACAGAGATTCAAATCTTGCTATCACCATATTGCCTTTTCATCATCAGGGTTAGCCACAGCACAAGCTATTGAGAAGCTGCTTGGCAAAACTCCTGTGCCCAAGAGGATTGTGTCTTATGGGCTTCAGACACAATCTCTGCCAAGGAGAACCTGCAGTCTAGGATGAGGAAACAGTTATAGAGAGTAGATAGATAAAAAGATATAAGTATTTACAAATCCATAGTATAGGGTTGGTAATAAATTACTAGAACAAACAGGAACTGATTTATTACTTACATCTTAGTTCTTTCCAAAAAAAATTGTGAGTTACAATATGAAACTGCAGAGGATGTCAAATCATTTAGGGACAGGGAGAGCACGAGGCTTGGAGAAGGAAGGACAGAATTCCATCCCTGGCCCTCTCACTTCACACTTGGTATGACTCTTCACTGCCCTTTGACCTGGAGTTTTGGGGGCACCAAACTCTAGGTGAAAACCTCTCTATACAATCAACTCAAACTGAGGGAAGAGAGAGACCCTCTCATATTGTTTTATACTGTTTTATACTCAGTACCTGTTTTAAGAAAAAATGACAAGGAAGTAAAACCAAAGACAGGCAGCCCGGCGCCAGGCCCAAAACCAGTCCTGGGCCTGCCTGGCCTAAACCCAGTAGTTAAAAATCAACTCACAACTTAGAAACTGATGTTATTCATAGATTCCAGACATTGTATAGAAGAACACTGTGACACTCCCTGCCCTGTTCTCTTTCTCTCTGACCACCGGTGCATGCAGCCCCTGTCATGTACCACCTGCTTGCTCAAATCAATCACGACCCTTTCATGTGAAATCTTTAGTGTTGTGAGCCCTTAAAAGGGACAGAAATTGTGCATCGGGGAGCTCAGATTTTAAGGCAGTAGCTTGCCGATGCTCCCAGCTGAATAAAGCCCTTCCTTCTACTACTCGGTATCTAAGAGGTTTTGTCTGCGGCTCGTCCTGCTACAAAACCTCTTGGTATGATACTCAAGACTAATATTAAAACTGATATTAATCATCCTCCAGGAACTAAGTGGGGTAAGTCAGGAAGTCAGATGTTTATGAAATTATCTCTAAAACAAAAATGACTAGTAAAAGGTTTGAGAACTAGGTGATGAGATAATCTGTACAACAAACCCCTATGACACAAGTTTACTTGTGTGACAAACCTGCAGTTGTACCCCTGAACTTAAAATAAAAGTTAAAAACAAAAAAGGTACATTAGAACTAGCCCTTTAAAATCTGAACATGATTTTTTAAATATATTAAGTACTTTGAGAATTTTACTTAGAAGGTTCTTTGTGGGGAAAAGAGAGATGAGACTGTTACTGTGTCTATGGAGAAAGAAGTAGACATAAGAGACTCCATTTTGTTCTGTACTAAGAAAAATTCTTCTGCCTTGAGATGCTGTTAATCTGTAACCCTACCCCCAACCCTGTGCTCCCTGAAACATGTGCTGTGTCAACTCAAGGTTAAATGGATTAAGGGCTGTGCAGGGTGTGCTTTGTTAAACAAATGCTTGAAGGCAGCACGCTTGTTAAGAGTCATCACCACTCCCTAATCTCAAGTACCCAGGGACACAATACACTGCGGAAGGCCACAGGGACCTCTGCCTAGGAAGGCCAGGTATTGTCCAAGGTTTCTTTCCACGTGATAGTCTGAAATATGGCCTCATGGGAAGGGAAAGACCTGACCGTACCCCAGCCTGACACCTGTAAAGCGTCTGTGCTGAGGAGGATTAGTAAAAGAGGAAGGCCTCTTTGCAGTTGAGATAAGAGGAAGGCATCTGTCTCCAGCTCGTCCCTGGGCAATGGAATGTCTCGGTGTAAAACCCAATTGTATATTCCATCTACTGAGATAGGAGAAAACTGCCTTAGGGCTGGAGTTGGCACATGCTGGCAGCAATACTGCTCTTTAAGGCATTGAGATGTTTATGTATACGCACATCAAAAGCACAGCACTTTTTTCTTTACCTTGTTTATGATGCAGAGACATCTGTTCACAGGTTTTCCTGCTGACCTTCTCTCCACTATTACCCTATTGTCCTGCCACATTCCCCTCTCCAAGAAATGCCCAATAATGATCAATAAATACTAAGGGAACTCAGAGACTGGTGCCAGCGCGGGTCCTCCGTATGCTGAGTGCCAGTTCCCTGGGCCCACTTTTCTTTCTCTATACTTTGTCTCTGTGTCTCTTTCTTTTCTCAAGTCTTTCATTCCACCCGATGAGAAACACCAACAGGTGTGGAGGGGCAGGCCACCCTTTCAGTTCTTCACTTAATCCAAGCACGTTTTTCTGAAGAAAACAGCACAGGCAACATCATAGCAAAATAGGCGAATGAAAAGTGACAGTTCTCTGGAAGAGAACCATCATTATCAAGAAAATTTGGGCCGGGCACAGCAGCTCACGCCTGTAATCCCAACACTTTGGGAGGCCACGGCGGGCGGAGGCCAAGGCGGGCGGGTCACCTGAGATAAGGAGTTCAAGACCAGCCTGGCCAACATGGCGAAACTCTGTCTCCGCTAAAAAATACAAAAATTAGTTGGGTGTGGTGGCAGGGGCCTGTAATCTCAGCTACTCAGGAGGCTGAGGCAGGAGAATCACTTGAACCCGGGACGCGGAGGTTGCAGTGAGCTGAGATGGCGCCACTGCACTCCAGCCTGGGCAACAGAGTAAGACTCCAACTCAAAAAAAAAAAAAAGACAGAGAGAGAGAAAAAAAAAGAAAATTTGAATTCATATGAATTACTTTATTACACTTAATGTTTTATATGATTAAAGAAGCTTTTTTAAAATAATTCTTTAGAGAATCCTATATAATCAGTGTAGACAGAATGATAGAAAGTCTCCTTTTGCACATGTTGTCATTTGTTTCATACTAATTATTGCCAGGCACAAAGTGTGAGGATTTATAGTCCAAGCTATATAGAAATGTCATTATTAATAAATAATGCTTCACAATAACAACAACAAAAGAATGACTAGTGAAGTCTATAACAACAGTTATGTGGAAAGTGCTGGGCCAGGCACGGTGGCTCATGCCTGTAATTCCAGCACTTGGGAGGCTGAGACGCATGGATCACCTGAGGTCAGGAGTTCCAGACCAGCCTGCCCAACATAGTGAAACCCCATCTCTATTAAAACTATAAAAATTAGCCAGGCGTGGTGGCGGGCGCCTGTAGTCCCAGCTACTCAAGAGGGTGAGGCAGGAGAATGGCTTGAACCTGGGAGGGGGAGGTTGCAGCGATCCAAGATTGTGCCACTGCACTCCAGCCTGGGCAACAAAAGCGAAACTCCATCTCAAAAAAAAAAAAAAAAAAGAAAGGAAGGAAGTACTGAAAAAAGCGCTAAAGGAGCTATGATTTTGACTCAGTAGGAACTGAGTTAGGCCTCTTGGAACAGATGAACTATGATCTTGGGAGAAAGCGGTTCCCAGCAAAGTAAAGGCCTAGAGGAGAAGCCACACATGGTCCCTCAGAAGAATGGATGTCAAATCAGTGTGGCAAGAACATAAAGTACACAGAGGGGAGAGGGAGGCAATGGAAGAAAAGTATGGAAAGGTACTTAAGGCTAAACCTAGGAGGGCTCTGAGCGCTCCTTTTTTATATGAGTTTTATTCTAGAGATAGTCAGAAATTATAGAAGGCTTTCGAACAAAATTAGCACACGCTCAGGCATGTGCTAAAGCATAGAACAATTATTCTGTTAGGGAGTCACTTGAGGACATTCTCCAGCAAAATGATGAAGTAAATCAAAAATGTAAGATTCATGTGTTGGCTGGGCATGGTGGCTCACACCTGTAATCCCAGCACTTTGGGAGACCAAAGCGGATAGATCACAAAGTCAGGAGTTCAAGATCAGCCTGACCAACAAGGTGAAACCCCCATCTCTACTAAAAATACAAAAATTAGCCGGGAATGGTGGCATGTACCTGTAACCCCAGCTACTCAGGAGGCTGAGGCAGGAGAATGGCTTGAGCCCAGGAGGCAGAGGTTGCAGTGAGCCAAGATCACACCACTGCACTCTGGCCTGGGCCACAGAGTGGGACTCCATCTCAAAAAAAACAAAAACAACAAAAAAATTCGTGTGTTAGTCAGGGTTCCCAGAGAAACAGAACCAATAGGATATATACATAGATACATAAGAGATTTATTATGGGAATGGGCTCACGTGATTGTGGAAGCTGAGAAATCCCTCCATATGCCCTCTTCAAGCTGGAGAACCAATCCAGAAGGTGCTGGATCCAACTGTTAAGAAAAATGAGGAGAGGTCTTCAGGAGAGAGTAGTCAACAGACCTGGGGAACAATCAATAATATGAACATGGAAAGAAAAGAGAAGGAATCCAAGGAAAGGAGAGGACCCTGGCCATTTTCTACTACACTCGGGAATGGCAACAAATTAAAGACCTGCTTTGGGAGGCCAAGGCGGGCAGATTGCTTTGAGCTCACGAGTTCAAGACCAGCCTGGGCAGCATGGCAAAACTCTATCCCTACAAAAAACACAAAAATTAGCCGGGTGTGATGGTGTGCACCTGTAGTCCCAGGTACTCAGGAGGCTGGGGTGGGAGGATGGCTTGAACCCAGGAGGCGGAGGTTGCATTGAGCCGTGATCACGCCACTGTGCTCCAGTCTGGGTGATAGAGCCAAACCTTGTCTCAAAAAAAAAAAAAAAAAATTAAAGATCTGATAAGGCAGATAATGAAAGAAGAAAAGAAACATTGCACACTTACAAAGAATCAGGTGAAAAGAAAGAAATTTTTTAAAAAAGAAAAAAAATGAACAGAACCCAGGGATGGGGAAACACTACGCCCAACAAAAACTATCATCATCATGGATGATCTGAATCTGCAGTGCATGCATTTTACACAGTCTCAATAGTGCAAACACAAGTTATTTATCTCTGACTTCTAGAGTCCACCTATGGCCCAATCACATAAGACTTAACTGTACAGTAGTTCCATATCCAAGGAGGAAAGAGTTCCATATAAAGGGGAAAGAAATGAAGGGAAGGAAACAACACCAATATCCTGCTCTTACAATGTGGAAAGGCAAGAGATATTGTTTCTAGTTGATAGAACTAGAAATTAAGAGTAAGTTTATTACTTAAATTTCCAATGATAGGCCGGGCACAGTGGCTCATGCCTGTAATCCCAGCACTGTGGGAGGCCAAGGCGGGTGGATCATGTGGTCAGGAGATTGAGACAATCCTGGCTAACACGGTGAAACCCCGTCTCTACTAAAAATACAAAAATTAGCTACAGGCACTGAGGTGCTGAGGCCTCCCAAAGCAGCTACAGGGAGGCTGAGGCAGAAGAATCGCTTGAACCCAGGAGGAGGAGGTTGCAGTGAGCCAAGATCGTGCCACTGCACTCCAGCCTTGGTGACACAGCAAGATTCCGTCTCAAAAAAAAAAAAAAAAAAAAGAATAAAGCAGAAAAGGAGAAGCAGTAAATGAGCCAATCTGCATCTAGCCAACCAAGAAGTCAGTAAGTAATGTTAAATCAGGGAATTGTGGGTGTATACATTTATCTGTAAAAGATGTGGTGCAGCTTTTCCCTGGTGTCATTCCAACCTGTGTGGCTGTTCTCTTGAGCAGTGGTCGTTTATCTCCATCCACATTCTCTCCCACCTAAGTGCGTGCCACCACCCGATGGAAGATTCGATGGACATGGACATGAGCCCCCTGAGACCCCAGAACTATCTTTTCAGTTGTGAACTTAAAGGCCAACAAAGATGATCACTTTAAGGTGGATAATGATGAAGATGAGCACCAGCTATCTTTAAGAATGGTCAGTTTAGGGCTGGTGCAAAGGATGAATGGCACACTGTTGAAGCAGAGGCAATGAATTACGAAGGCAGTCCAATTAAAGTAACACTGGCAACTTTGAAAATGTCTGTACAGCCAATGGTTTCCCTTGGGGGCTTTGAAATAACACCACCAGTGTCTTACGGTTGACGTGTGGCTTAGGGCTAGGGCATATTAGTGGACAGCACTTAGTAGCTGTGGAGGAAGATGCAAGAAAAGATGAAGAGGAGGAGGATGTGAAACTCTTAAGTGTATCTGGAAAGCGATCAGCCCCTGGAGGTGGTAGCAAGGTTCCACAGAAAAAAGTAAAACTTGCTGCCGATGAAGATGATGATTATGAAGATGATGATGATGATGAAGATGATGATGATGATGATGATTTTGATGATAAGGAAACCAAAGAAAAAGCACCAGTGAAGCAATCTATATGAGATACTCCAGCCAAAAATGCACAAAAGTCAAATCAGAATGGAAAAGACTCAAAGCCATCGTCAACACCAAGATCAAAAAGACAAGAATCCTTCAAAAAACAGGAAAAAACTCCTAAAATACCAAAAGGACCTAGTTCTGTAGAAGACGTTAAAGCAAACATGCAAGCAAGGATAGAAAAAGGTGGTTCTCTTCCCAAAGTGGAAGCCAAGTTCATCAATTATGTGAAGAACTGCTTCCGGATGACTGCTATTCAAGATCTCTGACAGTGGAGGAAGTCTCTTTAAGAAAATAGTCTAAACAGTTTGTTAAAAATTTTCCATCTTATTTCATTTTGGTAACAGTTGATATCTGGCTGTCCTTTTTGTAATGCAGAGTGAGAACTTTCCCTACCGTGTTTGATAAATGTTGTCCAGGTTCCATTGCCAAGAATGTGTTGTTGAAAATGTCTGTTTAGTTTTTAAAGATGGAACTCCACCCTTTGCTTGGTTTTAAGTAGGTATGGAATGTTATGATAGGACTAAGTAGTAGCGGTGGTCAGACATGGAAATGGTGGGGAGACAAAAACATACATGTGAAATAAAATTCAGTATTTTAATAAAGTAAAAAAAGAGAGAGAGAGAGAGATGTGGTGCAATCTCCCAGAAGATATAACCAAAAGTTGTAAAGTGGCTGCCCCTAGGTAGAAATGCCAGCACTGGGAGGTGGGGGGAGTAGGGAGTGGTGATGGGGGAGAGAAGACTATACCTTTCATTTTAAATTATTTTGTGCCATTTCATTTTTTAACTATATGCAATGGAATAAAATTATGTGCTTTTCCTCTCTCCTGTATTTCTCTTCATATCATGACTCTCCTCCCAATGAGACTTCCAGACTTCAGTTTTGTGTGTGTGGTTTTTTTGTTTTGTTTTGTTTTTGAGACAGGGTCCAACTCTGTCACCCAGGTTGGAGCCCAGTGGTGTGATCTCAGCTCATGCAACCTCTACCTCCCAGACTCAAGCAATCCTCCCACCTCAGCCTCCTGAATAGCTGGAATTACAGGTGTATGCCACCACGTCCGGCTAATTTTTTTGTGTTTTTGGTAGAGATGGGGTTTTGCCAGGTTGCCCAGGCTGGTCTTGAACTCCTGAGGTCAGGAAATCCACCTGCCTCTGTTTCCCAAAGTGCTGGGATTACAGGCATGAACCACTATGTCCAGCCATTGATTTTGAGTTTAAAAGAGACAGCCCAGATATAAATCAAAATATTTATAGGAATCCAAATTCAAGCACCCATACATGTTCCACCCTAATGAAACGGGAAAAGTTCCTTATCCCCCTTGCAGGGCATGCAACAGGGGGAGTGGCTCGCTTCATCAGTGCCCCACTGCTCAAACCTCCAGGGGAAGCATACAGATGGGCAGATTGTGGGGCTCTGACCCCTCGGCAGCACCTGGGGTGAATGCTTACAGCTCCCGAAGCCCCAGTGGGCGTGTGTTACAGGGTGCTCTTTTAGTTTTGCCATCCACAGGCAGCTTGTGTTAATCACCTCTATTAGACCTTCTGCCTTATCACAAGGACAGAGGGCTTTCTGTATCCCTGGGTTCCTGCCTTGGTGTACCAGAAGTATCGGATCACACATGGGCTTAGAGAATGAGTGCAAGGTTTTTTACTGAGGAGTAGCTCTCAGCGAGGCCAGAAGGGGGATGGAGTGGAAAGGTGGTTTTCCCTGCCGAGCCGGGCTGCCCAGTGGCCAGGCTCTCCTCCGACTGCCCCGGCCAAACTCCACCATGGCTCCACTGCTCGATGGCCTGCCGGCATCTGTTGGCACCTGTCAGTGTGCTCTTCCACCAACGTGCTCCTCTCGGCGTCCAGCCGCTTGTGTGCCTGCCCCCTAAGATCTTGAGGTGTTTTTTTGTTTTGTTTTGTTTTGTTTTGTTTTGTTTTGTTTTTGAGATGGAGTCTCGCTCTGTCATTCAGGCTGGAGTGCATTGGCATGATCTCAGCTCACTGCAACCTCCACCTCCCGGGTTCAAGCATCCTCCTGCCTCAGCCTCTTGAATAGCTGGGATTACAGGCACGTGCCACCACCCCCGGCTAATTTTTTGTCTTTTTAGTAGAGACAGAGTTTCACCGTGGTAGCCAGGATGGTCTCGATCTCCTGACCTCATGATCCACCCGCCTCGGCCTCCCAAAGTGCTGGGATTTCAGACTTGAGCCACCGCGCGCGGCTGGGTCTCGAGGTTTTTATGGGCACAGGATGGGGGCGTGGTGGGCCAGAGTGGTCTTGGAAAATGCAACATTTAGGCCTGAAGGCAGGAGTGCCTGTCCTCACCTAGGTCCATGGGCACAGGCCCAGGGGTGGAGCCCTAGCCAGGGACCATGCCCTTCTCTACCCAGCACTTCCCTGCCCCCATCCCATATCACTAACTGAATTACAATTCTGTGGTCAGAGAGGAGAAGAAAGTTAGAAAGAAGTGCTATTGCACAAAATGCTGATGTGGGCTTCCTAAAAACAGCCTCAGGCCCCGTTCCTGAACAAATTCATGGGTACTAAATCTCCTAAATAAGCTCAGGGATCTCAGAGTTGAAACGTATGTGTCCCGCTTCTTGTTTGAAAGCGAAGCTCAAGATAGGAAGGTGGCAGGCTCAAGATACTGTTACACATTCTAGAATTTGGAGGGAGTCTCACAGATTCCCATCCTGCCCCCAGTGGGGTCAGCCAAAAGCCTTTTCCTCATGTAGCTGAGACTGGTGGGGATGGGAAGTTGCTAGGCAGTAAGAACGTAGTAAAGGCAGCCTGCCAGTTCCCCAGTGGACCTTCAGAAAATGTTAGTTGCGGCCAGGTGTAGTGGCTCACACCTGTAATCCCAGCACTTTGGGAGGCCAAGGTGGGCAAATCGCTTGAGGTCAGGAGTTCGAGACCAGCGTAGCCAAGATGTTGAAATCCCATCCCTACTAAAAATACAAAAATTAGCTGGGCGTGGTGGTGCATGCCTGTAATCCCAGATACTTGGGTGGCTGAAGCAGGAGAATCATGTCTGAGCCTCGGGAGATGGAGATTATAGTCAGCCAAGATCGCACCACTATACTCCAGCCTGGGCAACAGAGCGAGACTCCGTCTCAAAGAAGAAAGAAAGAAAGGAAAGAAAGGGAAGGAAGGGAAGGAAAGGAAGGAAATGTTAGTTGCTTCTTTCTTTTTTTCTTCTCTTCCTCCCTCCCACCCCCATTTCTTCTTCGTCAATCTCTCTAATATGCCTCCTTCATTTCTGACCCAGAAATGCCCAGTCCCTGCCCAGTCCCTCCTTTTCTGGTCCCACCTCCTCTCCCCAACTCTGGCATTCCCTAACCCAACCCTCCTCCTCCTAGAACATCCAGAGCCACTGTAGTTAGAATCACTTCCTTGGGGCTCTAGTCAACCTCCCCAGTCACACAAATGGGTTACTCCTCCCTTCAAAAATCCCTCTAAAATGATAGTAAACAATCTTAAAAAGAATACTACCCACAAAGACAGGAAGAATGGGAGAGATGACAATGGCAGGTAAAAAAGGTCACTTTGGAAGATGAATAACAAATGGCAGATTAAAGGAAGTTGTAATCTACTTGAGAGGTGAATCCATTTGTTCTGGAGAACGCTTGAGAGACTCAGGGCTTAGACACACAGGAATCTCAAAGATGGGGAGGCAGGAGTGGCAGGTGTTCCCAGTTGTCTCTCCAATAGCCTGTCACCCTTCCTTCTTGCCAAGAGACCTTGATTTTATCCAGGGCCATGATGTACCCTGCTAAAATAAAAACTCAGACTCTCTTGCCACTAGGGGCAGCCCCCCAATCCAGTTCTGGCCAATAAAAGTCCACTTGGAGGACTTCTAGGAAAGCTAGAGAGCTTTCCTGAATTAAAGGAACAAAGGGGAGCTGGCAAAAGCCTTCTTCCCTTTGCCCTTCCCCATTCCTTCTGCCCCAATAGTGATCAAGGTGCCTAGGAGCACCATAAATGTGAAAGCCACATGCTGAAGGGAAGAGAAGGAGATGGGACATCTGTGTCACCTTGGAGCTGCTGCACCAGCCTGGGCAGCAACCACTAGATGTCTTGTTGTTGTTGTTGTTGTTGTTGTTGTTATTGTTGTTTTCAAATCAACAGTTATCTGGTTAAACCACTGTGGTCACGTTTCGTCAGGGACAGTTGAATACAATCCTTAATCCATAAAATGATTGTTGATGGAACATCGTCTACAGAGGAGTTAGCCAGATTCCTTCTCCTATCCCACAGAGCCGGACAAAAAGATGCTTCCTCTTTCCTCCTCAAAGACCAGAAGTTTATTTTCTAGAGAATTTATCTAAGAGACTTTGGATTGGGATGGGGAATACGAAGCCCATCAGAGAAGTAGATAAACGCATGAGGCTGAGATGGGAGGATCAAATGGAAACCAACATTCTACCTGCTTGGGCCACCAGCCACCTTCCCCAGCCTCAGCCAGATCACTGAATTCCAGATCAATCAGGAAAAACAGTAGAGATGGGGTTTGAGTTAGGGCTAGGCATAGGGTAGGGTTCAGGTTCCTATAAATAGCTGAAACCAAATGATGGTGAGCTGTATTATGATGACACAACTAGGCTCACGACCAGTTGAGACGTGCTAAAATAACCCTCTTCCAAGAGGTGAGTGTGGGAGACAGAATAACGGCCCTCAAAGGTGTCACATCCGAATCTCCACCTGTGAACACTCCTCACATGGCAAAAGGGACTTTGCAGATGAGAATAGAAATTGTAAGAAAGGGAGATTATCCTGGGTTATCTGGGTGGGCCCAATGTCATCCCAAGGGACTTCCTTTAAGAAGGAGGCAGGAGAGTCAGAGTCAGAAAAGAAAATCGTGATGATGGTGACAGAGAGAGAAGTGACGTAGCAGCAGAAACAGGCCAGAGGGAGAGAGAGTTAAAGATGCTAGGCTGTTGGCTTTGGCAATGGAGGATGAGGCCATGAGCCAAGGATACAGGCAGCTTGTAGAAGCAAGAAAAGACAGATTCTCTTCTGGAGCTTCCCGAAGGAACTCAACCCTGCAGACCCAGTTTGAATTTCTGACCACCAGAACTGTAAGATAATGTGTGTTGTTTGAAGCCAATAAATTTGTGGTAATCTCTAACAATAGGTCACTAGAAAGGGAATGACTGATCCTTAGTGGGGTGCCAGGGAGAAGGCTTTGCAGGAGGGGTTCATTTAAACTGGGCCTTAAGGCAGGAAACGAAGGTAAAACAGGAGTAAAGGGAATTCCCAAGAGTGGTAAAATATGTTATCAGTTGTGGGTAAACAAGAAGGGAAAGGACTCTCCTATCCACAGGAGATCAATCACAGTTTGCCTGGATCTGTCCCTGTTTATGCCCATTGTCCCAGTATAATTTTTTTTTCTTTTGATTCGGAGTTTCACTCTTGTTGCCCAGGCTGGAGTGCAATGGCGCGATTTCCACTCACCGCAACCTCCGCCTCCCAGGTTCAAACGATTCTCGTGCCTTAGCCTCCAGAGTAGCTGGGATTACAGGCATGCGCCACCACGCCCAGCTAATTTTGTGTTTTTAGTAGGGACAGGGTTTCTCCGTGTTGGTCAGGCTGGTCTCGAACTCCCGACCTCAGGTGATCCGTCCGCCTCGGCCTCTCAAAGTGCTGGGATTACAAGGCATGAGCCACTGCGCACAGCCTAGCGTTGCTTTTCAATCTGCAATTACAAAATCGTGGCATGCCACTTCACGCTTCTCGCCACCAACCCAACCACCCAGCCCCTAGCCTGGTCAGGAGCAGGAGGTTCCCCGCGTGCCACCAGGAAGCTCGGGCCGGCCAAGAGCGTAGACTCTTGAGAGGAGTGAGACAGGTGCGCGCCAGCCGGCCTTCGGGGCTTTATGGGAACTGGGCCGTGCGGCGGTCCCGCCCTCGTGCGCAGGCGCAGAACCGTTGTGACCAGAGCGGTTGCGGGCTGAGCGGTTTCGAGCCGGCGTCGGGGAGCGGCGGTACCGGGCGGCTGCGGGGCTGGCTCGACCCAGCTTGAGGTCTCGGCGTCCGCGTCCTGCGGTGCCCTGGGTAAGTCGGCGGCCCTCCCGGAGCAGCCGCCCGAGACGCGGGAGGGCGAATGAAATAAACGAAAATAGACATTTTCCCGAAGGCGAAATAGACATCCTCCTTCGGCGCCGGGGCTTGGAGGCGGGCGGCGGTGGGCGCGGGTTAACGTCCCCGGGGAAACTGAGACCCCCAGCAGGTCCGGGCCGGGGGCGGAGAGGAACGCGGGAGGGCGCCGGGCCCCTGGGCTTTTCGTACCAAGCTCGACCGAGCCGCCCCTACCCACCCCCAGCTGCGAACCCAGCCGTTCAGAACAGAGACTGGGCATTGTCCCCACAGGGTCTCCCGAGGACCTTGTACCCGCGCGGCTTCCTTGGGCTGGCTTTGGACGACGCTTTCGCCTTCCTGCTGCCTAGGATCCGCCGACATGAATCCCATCGTAGTGGTCCACGGCGGCGGAGCCGGTCCCATCTCCAAGGATCGGAAGGAGCGAGTGCACCAGGGCATGGTCAGAGCCGCCACCGTGGGCTACGGCATCCTCCGGGAGGGCGGGAGCGCCGTGGATGCCGTAGAGGGAGCTGTCGTCGCCCTGGAAGACGATCCCGAGTTCAACGCAGGTAAATGTGCCTTTCAGCTAGTAAATAATGTGAGTCAGGTCAAGCTCCTTCTTCAGAATAAATAGAACCTACATAGTGTTAGGGAATCTAATGAGCTTTGGGGTGAAACTAAGTATGTAAAAAAGAAACAATATTTAATTTTTCTACCTGTGCTGAAAAGAGTCAAACGCTAAAATATTTGTAGAGATTTATACTGAGGCAAATATGAGTGACCAATGGCCTCTGATACAGCTCTTGGGAAATCCTGAGAATGTGTGCTTCTGGAGAGACATAAGATGTCAATCAGTACATACAAGACATACATTGGTTCCATCTGGAGAGGTGAGACTACTGGGGGAGGGGGAGTGGTTTCCAGGTCATAGTTAAGATTCAAAGATTTTCTGATGAACAATTGATTTAAAGTTTTGTCCAAACACCTGGAATCCACAGAAGGGAATGTCTGGATTATATAAGGACTTGTGGCTGCAGATAGAATTAATAGAAGGCGGTTTAGCACGGTGGCTCACGCCTGTAATCCCAGCACTTTGGGAGGCCAAGGCGGGTGGATCACCTGAGGTCAGGAGTTCGAGACCAGCCTGGCTAACAGGTGAAAAGCCACCTCTACTAAAAATACAAAAGAAAAAAAAAAAAAGCCAGGCGTGGTGCTAGGAGCCTGTAACCCCAGCTACTCGGGAGGCCGAGGCAGGAGAATAGCTTGAACCTGAGAGGCAGAGGTTGCAGTGAGCCGAGATCACTCCAGCCTGGGCGACAGAGCGAGACTATCTCAAAAAAAAAAAAAAAAACTGAAAAAAGAAGGGAATGTCTGCATTAAGATAAGAGGTTGAGGAGACCAAGATTTCCCTTAGGCAGAGGAAGTCTCCAGGTAGCAGTCTATTGAGAGAATAAATTGTAAATGTTTCTTATCAGAGTTGATTCTCTCCTGAATCAGGAAAAAGGCCTAGAAAAGGAAGGGGATTCTCTTCAGAATGTAGATTTTCCCCACAAGAGATAGCTTTAGCTTTGCAGGACTATTTCAAGATATGGCGAAGAAACGTAATTTGGGGTAAAATACTTCACTTTCAGGGCTTGCTATCTGTCATGTGATGTCATACTAGAGTCCCGCTGGAATTTGGTATCTTATTGCTACAAAGTCTGCTTTGTCAGTCTTAAGATCTGTTTTAATGTTAGTGCTGGTCAGCTGGGCCTGAATTCCAAAAGGGAGGAGGGAATAATGAGGCATGTCCTACCTCCCCCGACAAGGTTCCAAAGTTTTCAGGTTAACTTTGGAGTGCAGAGTGTATTCCTTTGTGTTTCGCTTCTTTCACTCAGTCCACCCTTTTTTGGAATACTAATCATTATAGCTAATATGAGTATCTACCATGTATCAGGCAGTGGTCTAAGAAATTTGCTTGATTTATTGAATCTGAACATTAAATGAGTTGATCATGTAACTCTCTTAAGTTGGTTAACTTGTGTTAAACTAACTCAAGTTAACTCATAATGAACATTAAATGATTCACTTATGAGTTAATCACTTAAACTCAGTTGAGTTAAATGAGTTAGGTATAAGTTAGGCATAATTATTATCCTCATTTCTCAGATCAGACTAAGGCATAAACAGATTAACTTGGTGGAAGACATTCATCTCTTTGTTTTAAAATGGCAAACCTAAGATCTAGGCTAGAGATTGAAATACTTCCTGGAATTATACCACCCATCTGTCAGGGAAAAGAATTTCAGGAAATCTTAATTAATCATCAAATATTTACTCTTGTTCTGTCCCCTTTACGCAGCACTCTTTAACACTTGTGAAAAATTGTGTAATTCTTCCTGAGACCGGTGCAGTGGCTCACGCCTGTAATCCCAGCACTTTGGAAAGCTGAGGTGGGCGGATCACTTGAGCTCAGGAGTTCAATGCCAGGCTAGGCAACATGGCAAAACCCCATCTCTACAAAAAAAAAAAAATACAAAAATCAGCTGAGCGTGGTGGCACAAGCCTGTAGCCGCCGCTACTCAGGAAGCTGAGGTAGGAAGATTCCTTGAGCCCCAGGAGGTCAAGGCTGCAATGAGCCAAGACTGCGCCACTGCACTCCAGCCTGGGTGACAGAGTGAGACTCTGTCTCTGAAAATAAAATTAAGTTCATCTGAATTTAAAATGAGACCTAATAGTGTGCTTTCATGGCTCCATTTGTAGAGCCAGAATTTACCAGATAGGCACTGACTTTGCCAGCAGAGGGAGCAGCCAGCTCTTTCTGTGGGTGACTTGTTAAACCTTACGCTTCTTAGCACTCAGCACCCCCTGGGCTGTCAAACCCTCACTTATTTACACAGGACCTTCATTTGAAATGGGTCATTCTGGTTTCCGACCATCTCTTATTCTAACAATTTGTCATCTGCATGCATTGGGAAGCACAGATTAGGGAATTGGAGCAGCTAGTTCTCATTTTTTTGCTCTGTATCCAGAGGCCTTCCTTCTCAACGTCTGCCCTCTCATCTTTCAAATGTCCTCTATTCCGCATATTGAGGAAGAAAAGAGTAGAGCTGAAAAGAGGGAAAGCAAAGATTATGGGGGGAAAGGTGGGACTTTTAACAGCGTACTGTGGACCTTGGCTTTTCCCAGCCAAGGTCACTACCGGCAAGCAATATTCCCAGCATCCTCTGCTATAATCCTCTAGAATAAATAACTGTTTGGGAACTTCATACAAAAAGCTGACTCCCAGTAGGTATTGAGTTCAGTGGCAGTAATTAGCATTCATGACACAACTTGCCTGAACATTTGTAAAAACATTATGTTTATTTACATTCTATTCCTGTTTCAGTGTGCATTTGACTTTATGTCAAATTGAAAAGTGGTTGATTTTTAGATACCAACACTGTAAAGACTGAACTTTTAAATTTGAATGCTAGGAATATTCTTTAAAAACTTACTTAGATTGGCAACCAAATGACCATTTGCTTTCACTGGAGCTCAGCGATATTTACACAGCACTTGAGATATTCTCTCTACAATTCAATTTACAAGCTATTAGAGAATCTTTGAGATAACAGGATTTTTTTTTTTTTTTTTTTTGAGACTGAGTCTCGCTCTGTCACCCAGGCTGGAGTGCAGTGGCACAGTTTCGGCTCACTGCAAGCTCCACCTCTCAGGTTCAAGCGATTCTCCTGCCTCAGCCTCTCGAGTAGCTGGGACTATAGGCACCCACCACCAGGACCAGCTAATTTTTAGTATTTTTAGTAGAGACGGGGTTTCACTGTGTTAGCCAGGATGGTCTTGGATCTCCTGACTTCATGATCCGCCCACCTCAGCCTCCCAAAGTGCTGGGATTACAGGTGTGAGCCACCACGCCCGGCTGAAAACAGGATTTTTTTCATTTATCCAGTCTCTTTCTGGACTTACAATGTAGAATCAATAAGGTAAAAATCTGTAGTGGGGTCTAGGAATTGGTATTCATTTCTTTGTTTTGAAGATTCCCAGGTGATTCTGAGATACAACCAGGTTTAGAATCTACTAGCCTAATACCATACAATTTTAATGGGTTTGGTGTTGGTTTGTTGGTATAATTTGCATATAGTAAGATCCCCTTTTTAGTATACAGTTCCATGACAGAGACATATAGTCATGTAACTGCCACCACAATCAAGATATAAACCAGTTACATTACTCTCCCACATCCCTTTGAGTCCACGCCTCCATTCACTCCCAGCCCCTGGCAACAACTAATCTGTTTACTATTCCTGTAGTTTTGTCATTTCCAGGATGTCGTATGTTTGAAATGTTTGTTTTTTGGTGCTGTAAAGAAATAGTATTCGAACATTAATTTATTTTATTTAGTAAGGCCGTTTTTATTTTTTGTTGAAAGGGTACACTTGTCAGCAGTTTTGTCCCAAGAGTATACTGAACAAAGGAGACAGGGTTATTTATAACCTGACGCATTTACCCTACTGCTGTGTCCGGTTTCTATTGGCTGAAACGGGACCTTACATTTTCTATTTGTTTCGATTGGCTCGCAACTTAGAATTTTTTAAAAGAGGCAAAGGTAGAGGAGAACAAAGGAAGGAGGAAGTAACTTGTGGGATGCTGAGATAGGTAAAAACACCTTTAAATAAGGAAGAGGAACAGGCTGTGACCTAATGCTTGCTTGGACCAGTATAAGCCTTCCAGGGCAAATATTTAGGCTAAATTGTGGGAGCTAAGAACGTAAAGTACAGTGATTTGTTTATTATGGCTAGCAGATATTTAAGAATGTTAGCACAGGTCTTTGAATAAATTTTGCTTCTAAGAGAAGTTACTGTTTATTCCTAATTAGGGAGCAAAGTCTTTGAAGAGGAACCTCCACTTCACTTTTTACACATAAATGGCAGCACTTTTGGAGGCCGAGGCGGGTGGATCATTTGAGACTAGGAGTTCAAGAGCAGCCTGTCCAATATGGCAAAATGCTGTCTCTGCTAAATATACAAAACTTAGCCAGGCATGGTATGGCACACCTGGCAATCCCAGCTACTCAGGAGGCTGAGGCATGAGAATCACTTGAACCCAGAAGGGGGAGGTTGCAGTGGCTCAAGATTATGCCACTGCACTCCTGCCTGAGCAGCAAAGAGAGACTCTGTCTCCAAAAAAAAAAAAAGTCATAAATGGAATCACACAATGTGTAGCCTTAGTCTGGATTCTTTGGTTAACATAATACATTAAAGTGTTACCCGTGTAGACGTGGATATCAGTAGTTTTTCCCTTTTTATTGAGTAGTATTCCATTGTATGAATATACCACAGTTGGTTTAACCATGTAATAGCTAAAGGACATGTTCCATTTGGGGCCATTATAAATAAAATCACTGTAAACATTTGCATATGGGTGTTTATGTGAACATAAGTTTTTATCTCCCTTAGGTGAGTACCTGGGAGTGGGACTGCTGGCTTATGGCAAGAATTTAACTTCAGTAGAAACTACTGGCCGGGCGCGGTGGCTCACTCCTATAATCCCAGCACTTTGGGAGGCCGAGGCAGGCGGATTACCTGAGGTCAGAAGTTCAAGACCAGCCTGGCCAACATGGTGAAACCCTGTCTCTGCTAAAAATACAAAAATTAGCCAAGTGCAGTGGTGGGCACCTGTGGTCCCAGCTGCTCGGGAAGCTGAGGCAGGAGAATCTCTTGAACCTGGGAGGTAGAGGTCGCAGTGAGCTGAGATCGTGCCACTGCACTCCAGCCTGGGTGACAGAGTGAGACCCTGTCTCAAAAAAAAAAAAAAAAAAAGGAACTGCCAAACTTTAACATTCCCACTAGCAATGTATGAAAGTTCCACTTACAGGCTGGGCGCAGCTCATGCCTGTAATCCCAGCACTTTGGGAGGCCGACATGGGTGGATCACAAGGTCAGGGGTTTGAGACCAGCCTGGCCAACATAGTGAAACCCTGTCTCTACCAAAAATACAAAAATTAGCCAGGCATGGTGGCACACGCCTGTAGTCCCAGCCACTCGGGATGCTGAGGCAGGAGAATCGCTTGAACCTGGGAGGCAGAGGTTGTAGTGAGCCAAGATGGCGCCACTGCACTCCAGTCTGGGCAACAAAGCAAGACTCCAGCTCCACAAAAAAAAAAAAAAAAAAAAAGTTCCACTTAATCCACATCTTCACCAGCACTAACTAGTGAGTGTCAGCATTTTTTATTTTGGCCATTCTAGTAGGCATATAATGGAATCTTACGATGTTGATTTGCATTTCCCTAAATGGGAAGTGATATTTAACATCTTTTCATGTGCTTTTTTGTCATGCATTTCTTTTTTTTTTTTTTTTTTTTTCTTTTTGAGATGGAGTCTCACTCTTGCTGCCCAGGCTGGAGAGAAATGGCGCGATCTCAGCTCACCGCAACCTCCACCTCCTGAGTAGCTAGGATTACAGGGCATGTGACCCCACACCCAGCTAATTTTTGTATTTTTAGTAGACATGGGGTTTCATCATGTTGGCCAGGCTGATCTTGAACTCCTGACCTCGTGATCCACACACCTCAGCCTCCTAAAGGGCTGGGATTACAGGTGTGAGCCACTGCGCTTGGCCTGTCGTTCATATTTCTTCAGTGAAGTATCAAAGTCTTGCTGATTTTTTTGTTGGTGTTGTTTCTTACTATTGAGTTTTAAGAGTTGTTTATATATTCTAGATATAGCTTTTATCAGATGTGTCAATGCAGAAAAATCAGCAGATATTTTCTTTCAGTCTGTGGTTTGTCTTTTCTTTCTCAATATTTTATTGCAAAAAGCAGAAGTTCTCAACTTTGCAGAAGTCCAGTTTATCAGTTTTTTTTTAAACCAGTCATGCTTTTTGTGTTGTATCTTAATATTTGCCTAACCCAGCATTGCAAACATTTTTCTTGTGTTGTCTTCTAGAAGTTTTAGGTCTGTGATTCACTTTGAATAAATTTTTGTATACGATGCAAGGTATATATCAAGATTCCATTTTTGGTTTTTTTTTTTTGTGGCTACATAGTAGGTGTATTTACTTATGGGAGTACGTGAGATATTGTGATACAGACATGCAATGCATAATAATCAGGGTAAATGGGATATTCATCCCTTCAAGCATTTATCCTTTGTGTTATAAACAATTATATTCTTTTAGTTATTTTAAGATGTATAGCTAAATTATCGACTATAGTCACTGTTGTGCTATCAAATACTAACTCATATTCATTCTATTTTTTGTACCCATTACTTATCCCCACTTCTGCCCCACCCCCACTATCTCCCAGCCTCTGCTAACCATCTTTTTACTCTCTATCTTCATGAGTTCAATTGCTTTGACTTCTAGCTCCCACAAATAAGTGAGAACATGTGAAGGTTTTCTTTTTGTGCCTGACTTATTTCACTTACCATAATGACCTCCAGTTCCATCCATGTTGTTGCAAATGACAGAATCTCATTCTTTTTTATGGCTGAGTAGTACTCCATTGTGTATATGTATCATTTCTTTATTCATCTGTTGATGAACATCTAGGTAGCTTCCGAATCTTGGCTATTGTGAACAATGCTGCAGCAAGCAAGGAGTGCAAATAACTCCTCCATATACTGATTTCCTTTCTCTTGGGTGTGTAGCCGGCAGTGGGATTGCTGTATCACATGGTAGCTGTATTCTTAGATTTTTGAGGAACTCAGGGTTGTTTTTTGTTTTTTGCTTTTTTTCCTGGAGTGCAGTGGCGTGATCTTGGCTCACTGCAACCTCCACCTCCCGAGTACAAGTAATTCTCCTGCCTCAGCCTCCCGAGTAGCTGGGATTACAGGCGCCCACCACCATGCCTGGCTAATTTTTGTATTTTTAGGGGAGACAAGGTTTCACCATGTTGGCCAGACTGGCCTTGAACTCCTGACCTCAAGTGATCCACCAGCCTCAGCCTCCCAAAGTACTGGGATAACAGACGTGAGCCACCACCCGTGGCCCAGCACCAATTGTTGAAAAGGCATATTGCAAGTCCCCTGGTTATGCACACTTCTGTCCAATGTGGCTACAAATCAAGGGTTACCATGACCCCCTCCTCAGGCTTGATAATTTACTATGATGGCTCATAGAACTCTGGAAAACATTTATGTTTACCAATTTATTATAAAGAATATGATAAAGCCGTGGTCCCCAACCTTTTTGGCACCAGGGACCAGTTTCATGGAAGACAGTGTTTCCACAGAGACTCTCGCAGGCACAGTTCACAACAGGGTTCACACTCCTATGAGAATCTAATGCTGCTGCTGATCTGACAGGAGGCGGAGCTCAGGTAGTAATGCTCATGCGCCTGCCACTCACCTCCTGCTGTGGGGCCCAGTTCCTAACAGGCCACAGACCAGTACCAGTACCTGGGGGTTGGGGACTCCTATGATAAAGGATACAGATGAAGAGTTGCATAGGGTGAGGTCAGTTCAGTTCTGACGCTGCCTCTCTGGGGTCAGAGTCCAATCCCACAGGTTCAGGGCTCAGTCCCGTAAGACTGCTTCCCACTTCAGATGCCAATCTTGAGTAGTAGCTTGTCACTTCTACTTCCGACCAACCAGCTATAAATTGGGGTTCCCATGACTCCCTCCTCGAATTCAGTTAATTTGCTAGGGTAGCTCACAGAACTCAGAGAAATATATTTACCAGTTTATTATATGAATAATGGATATAATGGAGGATACAGACAGGGAGATGAAGAGATGCATAGGGCAAGGTATGGGGGAAGGGGTGTGGACCTTCCCTGCCCTCTTCAGCACACCACCCTCCTGGCACCTTCACATACCTAGCAATCCAAAAGCTCTCCCATCATCAGCCCTTACAGGTTTTTATGGAGGCTTCTGTGAGACTGAGTAACAAACGTAAGAAGCCATGTTTGCTAATTTCTTCATGCCAACATCATTTCATGAAGCCCCTGATTCTGTGACGATGTGCAGATGTGCCGCTTTCTGGAAGAATGATTTGAAGACAAAATTGGATAGAGCACACAGCCCCCATGTCTCTTGCCCGAGTCACTGTATGTCTTAAACGATAAATGATCCTAGTCTTGCCTTTTCCTACACTTAAGATAACATCTGGGTCAGGCGCAGTGACTCACACCTGTAATCCCAGCACTTTGGGAGGCCGAGGCAGGCAGATCACCTGAGGTCAGGAGTTCGAGACCTGCCTGAGCAACATGGTGAAACCCCATCTCTACTAAAACTACAAAAATTAGCCTCGCATGGTGGTGGGTGCCTGTAATCCCAGCTACCTGGGAGCCTGAGGCACGAGAATCACTTGAACCTGAGAGACAGAGGTTGCAGTGAGCTGAGATGGCACCACTGCACTCCAGCCTGGGGCGACAGTGAGACTCCGTCTCAAAAAAAAAAAAAAAGAAAAATAACGTCTGACAAGGTTAGCGATTATGCATACCTCTGTCATCTATAGCCAGATGCACTTTTGCACCCAAACTTTGATGTGATTCTGTTTTAATGTAACTTCTGAGGAAGTCTCATGTAACCTTTGAGCATGTACTAACCCTCCACAACCTGTATATCAGCTCTAAGGGGAGACACAGTTTTGAAGCAGTTTGACAGCACCTCTCTGAAGGACCCCTCTGGACTATAGTCATCAGTCTATAGTCCTCAGTAAGATTTCTAAATAAAACTAATTATTTAAAAGCTCAATTTTTTTTTCTCTAGTTGACATTTCATGGCATAGGCACAATTGATTAAATCGTTGGCCATTGGTTATCAACTAACCCTTCAGTCTCTCTCCCCTTCCTCGGAGATAGAGGGGTGAGACTGAAAGTTCAGGCCCTCTGATTACACGATTGGTTCCCTGGCAACCAGCTCCCCATTTTGAGGCTATCTAGCCCCTAACCATCAGTCATCTCATTGGCATACAAAAAGATAACTTACCACTTTGGCGCTTCCAAGTACTTTAGGAGCTGTGTGTCAGGAAACAGGAAGACCAAACTTTGTGTCCAGGCCTTCTACATCTGTGAATTTACCCAATCTTCGGTTGAAAATATTTGGGGAAAAAAAAAACCGTGTAAGACTGCCTTTGCAAGCCAGGTGTGTTGGCTCATGCCCGTAATCTCAGCACTTTGGGAGGCTAAGGTGGGTGGGTCACATGAGGTCAGGAGTTCAAGACCAGCCTGACCAATATGGTGAAACTAAAAATACAAAAATTAGCCGGGCATGGTGGCTCCTGTAGTCCCAGCTACTTGGGAGGCTGAGACAGGAGAATTGCTTGAACCCAGGAGGCAGAGGTTGTAGTGAGCCAAGATCACCCCACTGCACTCCAGCCTGGGCGACAGAATGAGGCTCCATCTAAAAAATAAAAAAATTGCCTTTGCAAAATTTTAAGTTCCAAAAAGCAAAACTTGCCTCACACGAAGTACTACATTGAATCCACACTAATAAACTGATATGGTAGACATTGTATCAGGTATCATAAGTGATGTAGACATTGTATCAGGTATCATAAGTGATTTAGAGATGATTTAAAGTATACAGGAGGATGTGCATCGATTATATGCAAATACTATGCCATTTCACGTAGAGGACTTGAGCATCCATGGATTTTGATATTGTAACTGCCCAAGGGGTTTTTCTTGCCTGCTACACAAATAAAGATCGTGGCATTGTAGTAAGGAAAAAATTTAATAGACCACATGGCCAGCCACACCATGTGGGAGATGGAGTTAGTACTCATCATCTCTTCCAAAGCTCCTGGGTTAGGGGTTTTTCAAAAGCAGTTTAGGGAAAGGGGTGCGACTGGCAAGGCTTGCTGCTGATTGGGGCAGAGATGAAATGAAAGGGGGTCATGGCCGGGCGTGGTGACTCACGCCTGTAATCCCAGCACTTTGGGAGGCCGAGGCAGGTGGATCACCTGAGGTCAGGAGATCGAGACCAGCCTGGCCAACATGCGAAACCCCGTCTCTACTAAAAATACAAAAATTAGCTGGGCGTGGTGTCTCACGCCAGTAATCCCAGCTACTCAGGAGGCTGAGGCAGGAGAATCACTTGAACCTGGGAGATGGAGGTTGCAGTGAGCCAAGATCGCGCCACTGCACTCCAGCCTGGGTGACAGAGCGAGACTCCTCCTCAAAGAAAAAAAAAAAGAAATGTAAAAGGGTTAAAACTGTCCTCCTGTGCACTGAATTGTTTCTGGGCGAGGCCACAGGGGAGATGGTTGGCAGGTCCAGGTGGAGCCATGCATGTCAGACATGGATAAAAATCTGAAAAGATATCGCAAAAGGCCAATCTGCAGTAGTGGTGGTACCCAAAGGAATGGTTGGCAGTCTGTGTCTACACCTCATTAGAATCAGGTTCCTCTTCTCCCCCAGCTTGATGAACTTTTTTGGTTTTTTGTGGTTTTTTTTTGTTTTTTGAGATGGAGTCTCACTCTGTCGCCCAGGCTGGAGTGCAGTGGCACGATCTCGGCTCACTGCAACCTCCACCTCCTAGGTTCAAGTGATTCTCCTGCCTCAGCCTCCTGAGTCGCTGGGATTACAGGCATGCACCACCACACCCAACTAATTTTTGTATTTTTAGTAGAGACGGGGTTTCACCATGTTGGCCAGGCTGGTCTCGAACTCCTGACCTCGTGATCCTCTCACCTCAGCCTCCCAGAGTGCTGGGATTACCGGCATGAGCCACCGTGCCCAGCCTTGATGAACTTTCATTCACTTTACAAAAGCAGTTGCGTTTGGGGCAAGGCCTGTTATCCTTTTAACTATAGCCTAAATGTCTCTCAAAGTTAGCTCTGCCCAATAGCCCAGGAATAATTAAGGGAAAGGCAAGATGGGGTGGTATGTTAGCTCAGATCTCTTTCACTGCCATAATTTTCTCACTGAAATAATTTTTGCAAAGGCAGTTTCAATGTTTCCAGGGGTCCCACATCCAATTCCCCACGGATACTGAGGGACAGCTCTATGTGTTTCTCCTTGTAAATCACAGTATGACATCCTCCCTAACAACTAGCAATCACTATCTCTTTCTTATTACTATTATTTTGAGAATGTTCTGTAAATGGAGTTGTTACCAGACGGGTCCCGATCCAGACCCCAAGAGAAGGTTCTTGGATCTCACGCAAGAAGGACTTCAGGACGAGTCCGTAGAGTAAAATGAAAGCAAGTTTATTAGGAAAGTAAAGGAATAAAGCATGGCTACTCCATAGAGCAGCCCCGAGGGCTACTGGTTGCCCATTTTTATGGTTATTTCTTGATGATCTGCTAAACAAGGGGTGGATTATTCATGCCTCCCCTTTTTAGACCACATAGGGGAACTTCCTGACGTTGTCATGGCGTTTGTAAGCTGTCACGGTGGGAGTGGAGCAGTGAGGACGACCAGAGGTCACTCTCGTGGCCATCTTGGGTTTGGTGGGGTTTGGCTGGCTTCTTTACTGTAACCTGTTTTATCAGCAAGGTCTTTACGACCTGTATCTTGTGCTGACCTTGTGTCTCATCCTGTGACTTAGAATGCCTTAACCATCTGGGAATGCCTGCCGCCCAGCAGGTTTCAGCCTTATTTTACTCAGCTCCTATTCAAGATGCAGTTGCTCTGGTTCAAACGTCTCTGACGGAATCATACAGTATGTGACCTTCTGGAAATGGCTTTTCTCATTCAGCATTTTTGCCCCTGAGATCCATCTAAGTTGTTGCCCATATCATTTATTTCTTTATTGCTGAGTAGTATTCTCTAGTATAGTTGTACCACAGTTTATTTAAACATTCACCCGGGAAAGGATATTTTGGTTGTTTCTAGTTTGGGACTATTACAAATAAAGCTGCTATGAACATTCATGAACACGTTTTTATATGAACATAAATGTCCATACCTCTGGGATAAATGCCCAGGAATGTGATTTCTGGGGCAAATGGTAGACCCCATATAGTTTGGTCAAATTTTTTATCCAGGCCAGGCACAGTGGCTCACGCCTGTAATGCCAGCACTTTGGGAGGCCAAGGCAGATGGATCACTTGAGGCCAGGAGTTCAAAACCAGCCTGGCCAACATGGTGAAACCTCATCTCTACTAAAAATACAAAAATTAGCCGGGCGTGGTGGCACATACCTATAGTCCCAGCTACTCAGGAGGCTGAGGCAGGAGAATTGCTTGAACCCATGAGACGTAGGTTGCAGTGAGCCAAGATCATACCACTGCACTCCAGCCTGGGCAACAGAGCAAGACTCTGTCTCAAAAAAGAAAAATAAAATTATCCACTTTGCCTATATCTGTCTTCTAATTAGTATATTTAGAAGATTTACATGTTATATAATTACTGATATGTTGAGATTTAAACCTGCTATTGTATGTCTAGTGTTCTGTTTGTTATTTTTGCTTTCTTTTTCTTGCCTTCCTATGGGTTGTTTGAGCATTTTTTAGAATTTCATTTTGTTTTAGCTGTAGTATTTTTGAGTGTATCTCTTTATATAGATTTTTTAGCTATTTGCTCTAGATATTATGCTGTACATGGATAAACACATGTAACTTATCACAGTCTAAAAATGTTAACATTTTACCATTTAAGCAGACCCTAGAGACCTTACCTTTCTTTACGGTCCCTTTACCCTCCCCTGCTGATCATATAATTGTCTTAAATATTTCCACTATGTGCATTGAGAACCACTTCAGACAATGTTACCATTTTGCTTTAACTGGCAAACATAATTTGGAAAATTCAAGAGGAGAAGGAAAGTCTATTATATTTACCAATTTTTTCTCCTTTCTTTATTCTTTCTTCCTTCCCAATGTTCCAAGATTCCTTTCTGGCTGAGCCTGGTGGCTCAAGCATGTAATCCCAGCACTTTGGGAGGCCGAGACAGGTGGATCACCTGAAGTCAGGAGTTCGAGACCAGCCTGGCCAACATGGTGAAACGCCGTCCCTACTAAAAATACAAAAATTAGCTGGGCGTGGTGGCGGGCGCCTGTAATCCCAGCTGCTCAGGAAGCTGAGGCAGGAGAATCACTTGAACCTGGGAGGCGGAGGTTGCAGTGAGTAGAGATCGTGTCACTGCACTCCAGCCTAGGCGACAAGGGTGAAACTCATCTCCAAAAAAAAAAAAAATCGTTTTTTTTGGTGGGGGTGGGGACAAGGTATTAATTTTACTCTGACACCCAGACTGGAGTGCAGTGGCACAATCAGAGCTTTGCAGCCTTGACTTCCTAGGCTCAAGTGATCCTCCCACCTCAGCCTCCCGAGTAAAGCTGGAACTGCAGGTGAGCACCACCACACCCAGCTAATTTTTTATTGTTTTGTAGAGACAGGGTCTCCCTGTGTTGCCCATGGTCGTCTCAAACTCATGGGCTCAAGCACTTCTCTTACCTTGGCCTCCAAAGTGCTGAGATTACAGGCATGAGCCACCTCACCCAGCCAAGAACTTCTTTTAGCCATTCTTTTAGGTTAGGCCTGCTGGCAACAAATTGTTTCCATTTGCCCTTATCTGTGTTATGGACTGAATGTTTATGTCCCCCTCAAAATTTAAGTGTTGAAGCCCTAATCTGGCTGTGTTTGGAGATGGGGCCTCCAAGGAAGTAATTAAAATTAAGTGAGGTCATAAGGATGGAGTCCTGAACCAATAGGATTAGTGTCCTTATAGGAGACACCAGAGAGCTTGCCCACTCTCATGGGCACAAGAAGAGGTCATGGAGCAGTGAGCACACAGGGAGATAGTAACCACCTACAAGCCAAGAGAGGAAGCCTCAAGGCTGGGCACGGTGGCTCACGCCTGTAATCCCAACACTTTGGGAGGCCGAGGTGGGTGGATCACTTGAGGTCAGGAGTTTGAGACCAGCCTGACCAACATGGTGAAAACCTGTCTCTACTAAAAATATAAAAATTAGCCGGGTATGGTGGCGCACCTGTAATCCCAGCTACTCAGGAAGCTGAGGCACAAGAATCACTTCAACCCAGGAGGCAGATGTTGCAGTGAGCCGAGATCACACCACGGCACTCCAGCCTGGGCGACGGAGTGAAACTGTGTCTAAAAAAAAGAAAAAGCAGCAGCCTCAGAATGAAACCTACCCCTTTTTGGCACCTTCCTAATACAATCTGAGAGTATCTTGGTTTCTCCTTCATTCCTGAAGGATATTTGCGGAATAAAGAATTCTGAATTTATAGTTCTTTTCTTCAGCACTTGAAAAATGCTGTTCTTCTTCCTTCTGGCCTCCGTGGTTTCTGGTGACAAATTCTTTGTCATTAAAACTGGTTTCTCCCCTATAGGTAAGGTGTCATTTCTCTCTTGCTACTTTCAATGTTTTTTTGTCTTTAGTTTGCGGTGGTTTGGTTATGATGTGTCTTAGTGTGAATGTCTTTGTGTTTAGTCCTATTTAGGGCTTGCTCACCTTCTTAAATTGGTAGATTTATGCTTTTTGCCAAATACAAGGAATTTTCAGGCATTATTTTTTTGAATACTTCTCATTCCCACCCATTTTCTCCTCCCATCTAGGAGTCTGATGACTTGAATGTTAGCTCTTTTGTTATGGTCCCACTGGTTGGCTGGGCTCTGTTCATTTTGGTTTTTTCCAGGCCCTGTTCTGTTGTTCAGACTGAGTGATTTCTTAGTCCAGTAATTCTTCTGTCTTGTCTGTTCTGCTGTTAAGCCCATCCATTGAGATTTCTTATTTTGATTATTATATTTTTCAGCTCTAACTTCCATTTGGTTTTTCTTTACATCTTATATTTCTTTGCTGAAACTTTATAATTTTTTTAGTTATTTCAAGTTCATTGAAGCATTTTTATGATGCTTTTTTTTTTTTTTTTAAAGGGACAGGGTCTTAGTCTGTCACCCAGGCTGGAGTACGGTGGTGTGATCACAGCTTACTGCAACCTCAAACCCCTGGCTCAAGTGATCCTCTTGCCTCAGCCTCCCAAGTAGCTAGGCCTTTGGGTGTGTGCTACTATGCCCAGCTAATTTTTTTTTAAGAGATGGGGTCTTGCTGTGTTGTCCAGGTTGGTCTTGAACTAGGCCTCAAGAGATCCTCTTGCCTCAGCCTCCCAAAGTGCTGGGATTACAAAGCACAGGTATGAGCCACCATGCCTGGCCAATGGCTGCTTTAAAATTCCTGTCAGGTAATTCCAACATCTGTGTCATCTTGGTATTGTCATCTGTTAATTCTTTTTCCTTAGGTTGAGATGTTCTTGGTTCTTCATATGATGAGTGACTTTCTGTTGTATTCTAGACATTTTGCATATTATGTTTTAAGACTTTGGATATTATTTATATAAATCTTTTATCAGGTCTTCTCTAACCTGCGCTGATCAGTGTAAAGGGATGCCTTGTTATTGCCAGATGGAAAAGATGTGAGCTTCTTTGGCAGAAGAAAGTAGATGTCTAAGCCACACACCTGGATTTGATTCCTTGCTCTTTACCCAGAAGACATTTGATATTGGGAAAGTTGCTTTTCTGGTTTCCCCACCTGTTAAACTGGCATGTAATCAGGGCAGCAAACACTTACTGTTTGCCTACACATGCTAGACATTATTCTAAGTGTTTAATATGCAATACCTACCTCATTGATGGTTGTAAGGATTAAATGGGTTGATGTTCTTACCCATTTTACACATGAAGAAACAAGCACAAAGAGATTGAGAAGCATAGCTAGATTTGTAGGCATTATCTGGGCAGAGAAATATAGAGAAAGGGTGCTAGTGGTAAAAACAACAGCATGTGCAAAGGCACAGAGACACGTGGGCTCCTAGTATACAGTAGCCCTCCGTTATCTATGGGGGATGTGTTTCAAACCCCCAGTGAGTGCCTGAAACCACCAATGGTACTCAACCTTATATCGGCTGGTTTTTTTTTCATACATACATATGATAAAGTTTAATATATTAATTAGCCGCAGTAAGAAATTAATAACAATAACTGATAATAAAAGAGAACAATTATAACAGTATGCCAGCATCACTACTCTTGTGCTTCGAGACCATTATTAAGTAAAATAAGGGTTTCTTGAACACAAGCACTGAGAGGTGCTACTGCAGCTGATCTGCTTGGTATTCGAGACGGCTGCTAAGTGACTAACAGGCAGGTAACCTATACAGTGTGGATATGCTGGAGAAAGGGAGGAATCACGTCCCTCTGAAGGACAGAGTGGGATGATGCTAGAAGTGTTTATTTCTGGAATTTTCCATTTAATAATTTGGGGCCATGGTTGACTGAGGATAACTGAAACCTCAGAAGCAAGGCTGTGGATAAGGGGACTACTATCTTCAGGGAAACCTTATTTCAGTAAAATATAGCCAAGGAAAGAAAATGAAGCTGGAAAAGCAGGTCAAAGGCCAGGTTAGGAAGGGCTTTGTACTTTTTTATTTTGTAGGTCATGGAGTGCCAAGTCAGATTTCTTTTATTTTTTTTTTTGAAACGGAGTCTCACTCTGTCACCCTTGGCTCATGGCAACCTCCGCCTCCCGGGTTCAAGTGATTCTCCTGCCTCAGCCTCCCAAGTAGCTGGGATTACAGGCACGCACCACCACGCCTGGCTAGTTTTTATATTTTTAGTAGAGACAGGGTTTCACCATGTTGGCCAAGCTGGTCTCAAACTTCTGACCTCGAGTGATCCGCCTCGGCCTCCCAAAGTGCTGGGATTACAGGCGTGAGCCACCACACACAGCCTCCAAGTCAAGATTTCTCTCTTTTTTTTTTGAGATGAAGTCTCGCTCTGTCGCCCAGGCTGGAGTGCAGTGGTGCAATCTCGGCTCACGGCAACCTCCGCCTCCCAAGTTCAAGCAATTTTCCTGCCTCAGCCTCCCGAGTAGCTGTGACTACAGGTGCGGGCCACCATGCCTGGCTAATTTTTTGGATTTTTAGTAGAGACGGGGTTTCACATGTTAGCCAGGATGATCTCGATCTCCTGACCTCATGATCTGCCCGCCTCGGCCTCCCAAAGTGCTGGAATTACAGGCATAAGCCGCTGTGCCCGGCCAAGATTTCTCTCTTGAAAAAAAATGTTCCTCTGGCAATGGAATAGAGGATGGATTAAAGGGGGCAAATTAGAGGAAAATCTGGAGCCATTTCTAAATTCTTTTTTTTTTTTTTTTTCATTGATCATTCTTGGGTGTTTCTCGCAGAGGGGGATTTGGCAGGGTCATAGGACAATAGTGGAGGGAAGGTCAGCAGATAAACAAGTGAACAAAGGTCTCTGGTTTTCCTAGGCAGAGGACCCTGCGGCCTTCCGCAGTGTTTGTGTCCCTGGGTACTTGAGATTAGGGAGTGGTGATGACTCTTAACGAGCATGCTGCCTTCGAGCATTTGTTTAACAAAGCACATCTTGCACCGCCCTTAATCCATTCAACCCTGAGTGGACACAGCACATGTTTCAGAGAGCACAGGGTTGGGGGTAAGGTCACAGATCAACAGGATCCCAAGGCAGAAGAATTTTTCTTAGTACAGAACAAGATGAAAAGTCTCCCATGTCTACTTCCTTCTACACAGACACGGCAACCATCCGACTTCTCAATCTTTTCCCCACCTTTCCCCCCTTTCTATTCCACAAAACCGCCATTGTCATCATGGCCCGTTCTCAATGAGCTGTTGGGTACACCTCCCAGACAGGGTGGTGGCGGGGCAGAGGGGCTCCTCACTTCCCAGTAGGGGCAGCCGGGCAGAGGCGCCCCTCACCTCCCGGATGGGGCGGCTGGCCGGGCGGGGGGCTGACCCCCCCACCTCCCTCCCGGACGGGGCGTAAATTCTTAATTCTTGCTTTTCAACTTCTTTTTGGTTTTAGGTTGTGGGTCTGTCTTGAACACAAATGGTGAGGTTGAAATGGATGCTAGTATCATGGATGGAAAAGACCTGTCTGCAGGAGCAGTGTCCGCAGTCCAGTGTATAGCAAATCCCATTAAACTTGCTCGGCTTGTCATGGAAAAGGTATATGTGACTAAAGCAGCCTTTTCCTAATGAATTGTTATTGTTATACTGCAGTGATAAGGGCTCCAACTGTGCAGAAATACTTGAGATCACTGTTCTCCTAAAAATATATACAAAACAGATGCAATGTATTTGAGTTTCTCAAATCAGCCATGATTTTTGACTAGGAATCACTTGACCAGTGAATGATTACTTTATCTTCCTGTATTTTCTTCACACCACATACAAACTGACCAGACCAGCTATTTAATAGCATGTGTTAAAGATGGATTGAGTTCTCTAAATTTAACGTATATGTAAATCGCATCTCTAGTAATGTCCCATCAATTGGGGTCTTTTCTTTTTTAATACAAAAACTCAGTCAGGCTTTTTTCAGCATACAGAAAAGCAAACCACTGGAATTTGTATTTTTGATCCTTTGCACCCAGAGAGAAGTAATTATTTCAACACAGTTGGAACAGTTAAAAAGATTTAAAATTTTCAAAAAAACAATCATTTTCTCTTTTCTTTCTGGCTCAGACACCTCATTGCTTTCTGACTGACCAAGGCGCAGCGCAGTTTGCAGCAGCTATGGGGGTTCCAGAGATTCCTGGAGAAAAACTGGTGACAGAGAGAAACAAAAAGCGCCTGGAAAAAGAGAAGCATGAAAAAGGTGCTCAGAAAACAGATTGTCAAAAGTAAGTCTTACCTGTGGCTCGCATTATTTGGGAGTTATTAAAATATGAAAGTTTGGCAAATACCTGGTTATCTACAGTTCTTTTGTTTTGTTTTGTTTTGTTTTGTTTTGTTTTGTTTTGTTTGACACGGAGTCTCTCTCTGTTGCCCAGACTGGAGTACAGTGGTGCGATCTCGGCTCACTGCAGCCTCCGCCTCCCAGGCTCAAGCGGTTCTCCTGCCTCAGCCTCCTGAGTAGCTGGGACTACAGGCACACACCACTGCACCCGGCTCATTTTTTTTTTTTTTTTTTTTTTTTTAGTAGAGGCGGGGTTTCGCCGTGTTGGCCAGGCTGGTCTCAAACTCCTGACGTCAGGTGATCCACCTGCCTCGGCCTCCCAAAGTGCAGGGATTACAGGCATGAGCCACCGAGCCCAGCCTCTGACATGATTTAGTAGAAGAATTTCACGTATTAATGTATCAGTTATCTGGATTCTTCTTGATCAGTTTATCTTAAATAGACTAAACAGGTTATCTGTGATCTAGTGTACCTTATAAACTTAAGTACTCTTTCATAGTTTAGAGAAATCAGCACAACTCTTAGAAATTCAAATTAGTCATTTTCTGAATTACAGTTTTCTGTTACAGATTTTGAAATCCTAAATAAAGGACTGCTTATTTAAAGCAAAATTTGAAAGTAAAATGTGAATATGGCCTGGGAGTTTATAATGGAATTAAATCTATTGACTCCGCATACTTTTTAGAGTAATGATATTTAATCAGAGGTATACCTTGTATCACCTAGGGAGCTTTTTCAAAATATGCATGTTTAGGCCACCCCGCCAGAAGAATCAGATTTAAATAGATCTGAGGTGGAGAAGCCAGACAGGTATATTATAAAAAGGGTTCCCAGGTAATTCTGATGTGTTCCTCAGGTTCAGAGTCTGTTTTAAAAGATTGGCCTTGGCCGGGTGCGGTGGCTCACACCTGTAATCCCAGCACTTTGGGAGGCCGAGGCGGACGGATTGCCTCAGCTCAGGAGTTCAAGACCAGCCTAGGCAACACGGTGAAACCCCGTCTCTACTAAAGATACAAAAAATTAGCCAGGCATGATGGTGCGTGCCTGTAATCCCAGCTACTCGGGAGGCTGAGGCAGGAGAATCGCTTGAACCCGGGAGGCAGAGGTTGCGGTGAGCCAAGATCCCACCATTGCACTCTAGCCTGGGCAACAAAGCGAGACTCCGTCTCAGAAAAAAAAAAAAAAAAAAAAGATTGACCTTATGTTGGCAGCTGTTGACAGCCTGACTGAGTGTGCTTTTGTGTCTGTGGGCTAGAGTCATAGCAGTGGGGTTGCCTTATGCATGATTTACGTTCATTTTGAAAGATGTCACCACATTGCTTTCCAGAAATTTATTAACACCTCTCCACCAGCCACTGCTGCTTTACACGTAAGCAAGAGGGGTTCCTGCCATGGTCCCTGCACTTTAAAGGACCCTCATACCATAAACACACAAAACAATTGACTTATTCCAGAACACATAGGACCCCTTTGTCACTCAACATTGGCACAGCTTGACCAGTAACCCCAATCATTGCTCTTGTGACTAACACCACTCAGCCATCAAGGAAATCTCCACATCCGTTGCTCTATGTCTTGGAAGCAAAAGGCACCTGAGTTCAAAGTTTGTGGGTAGTGCCACTGTTGACATCAGAAATGGACATTGCTTTGGAGTGTGGGGAAGATTCGAACAGCAGAAGGACTTAGGTAAGAGAAAAAGACAAATTAATTAACTGATGAAATAGATTCTTGCATCACAAAGTATTATTTCCCTGTAGTGCTAGGTATCCATTTTCTTGCCTCTCTGCATGTTGGAATATTTAGTTCTGAAGATTGTTACAGAGAGGGTTCTGTGGTGTAATGGTTAGCACTCTGGACTCTGAAGATTTTCATGAGTTAGTGTAGTGTCTGTAGAAGTTGCACATGGGGACTGTTACTCTTCAGTTTGTGTATGGGTAGGTCTAGAACAGCACCATCCAGTAGAAATACTGTGAGAGCCACAAATGTAATTTGACATTTTCTAGTGGCCACATCCACAGTGGATCACATCTGAGGTCAGGAGTTCAAGACCAGCCTGACTAACATGGTGAGCCCTGTCTCTACTAAAAATACAAAAATCAGCCAGGCATGGTGGTGGGCACCTGTAATCCCAGCTACTCAGAAGACTGAGGCAGGAGAATCGCTTGAACCCAGGAGGCAGAGGTTGCAGTGAGCCAAGATCGCGCCATTGCACTCCAGCCTGGGCAACAAGAGCGAAACTTTGTCTCAAAAAAAAAAAGTGAAATTAATAATATATTTTATTTAACCAAATATATCCAAAATATTTCAACATGTAATGCATATAAGAAATTATAAGATGTCTTGCTCTTTTTTTGTACTAAATCTTCAAAATCTGGTGTGTTTTACACTTACAGTACATCTCACTGAGGACAGCCACATTTAGCTAGCAGCCACTCAGTAGCCACATGGAGCTGCAGCTTCTGTAAGTGCACAGCACAGGTCTAGACAGAACCTGTGTGAGAAAAACTGATAACAGAGAAAAACAAAAAGCTCCTGTAGTTGCTAACTCTCCGTGTTAGCAACTACATGGATGTTGACTGTTAGAATTATGAATGGTTTTATTTTGATGAAAATATTTAAAAGATGCAGTTAATTTCAAAAATACAGTGGTAAAATTTTTAGCTTTCATGTAATTTTAGCCTTTATGTATTGTATTTACTAATTATAATTCATATTTTAACTTTAACATTAATAAAAATTTTGTATATTTTACAATTACTTTTGTAACTTTTTGGAAATTATATCTGCAAATTACTTCTTTTTTTTGTTTTTTGCTTTTCTTTTTTTTTTTTTTGGTTTTGTTTGTTTTTGAGACAGAGTCACACTGTGTTGCCCAGGCTGGAGTGCAGTGGCACGATCTCGGCTTACTGCAACCTCTGCCTCCCAGGTTCTAGCAGTTCTCCTCAGCCTCCTGAGTAGCTGGTATTACAGGTGTGCGCCACCACGCCTGGGTAATTTTTGTATTTTTAGTAGAGAGAGGGTTTCACCATGTTGGCCAGACTGGTCTCGAACTCCTGACCTCAGGTGATCCGCCCACCTCGGCCTCCCAAAGTGCTAGGATTATAGGTATGAGCCACCATGCCCGGCCAACTTTTTTTTTTTTTAATTTTTTTAGATTAGCTCTTTATTTTTTTATGAAAATACATTCTCATTTTTTTATACTTTGGATATAATTATATTTCACTTTTAATCCCTTAGATTATTGAAAATGAGTATAAGTCAAGATTTTGGTAGAAAAAGAATGCTATAAAGTGGAGCTCACAAAAGAAAAAATGAAAAAGAAAGTAAAAATCTTCAAAGAAGCAGGCTGCTTGCATTTTCCAACACTGGAAGCAGTAAAAGCAAGCAGTCTTCTTCCAGGGTGACCCACATAAAATTCACAAACAAGACATTACAAAGGTTTTGTTCAATTAAGATCTACTTATTAATCAAAACAATTAAAATTAGTAAGAAAATTATTCTCACCAAATCCACAGTTTGAACAAGTCAGATGAAATCATGGCAACCTCCTTCTTTACTAACGGAAGATTTAATTGCTAATCATGAAGAATCACACACAATAAAACACACACCCTGTTACAGGAATTGAGGGAAAGAGGCCGAATAAACAATTGATTTTACCGGAAACAGAAAACAATATAAAATACTGATGTAATGTTCTTGAAAGAATAATACAATGTATCCAATATTTAGCCAAGCCTAATCATTCTTTTCATGACACCGTCAGTACAGTGTGTGCAAAAAACAATGGAAATTTTCTAGGTTTCAGTAAAAGAGATTTCAAAATTTGGTAAAATGCCAAACATATAATTAAGACAAAAATAATGAAAGTAATGATCATTACCTAGGATAGAGAATTCCAACAGATTATGAGTTTAATGGAGAATAAAGTGAGACATGAAATCATTTGTAAAAATTTTTTTGTCAATAAATTTTTTGGTTTTGTGGGGTTTTGTTTTTTTGTTTTTTTGAGACAAGGTCTTACTTTGTCACCCAGGCTCGAGTGCAGTGTTACAGTCGTAGCTCACTGCAGCCTCAATCTCCCAGGCTCAAGTGATCCTCCCATCTCAGCCTCCCAAGTAGGTGGGACTACAGGCATGCACCATGCCTGGCTAATTTTATTTTTAGTAGAGACGGGGTCTTGCCATGTTGCCCAGGCTCGTCTTAAGCTCCTGAGCTCAAGGGATCTTCCCTCCTGCTTGGCCTTCCAAAGTGCTTTGGTGAGCCACCAAACCTGGCCAATTTTTTTTTTTTTTTTTTTTTTTTTGAGACAGAATCTTGTTCTGTCAACAGGCTGGAGTGCAGTGGTACAATCTCGGCTCACTGCAACCTCCGCCTCCCAGGTTCAAGAGATTCTTCTGCCTCAGCCTCCCGAGTAGCTGGGACTACAGGCGCATGCCACCATGCCCGGCTAATTTTTGTATTTTTAGTAGAGAGGGGGTTTCACCATGTTGGCCAGGCTGGTCTCAAACTCCTGACCTCGTGATCTGCCTGCCTCAGCCCCCTAAAGTACTGGGATTACAGGCGTGAGCCACTGTGCCCAGCCCAAAGTTTTTTAATAAAATAGTTACTCAGTTCAACTAGAGTGTACCGTGGTACTGATAGTACCATGAGTGGACCATTACTGCTTGAAGAAAAACAAGCCTAAATCATTCCATGTTTCATTGGCTTTATATCTCCTCCTTAAAGTGTGATTTTTGAATTAAGTGAAGAATTGAAAGAAAACTTTCTGTTTTAGACACTAATTTCAAGGATTGTTGAAGGCAAGCCTGTGATAATGGAGCAAATGTGGTTGGTAAATGAGAGATGTACAAGCAAGAAGCTTGGCTAAGAATCCAGAAGCATACTATGTGACATATACAGCCCATCATTTGAAATTTGTTTCTAGGATGCATGACCTCCACTGTGCCACTAATGGTAGTGCTTTGGAACAATAGAGGGAATAAATGCAGTGTCTTCTAGATATGCCCAAAGATGGAATATCTTGACTAAACTTATATTTCACCCTATAACAAGTCTCAGGTGCACGATGAGAATACCAACGAAATGCTGTTGAAGTAATTAAATTGAATTTAGATAAGAAGAATTCAGCAAAACCATAAAAAGTCTTCAAAGAGCAAATCATGGACTTTAACAAAAAGTGAAATTAATTTTGAACTTGTATTATTTAGTATAAATCTGATTTCTATTAATAAATTTAACAAAACTGTAACCAAAAATATATATATATTATATAAAATATATATAATATATATTATATAAAATATATAACATATATTATTTATATAATATATATTATATAAAATATATAACATATATTATTTATATAATATATATTATATAAAATATATAATATATATTATATAAAATATATATTATATATTATATAAAATATATATAATATATAATATATATTATATAAAATATATAATATATATTATATAAAATATATATTATATATTATATAAAATATATTATATGTTATATATAAAATATAATATATATTATATATATAAATTTATATATATAAATTTAAATTTTTTTTCTGGGAGTATCTACTTGCTTATCTGACATACACACACACACACACACACACACACACACATCCATATAAATATATATATGTGGCTACTTCACCTTTAAAGGATTTAATTTTTTTTTTTTTTTTTTTTTTTTTTTTTTTTTTTTTTTTTTTTTGAGACAGAGTCTTGCTGTGTCACCCAGGCTGGAGTGCAGTAGCACAATCTCGGCTTACTGCAAGCTCCGCCTCCAGGGTTCACGCCATTCTCCTGCATGCCATTCTCCTGCCTCAGCCTCCCGAGTAGCTGGGACTACAGGCGCCCGCCACCACGCCCGGCTAATTTTTTGTATTTTTAGTAGAGACGGGGTTTCACCATGTTAGCCAGGATGGTCTCAATCTCCTGACCTGATGATCTGCCCACCTCAGCCTCCCAAAGTGCTGGGATTACAGGCGTGAACCACCATGCCTGGCCGATTTAAATTTTTTTTAAGTTTATAGAAACAAAATCAAAACTGCATGTGAGATATACAACAAAAATGATGTTCCAACAAAATCCAGGGAAATTGAAACAAGGGAACAAAAATATTTACCTAGCTTGAAGAAAATTCATAGAGAGATAATCCCTAAACCAGTTTCTATAGAAACTATTTTTCAGTTCAGTATAAATCAGAGCATAGTATCATCTGAAGAGAGATTTGAACAAAATTGAATAACATTCTCCTGTTTTTGATTTTCTTCAGAATATACCAGCATCAAAACCTAAAAGAATTTATCTGCATAGACCTAGATACTGTTTAAAAGATTATAAAAAGACTATAAGTGATTGTGATTTATATGATCAAGTTAAAAATTTTAATGCACTCTGCAATCACAATTTATATATAAATCCATATAGTATTTGAGTGTGATCATGTAAAAATCAGTATTCATTTCTAAATCTAAGTACTGCTTTGAGAATTTTGTTGGTAATTCCAGTTGCTGCTGCTTCAGCAGAAGGAAGCTTCTCTAAATTAAAATTAATTAAAAACTTGCTAAAAACTATGTTGACTCAAGAAAGATTGTCTTTTTTGCCATTTTGTCAATAGAAGTCACGTTAAGTATAAGAACATCATCAGGCCGGGCTTAGTGGTTCACGCCTGTAATCCTAGCACTTTGGGAGGCCGAGGTGGGTGGATTGCCTGAGCTCAGGAGTTCACAACCAGCCTGGGCAACATGGTGAAACCACGTCTCTACTAAAAAATACAAAAAATCAGCCAGGCGTGGCAGTGTGCACCTGTAGTCCCAGCTTCTCGGGAGGCTGAGGCAGGAGAATTGCTAGAACCCAGGAGGCGGAGGTTGCAGTGAGCTGAGATCACACCACTGCACTCCAGCCTGGGTGACAGGGTAAGAGTCCGTCTCAAAAAAAAAAAAAAAAAAAATCAGTACTCGCTGGAATGAAGCCAAGAAAAAATATTTTTATGGAATAAATACATAATTTATTAAATGTGTGTGTGTGCGCGTGCATGTGTGCGTGTATGTGTGTGTGTTTGCCATTCATCTGCCATCACCAGCCGATTAACAAATGACCCTGGTATACACAATAATAACTAAGTTAAGTCGTCACTGGTAGTTTGTCAACTTTCAGTCATGTGAAAACCATAGCTTTTTAATATTTTTCTAGATAAAATAGTATGGAGGTTCCTAAAGAAATTAAAAATAGAACTACCTTATAACCCAGCAATCCCACTTCTAGGCATATACCCAAAGGAAATGAAATCACCATTTAGTAAAGATATCTGCACTTCCATGTTCATTGCAGCATTATTCAAAATAGCCAGGATATTGAAACAACTACAGTGTCTGTCCATCAATGAAGAATGGATAAAGTATAATGTATATATACAGTGGAATATAATTCCTTGGTAGGAAAAGGAGGAGATCCTGCCATTTGCAGCAACTTGATACTAAGTGAAATAAGCCAGTCACAGAAAGATACTACATGATCTCACTTAAATATGGAATCTAAAACAAAAAGAAACATTGAGGCTGGGAGTGGTGGTGGCTCACGCCTGTAATCTCAGCACTTTGGGAGGCTGAGGCGGGCAGATCACCTGAGGTCAGGAGTTCAAGACCAGCCTGGCCAACATGGCGAAACCCCGTATCTACTAAAAATATAAAAATTAGCTGGGCGTGGTGGTGGGTGCCTGTAATCCTAGCTACTTGGAAGGCTGAGGCAGTGGAATCGCTTGAACCTAGGAGGCAGAGGTTGCAGTGAGCCGAGACCACGCTGTTGCACTGCAGCCTGGGTGACAAGCAAAACTCCATCTCAAAAAAAAAAAAAAAGAAAGAAACATTGAATACATAGAAACAATGAATGGAATGGTAGTTACCAGGAGTGGGAGAAATGGGAAGGTGTAAGCCAGAGGGTACAAAATTACTGTTATGTAGCATGCGTATGTCTGGAGAAGTATAATATTAGGACTATAGCTAATAATATTGTGTACTGGAAATTTGCTAAGAGGAGATTTTAGAGGCCAGATGCAGTGGCTCATGCCTCTAATCCCAGCACTTTGGGAGGCCAAGGTGGGCAGATCACCTGAGATCAGGAGTTTGAAACCAGCCTGGCCAACATGGTGAAACCCCACTTCTACTAAATATACAAAAATTAGCTGGGCATGGTGGTGGGCGCCTGTAATCCCAGCTACTCGTGAGGCTGAGGCAGGGGAATCACTTGAACCTGGGAGGCAGAGGTTGCAGTGAGCCAAGATCACGCCACTGCACTCCAGCCTGGGCAACAGTGCAAGACTCCGTCTCAAAAACAAAAAAAAGGCTGGGTGCGGTGGCTCACACCTGTAATCCCAGCACTTTGGGAGGCCAAGACAGGCGGATCACGAGGTCAGGAGTTCAAGACCAGCCTGGCCAAGATGGTGAAACTTCATCTCTACTAAAAATACAGAAAAATTAGCTGGGTGTGGTGGCACGCACCTGTAATCTCAGCTATTTGAGAGGCTGAAGCAGAGAATTCCTTAAACCCAGGAGGCAGAGGCTGCTGTGAGCTGAGATGGCACCACTGCATTTCAGCTTGGGCGAAAGAGCAAGACTCCATCTCAAAAAAATTTAAAAAGTAGATTTTAGGTACTCTTACCACAAAAAATAAAGAAAGGTAATTGTGAGATGATAGGTATGTTATTCTAGTTGACTGTAATCATAATTTCACTATGTATATCAAAACATTCATGGCTGGGTGTGGTGGCTTATGCCTGTAATCCTAGAACTTTGGGAGGCCAAGACAGGCAGACTGCCCGAGCTCAGGAGTTGAAGACCACCCTGGGGCCAACATGGTGAAACCCCGTCTCTACTGAAAGACAAAAAATTAGCCGGGAGTGGTGGTGCATGCCCATAATCCCAGCTACTCAGGAGGCTGAGGCAGGAGAATCACTTGAACCTGGGAGATGGAAGTTGCAGTGAGCCGAGATCACACGACTGCACTCCAGCCTGCGCCACAGAGCAAGACTGTCTCAAAAAAAAAAAAAAAAGTTCACCTTATATACAGTGAAACATATATACAAGAAAAATACCGATTTTTCAAGATACATTTACCACAGTAACAGGATAGAACATACTTATAACTTCCCAATATTAAATATATGGTATGTGGGCCTCCAGTTGTATTTGTATTGTTGCCATGGCCCCTTGCAAATGTTAGAGGTGGGCCTGCCACCAGCAGGGACTGGGAGAACCCTCCTTCCTTATCTAACAGGTAAAGGGTAACACTGTTACTTTAATTTGCTCTTCCCTGACAGTGAGTTTGAGCATTTTACATTTGTTTATGGGTTTTTCCTTTTTACAAATTTGCCTAGTTTTGTCCTACACTCATTTTTTCCTTTGAATTATTTTTTCCCTTTCTTATCAGTCTCATTGTTTTTTCTTTTACTTTTTTAACATTCTTTATAGATAGATGGGATTTCTCTATGTTGCTCAGGCTGGCCTTGAGCTCCTGAGCTCAAGTGGTCCTCCTACCTCATCCTCTTGAGTAGCAGGAACTACAGGTACAAGCCACTGTACCTGGCTCTTTCTTATGAGCCTTAAGGTTATGTTCTGCTGTAAATAAAATTTAAAAACCCAAATCTGCTGTTTTTATTTTGCTTTTGCTATGGTATTTTTGCCGTATAAAAGATTTTAGGGCCAGGCACGGTGCCTCACGCCTGTAATCCCAGCAGCTTGGGAGGCTGAGGCGGGTGGATCACTTGAGCCCAGGAGTTTGAGACCAGTCTGACCAACATGGTGAAACCCCGTCTCTACTAAAAATACAAAATTAGTCGGGCATGGTGGCGCATGCCTGTAATCCCAACTACTTGGGAGGCTGAGGCGGGTGGATTACGAGGTCAGGAGATCAAGACCATCCTGGCTAACACGGTGAAACCGCATCTCTACTAAAAATGCAAAAAATTAGCCGGGCATGGTGGTAGGTACCTGTAGTCCCAGCTGCTCGGGAGGCTGAGGCAGGAGAATGGCATGAACCCGGGAGGAGGAGCTTGCAGTGAGCCGAGATCACGCCACTGCACTCCAGCCTGGGCGACAGAGTGAAACTCTGTCTCAAAAAAAAAAAAGAGAGAGATTTTAGGGCTAGGCGCAGTGGTTCACACCTGTAATCCCAGCAGTTTGGGAGGCTGAGGTGGGTGGATTACTTGAGGTCAGGAGTTTGAGACCAGTTGACCAACATGGTGAAACCCTGTCTCTACTAAAAATACAAAATGAGTTGGGCGTGGTGGCGCATGCCTGTAATTCCAGCTACTTGGGAGGCTGAGGCAGGAGAATCACTTGCACCCAGGAGGTGGAGGTTGCGGTGAGCTGAGATCACACCATTGCACTCCAGCCTGGGCAACAAGAGCAAAACTCCATCTCAAAAGTGAAATAAAATAGGCCAGGTGCAGTGGCTCACACCTGTAATTCCAGCACTTTGGGAGGCCGAGGTGGGTGGATCACAAGGTCAGGAGTTCGAGACCAGCCTGGCCAACATAGTAAAATCCCATCTCTACTAAAAATACAAAAACTAGCTGGGCATGGTGGCACACGCCTTTAGTCCCAGCTACTTGGGAGGCTGAGGCAGGAGAATAGCTTGAACCCACGAGGCAGAGGTTGCAGTGAGCCGAGATCATGCCACTGCACTCCAGCCTGGGCAACAGAGCGAGACTCCGTCTCAAAAATAAACAAATAAAAATAAATTTAAAAATTTTTAATTTTTTTTTTCTGGCAGGTGGATTACTTGAGGTCAGGAGTTTGAGACTGTAACCAGTTTAGGGTTACAGTAGCTCCCCCTATCTGCGGTTTCACTTTCTGTGCTTTCAGTTACCCACACTCAACCGCGGTCTGATGTTTTGAGAAAGAGACCACATTCACATAACTTTTACTACAGTATATTGTTTTAATTGTATTATTTTATTATTGTTAATCTCTTACTGTGCCTAATTTATCAATTAAACCTTATCATAGGTATGTACATACAGTATAGGCGAAAACAGTGTTGAGGTCAGTGCTAGCTGAGGTTTCAGGCATCCACTGAGGGTCTTGGAGCGTATCCCCTTCAAATAAGGGGGGACTACTGTTTTACACCTACTGCTGCTGTGAACACTTGTGTATGCTTTTTTGGTGAACACCTGTCCACATTTCTGATGGACAGATACACAGGTGTATAATTGCTGAGTCATGGAATGTGCATATGATCAGTTCCAGTAGATACTGTGAAATGATTGAAGGGGTGGCCTGCCCCTCCACACCTGTGGGTGTTTCTCGTCAGGTGGGACGAGAGACAGAGAAAAGAAAGAGACACAGAGACAAAGTATAGAAGAAAAGTGGGCCCAGGGGACCGGCGCTCAGCGTACGGAGGACCCACTCTGGCACTGGTCTCTGAGTTCCCTCAGTATTTATTGATCATTATCTCTGCCATCTCGGAGAGGGGGATGTGGCAGGACAATAGGGTAATAGTGGGGAGAGGGTCAGCAGGAAAACGTGAGCAAAGGTCTCTGTGTCATAAACAAGGTTAAGAAAAGGTGCTGTGCCTTGATGTGCACGTATACAAACATCTTGGTGCATTAAAGAGCAGTATTGCCACTAGCACATCTCAGCTCTAGCCCTAAGGCTGTTTTCTCCTATCTCAGTAAATAGAACATACAATCGGGTTTTACACCCGAGACATTCCATTGCCCAGGGATGAGCAGGAGACAGATGCCTTCCTCTTATTACAACTGCAAAGAGGCCTTCCTCTTTTACTAATCCTCCTCAGCACAGACCCTTTACGGGTGTCAGGCTGGGGGACGGTCAGGTCTTTCCCTTCCCACGAGGCCATATCTCAGGCTATCACATGGGGAGAAACCCTGGACAATATCTGGCTTTGCTAGGCAGAGGTCCCTGTGGCTTTCCGCAGTGTATTGTGTCCCTGGGTAGTTGAGATTAGAGAATGGTGATGACTTTTAACAAGCATACTGCCTTCAAGCACTTTTTTTTAACAAAGTACATCCTGTATAGCCATAAATCCATTAAACCTTGAGTCAACACAGCACATGTCTCTGCGACACAGGGTTGGGGCTAGGGTTACAGATTAACAGCATCTCAAGGCAGAAGAATATTTCTTAGTACAGAACAAAATGGAGTCTCTTATGTCTACTTCTTTCTACATAGACACAGTAACAGTCTGATCTCTCTTTTCCCCACATAACCCTTTTCTTTTTGACAAAACTGCCATCATCATCATGGCTCGTTCTTGACGGTCGCTGTCTCTTCGGAGCTGCTGGGTACACCTGCAGACTAGCAACAGACAGAACAGGCATGCAAGGATTAATATGAAATTTACAATAATAGTACTTCCGATGGTCTTAACCCAAGTGACAGGGTTAAGATTTGTGAGACCATCAGGAACTGCTGATTGCCTCAGTTCCTGGTACCAAATTTAAATGGGCTTTTGATGCTTTGAACATTTGCTCTTTTAATTTGGAAATGTCTAAAGTGAGATTATCTTCTCTTCCCTGTGGGTGGCGTCTAACCATGTCCCAGTGATGCTCAGACTCATTATAAACTCGGGGTGTAATACAAAAGTCCGACGTATTCCAGTCACACTGTAACTGGAAACGATGTTCTAAGCTCATGAGCCTATCTTCCATCCAAATGACAGTTTGTCTAAGATCATTAATTTGATTTGCCAATTTTTTATCAATACCAGATTGTGAATTCCACAATCTTGTAGAATTATTGTGCCAATGGTTAACAAAGTTTACTGTCTGAACAGAAGAGTACAATGCAACTCCTGCCACAGCGGCCGTAGCTGTGACTGCAATTAATCCCATAGTCACTGCAATTAAAGTAAAATTGAATTTTTTGGCTCTATTTAAGATGGCTTTTAGTACTTCAGTCAAAATATGGATGGATGGTGAGGCCTCCCACAGTCGGTCCATGGACACAGGGATCCACACGCCTTCTCTTGCTCTCACTAGCAGAATATGGTGTTGCCAATTAAAAGTCGAATCAATGCAAGTAAACAATCTGCAGTTTTCGCAGGTTATAGTTTGGGAGTCTGGTTTAATAACTATATTTCCTAACACTAGCATATAAGAGGGCTTTACACAACTTTGCAAAGGAACTGTTAGACTGGAATTTAGGTCGATAGTATAAAATGGCTTACGATCTCTTGTTTCTGTAGTTTGATTTCCAGACCAAATTCTAATGCAGTATGAGGCCACAGTAAGCCTCCATAATTCTGGATGTTCAGGACCAGAAACAGGACTTAATATTTCTGGTCTTGGAGTAGAGATTCCTTTTTCTCCCCATTCCCAAGGGTAGAAAGACTGTAATTTTATGTGCTTCTGTTTGTCTAAACTTTCTGTTAAGTCACTATTAACAGCTGGACTCACTTGTGCACTGGGACACAATTGAGTTTGTCCTGTGCAATTGTGGTAGCATTGACCTCAAGGTGCCCAATCTGTAATAGTTCTGAATTCATCATTTTGTAATATCACCGCACTATTGGCCACACATTCTTCCCAAACTAAAACTTCTGTGTCTTTTGATCCTTTGGGAATTTCCGTGGGGCAAGGTTTTCCTTTAGGCCTAAATTTTAATGATCTTTGATAAGGAAAGTCCTGTAAATAATTTACCTGTGGCCTGTGTGACATTCTGTTTACCATGTGATAAGTAAGTCTACTGGTGGTACTGACAGTAGGTACTGCTACCAACCAATTTTGGATTGCAGCATTAAACATCCTGGCGCATTTTTAAGTGTATCTGAGTGGGCTGGAGCCCTCGTCTGGGCCAGGAAAAAAAAAAAAGCCCTCCGATCCGTCTTTTAGTTGCTTCTCTTCCTTTTTTCTCTCTGGTTTCTCATCACTCCAACCAGCCGCAACCATGCCCAGGAAGAAGGCGGCGGTGGCGGCCTGGGAGGAGCTGAGCTCGGGCAACGGCACTGCCCACGCCAGGGCCCAGGAAACGTGGCGGCCCCGCAGCCGGAAGCGCGAGCCTCCCGAGCGCTGCAGTAGCAGCAGTGGTGGCAGCAGCAGCAGCGGCGACGAGGACGGCCTGGAGCTCGACGGGGCCCCCGGCAGGGGCAAGCGCGCGGCGCAGCCTGTGGCAGCAGGCAAGGTGGGCGGTGCGGCTGTGGTGGTCGCCGAACCCGAGCACACCAAGAAGCACGTCAAACTTGAGACGTGCTGTGTTTACTCAAGGTTTAATGGATTTAGGGCTGTGCAGGCTGTGCTTTGTTAAAAAAGCGCTTGAAGGCAGTATGCTTGGTAAAAGTCATCACCATTCTCTAATCTCAAGTACCCAGGGACACAATACACTGCGGAAGGCCACAGGGACTTCCTCACAAAGTGCAAAGGGGAGCTTTTGATTTTGGGGGCAACCAACTGGGACTTGATTGGTCGAAAATAAGTGCCTAAACAAGGCCAGGAGTGGTGGCTCAGGCTTGTAATCCCAGCACTTTGGGAGGCCGAGGCGGGCAGATCACAAGGTCAGGAGATCCAGACCATCCTGGCTAACACGGTGAAACCCCGTCTCTACTAAAAATACAAAAAAAATTAGCCGGGCGTGGTGGCGGGCTCCTGTAGTCCCAGCTAATCAGGAGGCTGAGGCAGGAGAATGGCGTGAACCCGGGAGGCGGAGCTTGCAGTGGGCCGAGATCGCGCCACTGCACTCTAGCCTGGGCAACAGAGCAAGACTCCGTCTCAAAAAAAAAAAAAAAAAAAAAGTTCCTAAACAGGAAGCTGCGTACGGCAATATCCGTCAGAATTTGTGGGGACCCCATAGGTATGGGTGCCTGGCGGGGGTCCGGGTGCGGACAGTGGTCTCTGGCTCCTGTGCTGCACACAGCCTCCTCATCACCACAGAAGGAAAGCTGTGGAGCTGGGGTCGAAATGAGAAGGCGCAGCTGGGACATGGTGACACCAAGAGAGTAGAAGCCCCCAGACTCACCGAGGGTCTCAGCCACGAAGTGATTGTGTGCAGCGTGTGCGCGGAACCACACCTTGGCCTTGACGGAAACGGGCTCCGTGTTTGCGTTTGGGGAAAACAAGATGGGGCAGCTGGGCCTTGGCAACTAGACAGACGCTGTCCCCAGCCCTGTGCAGATAATGTACAACAGCCTGCCAATTACCAAAATGGCCTGTGAGGCTGCAAATCAGTATGATAATGGACTGCAAAGGAAACCTCTATTCCTTTGGGTGCCCTGAATATGGTCAGCTGGGACACAACTCAGATGGGAAGTTCATTGCCCGGGCACAGCAGATAGAGTATGACTGCAAACTAGTTCCCCAGCGAGTGGCCATCTTCATTGAGAAGACAAAAGACAGATTCTGCCTGTACCAAATATGGTTATGCGAGACGTGGCCTGTGGCGCTAACCACATGCTGGTCCTGGACTCCCAGAAGTGAGTCTTCTCCTGGGGCTTCAGTGGCTATGGCTGGCTGGGCTACACAGAGCAGAAGGATGAGATGGTCCCCCGCCTGGTGAAGCTATTTGACTTCCCTGGGCATGGGGCTTCCCAGATCTATGCTGGTTACACCTGCTCCTTTGCCGTCAGTGAAGTGGGTGGTCTGTTTTTCTGGGGGGCCACCAACACCTCCCATGAATCTACCATGTACCCAAAAGCAGTGCAGGACCTCTGCAGCTGGAGAATCTGGAGCCTGGCTTGTGGGAAGAGCAGCATCATTGTGGCAGCCGATGAGAGCACCATCAGCTGGGGCCCATCACCGACCTTTGGGGAACTGGGCTACAGGGATCACAAGCCCAAGTCTTCCACTGCAGCCCAGGAGGTGAAGACTCTGCATGGCATTTTCTCAGAGCCGGTCGCCATGGGCTACTCACACTCCTTGGTGATAGCAAGAGATGAAAGTGAAACTGAGAAAGAAAAGATCAAGAAACTGCCAGAATACAGCCCCCAAACCCTCTGATGCTCCCAGAGACTCCTCCGACTCCACACCTCTCATGGCAGCTGTCATTTCCATGTGCACTGGGACGGGAAGTCAAACAAGGAATTTAAAAAAGCAAAAGTGGACCGAAGGTGCATTTTTATTTAGACTCCCTGAGGTTCCGTTTTACAAGTGATCCAACGTTAACTACCTTTTTTTCTGTTTGCTTTCCAAAGACCCTTTTTTCCTCTTAATGTCGAATTAAAATACTTGCTCGTAGTTGACTTACCATTCCTACAAAGAGGCAGAAACTTTGAGCAATCTAGGTGTTTTTTTTTTCTTTCTTCCTCTCCTGAATACACTCCCCAAAACACTCCTTTCCAGTTATAATTAGCATCGTGATCTAAGTGGATGCTACATGGAAGAGGAATCGCCATTTACTCAGAAAAAATGTCCCTTACAGGAACCGGCAGCAGCTAGGCGAAGTCGCCGGCCCACCTCCATCCAAAATCATGCTCGCGTGCTTCGGAAGCATCCGGGTCACTCCTTTCCCGCTTTTTCTTGCAGATCGGCCTAGGCCGGTGTCAGTTCTGTTTCTCCTCTTGGCTGCCTGTACACCCACAGCCTTCTGGCTGCAACATTATAGAATCAGCTGTGTCCCCCCTGGTGGGGGATTGGGGATCTGTGTTTAGCCACTTATATCTACTTTAGCTGTTAAAGAAGTCCAAATGAAAATCAGGTGATTATGGAACCATGGGGACTTGGGGGTGGAGCAAAGGTGGGAACATTTGTATCAGTTGAGTCAGCTTCATGGCTCCCTGCGGAGCCAGGGCTGAGCCTTGTCACACGCACTCGCCAATTAGAGATTGATCAGCCAGCAGTCAAATGCATTCTCCAGTCCTTGCAAGAAGGATCAGCCCTTTCTGTACCAGCCTCGATCGCCTTGTACTTTGGTCTCCTTTTCTCCCCTGCCTGGATCCTGCCTCGTGCGGGCCATCCTGTTGCTGAGACTCGGGGTACCGTTCTGCTGACCCAGCTCCCTTTAGTCACGTTTGCTTGGCTCTAGTACCAAATAGTTGGGATTACCAAAGAGTCCCCTTCCTCACATGTCAGCACGGATGCCGTGACTGCCACCCGTGTCCCCGTCAAGTGCCCGTGCCCAAGCTAGCCGCTGTGTGCACTGCACTGAGTGAGTTATGAGGTGCCTTTCCCGGAACCCTCCTCTTGCCTGGACCCAAGAGAGGCAACAGCTGGGGCTGGGGCTCTTGGTTTCCAGAGGGTCTGGACTGGTTTGGGTGCTTTAAAATAGATATTTAGTTCAGTGGTGCTTATGGGGGAGATGGGACTAGAAACTTAAGTGTGAGATTTGGGTGGATGGGAAAGTTAAATATTGGTCTCTTCAAGTTTTTTCTTTAGCTATTGTTACCACTTGTCACTGTCTCCATGTTAAAATGCCAAAAATGATCTAGTTGTTGTTACTTTTTTCCCTATTTTCCACCCCAGTCGCTCCTTACCATGACTCCTGCCCTTGGAGGGCATGTAGCAGTGTCTGTCCAGCCAGTCCCAAGGCCCTGTGGGAAGAGACTGGCCTGCATCTCTCTAAGACTTAGTCTGACGCCACGCGCATCTCTTGATCTGTGTTCAGTCAGTAGTCCAGGGAAGAAGCTTCTGCCACTTCAGAGTTTGCTAAACTAACCTAATTTGTCCAAATCACCCCAAAACCACCATCTCTGACTCAAGCTTCCATGCGACAGCCTGATCCATTTCCCTGGACAGGTCTCTCCTGGAACGCAGCCCAGGCACCTGTGCTCCTGGAACCCTTGAGGTCTCTCCTTTGAGTCGTGGTCACCGAGAGGGTTGAGGACGCAGCACCTGAGGTCCCAGCCTTTGCAGGAGCCGCCCTGGGCAGAGCTGGACTTAGATCTTCGGTGGCCTCATGTAAACCCGGCAGCCAGCCTCTTCTAGAACCCTAGCCCAGGGACTGGAGCAGGAAAGGGATCTTCAAAGTGAAGACTGCCTTGTCCCGCACCTCCTTCTGGCTTAGATTGAAAAATGGGCTTCCTAATGGGTTAAATCCTTTAAAACAAAGAGTTGTGGGGGAAGGGTGCCGTGCACTCCTAGAGAAAGGTACACAGTTGCCCGGCTGGGAACGTGCTTGGCACATCCCTGCGAGCATCTGACTGGTCTTCTAGCTCAGGAAAAAGAATTTGAAAGAGGCTTAGTGTGAAGGGGAATCAAAGAGGAGGTTGTGATTTGGTTGAAGGTGCCTGGTTTAGTGCTGTAATTGTCTTACTTTATATATATATATATATATATATATATATATATATATATATATATATATATATTTCTTGGAGTAAACATTTTAAATAAACGACATCATTATCTACTGAAAAAATAAAAATAAAAAATAAACATCCTGGTGCTCTCCCTAGGCAAGTAGGAGGATAACGATACCCAGTGGAAATATTTGTCATCATTCCTTCTTCCTCAGGTTTGGCAGGGCAACGATCATCTGTGGGGCCAGGTACCCATACACTATTATTAACATATATTTCAGTAGGATTATCCATCCATGTGACTGCCCAAATTAAGGGCGGGAAAGCCACATAGGCCCAGTGGTATAATTAGCTGCAGCTGCTCCTGCAGGCATGGGGAGACTTACCACCATTGATACAATCATCAAAGCTGCAAGCGGCCAGGCATGGTGGCTCATGCCTGTAATCCCAGCACTTTGGGAGGCCGAGGCGGGTGGATCACGAGATCAAGACCAGCCTGACCAACATGGTGAAACCCCGTCTCTACTAAAAATAGAAAAATTAGCTGGGCGTGGTGGCACGCGCCTGTAATCCCAGCTACTCAGGAGGCTGAGACAGGAGAATTGCTTGAACCTGGGAAGTGGAGGTTGCCATGAGCTGAGATCGCACCACTGCACTCCAGCCTGGTGACGGAGCAAGACTCCATCTCAAAAAAAAAAAAAAAAAAAAAAAAAGCTACAAGCAGCCTACTCTCTGGAGTTTGTGTCACCTTTGTGTTCTCAAGGCTTTTTTTTTTTTTTAGCTAACTGTGCCAGCTTCTTTAATTGTGCCCAAGTCAGTGGCTCCGCTTTCTTGGTGGATGGCAACTTCGTCTGTTCTTCTGACATCACCATTCTGTTCATCATATGAGTTGATGGTGCTCGATTGCAGTGTTTCTGTCTCCGCGGAGGCGCTTTTTTTTGCATCTCCGATGGGTTCATTGCAGAACGTTAAATGTCTAGTGGGTATCCAAACAGGAAGCTGATTTTCTCCTAGTGAAACAAGCAAAACCTTTCCCCCACGTTACCACCTTCCCTATTTCCCATGTCTTATTTTTGTTGTCTTTCCACCAAATCAGTTTTCCTTCATGTGGGCTGTTCTTTTTACCAGTAAGATGTTCTGCAGAAGTAGTAGTCTGATTTCTATAAATGTTTAAAAAATTTAAAGTATAGAGTGCTAGATTAAGTTGCATCTGAGGAGTGGTACACTCCTTACTGTCTCCCCCTTCGTTTTGTTTAACTAATTGAGTTTTGAGTGGTCTATTAGTTCTTTCAACTATGGCCTGTCCTTGGGAATTATAGGGAATTCCTGTTGTATGTGTAATTTTCCACGGATTTAAGAATTTTTGGAAAGCTTTACTACAATATCCTGGTCCATTGTCAGTTTTGATTTTTTCTGGAACTCCCATTACAGCAAAACAAGACAATAAATGTTTTTTAACATGGGAAGTACTTTCTCCTGTTTGGCAAGCTGCCCATATGAAATGTGAATAAGTATCAACTGTTACATGAACATATGATAATCTTCCAAATGAAGGTACATGCGTGACATCCATTTGCCATAACACATTAGGACATAGACCTCTGGGATTAACTCCTGCCTCTTGAGTGGGCAGGTGTAGGACTTGACACTGGGTGCAATGTTGTACAATATTTTTTGCCTGTTTCCATGTGACGTCAAATTTGTTTTTTAATCCTGCTGCATTTATATGAGTCAAAGCATGAAGTTCTTGTGCTTTTATGAATGCAGATGGTACCAGTAAGTCAGCTTGTTCATTTGCTTTAGTTAAAGGCCCTGGTAAATTAGTGTGTGCCCAAATATGAGTAATGTAAAATGGGAAATTTCTGTTTCTTACAGTTTGTTGTAATAAATTGAACAGCTGGTTTAACTGATCATCCATGCTATATTTAATTAGAGCTGTCTCAACATCCCTTGTAGCCTGTACTACATATGCAGAATCTGATACAATATTAATAGGTTGATTAAAATCTTGTAACACTGTAAAGACTGCAACCAACTCAGCTCTTTGAGCCGATTGATAATGAGTTTTGATTACTTGCTCTTTTGGCCCTATGTAAGCTGCCTTTCCATTGCTGGAACCATCAGTAAACACCGTCAGAGCATTTTCTAAAGGTTCATGTCTCGTAATTTTAGGTAAAATCCAAGTAGTCAATTTTAAGAACTGGACGATTTTTGTTTTGGGGTAATGATTATCAGTAATTCCCACAAAATCAGTAAGACCAATCTGCCATGCACCAGAATTGATAAAGGCTTGTCTAACTCGTTCCTTGTTTAAAGGAACAACTATTTTGTCTGGGTCATTTCCACACAATTTTATTATTCGTAATTTTGCCTGACCAATTAATGTAACTATTTGATCCAAGTACAATGTAAAAGTCTTAATTGTACTGTGAGGAAGGAATGACCACTCCACAAGATCAGTATTTTGAACATTGATGCCTGCTGGAGAATGTGCAGTAGCAAAAATCAAAAGTTGGAGTGGGGCTAAGGGATCTATTCTATTTATTTGTGCTGGTTGAATTTTTTCTTCCACTAATTTAATTTTTTTTGTTGCCTCTGGAGTGAATATTCTTTTACTATTTAAATCTGGGTCTCCTCTTAAGATAGAGAACAAATTTGACGTGACATAAGTAGGAATGCCTAGAGTTGGCCGAATCCAATTAATATCTCCTAGCAATTTTTGAAAGTCATTTAATGTTTTTAATGTGTCTTTTCTTATTTCTATTTTTTGTAGCTTAATTTTTCTATATTCTATTTGCATCCCTAAGTAATGAAAAGGAGTAGAGGTTTGAATCTTATCAGATGCTATTGCCAGTCCAGCATTGGCAACCTCTGCTTGCAGAAATGTATAACAGTTAATTAATTTGTCTCTCATTTCTGCAGCACATAAAATATCATCAACATAGTGAATGATATAACAGTCTGAAAACTTGTCTCTAACTGGTTGAAGAGCTTGACAAATAGTTGGACTATTAAGCATTCCCTGAGGTAACACTTTCCACTGAAATCTGGTGGCTGGTTCTTTATTATTTATGGCTGGTATAGTAAAGGCAAATTTTTCATAATCCTGCTCCGCCAGAGGGATGGTAAAAAAGCAGTCCTTCAGATCAATTATAATTAAAGGCCAGTCTTTTGGGATCATGGCCAGAGAGGGCAACCCGGGTTGGAGAGGCCCCATGGGTTGAATTACGGCATTTACGGCTCTTAAGTCAGTTAACTTATGCCATCTGCCGGATTTTTTTTGAATTACAAACACAGGAGAATTCCAAGGCGAGAACGAAGGCTCAATATGTCCCTTTTCTAATTGTTCCTTTGCTAATAAATGTAAAGCCTCCAGTTTTTGTTTTGGTAGCGGCCACTGATTTACCCATACCGGTTTTTCTGTTTTCCAAGTTAATGGAATGGGTTTAGGAGGCTCTACAGTGGCCACCCCTAAAAAGGATACCCTATTCCTTTTCTTTCTTGATTTCTCTCAGTCTCAAGTGGAACTTTAATGCCATTTTCATTTTTTCCTAGTCCCTTTCCTGGTATATATCCCATATTAGTCATGATTTTTTGACTCCTGAGGCTGTATAATGGAGCAGGCATAGTGATTTCTGCACCCCATTGTTGTAATAAATCTCAACCCCACAGATGAAGTAATCATTGGTTGAAGTAATCATTGAAGTAATCATTGGTTGAACAGTACTTTCTTGATTATCCGGCCCTAAACAATGTAATAGTACTTTGATACACTTCTGAGGAGTGCCTACGCCGACAAGTCCTGTAACAGCCTTTCATTTAGGCCAATTTTTTGGCCACTGGTTTAAAGCAATGATAGAGACATCTGCTCCAGTGTCTACCAACCCTTCAAACTGTTTTCCTTGAATAATGGCCTTACACACAGGTCTGCTCTCTGAGAACTGACTTGCCCAATATGCAGCCTTTCCTGCCGGATCAGTGCTTCCAAACCCTCCTTTCTATTTATCTCACTGTTTCCAACCTTAATATAAGGCAGGAGTAACAACTGAGCAATCCTGTCTCCTGGACTGGCACTGCAAGGAATTGAGGAGCTAATAACCAATTGAATTTCACCTTTGTAGTCTGAATCAACCACACCAGTATGAATTTGAACTCCCTTTAGATTTAGACTTGATCTTCCTAAGATTAGTCCTACAGTCCCCTCAGGCAGGGGGCCATATACCCCTGTGGGAATTTTTTGTGGGGGCTCCCCTGAAAGCAGAGAGACTGCTTGTATAGTACATAAATCTACTGCTACACTGCCGCTTGTGGCAGGGGACAATTGTTGTATTGTGGTAACTGGCTCATTCCCTGAGGCACTTGTGACAGTGGGGGTTGTTGTCCCTGAAAACCCTGAGGAACAAAGGGCTGAACTGGGAATGCCCCAGTTTGTTGCAGGGCCTGAGGCTGGCCCCTTTGCTGTTTCCTGACAATAGTTGCCCATTTCTATCAAATTTAGAATTTGATAGAATTCTAATAGTGTTTTTCTTTTTTACATCTTGGACATAAGTCGGGTGGCTCTTTATCTGTTGTTGTTGTAGTAGCTTGAATAGTTATATTTTGTTTTTTTGAGGCTGGGCAATTCTTTTTTAGATGACCAATTTGACCACAATTATAACATTTTCCCCCAAATGTTCTAACTTGTCCTCCTAAAGCAACTCCCATTATTGCTTGAGCCATAAGCATAGTTTTATGCATAGCTCCTCCAATTCCATCATAGGCTTTTACGTACTCTGAGATTACATCTGATCCTGTGGGAACCTTCCCTTTTAATGGCTTAGTGGCTGATTGACACTCAGGATTGGCGTTTCCATATGCCATCAACTCCACTATGACCTTACGGGCATTTTCATCGGTAATTGACTTTTGAGCAGCATCTCGGAGCCTTGCCACAAAATCAGGGTAGGGCTTTTTAGAGCCTTGTCTTATTGTATTGAATGAGGGGCAGGTGGTTCCTGGGTCTTGGATTTTTTTCCCAGGCCCTAAGGCAGATAGCTCTAACTTGCTCAATGGCCTCATTTTGCATTATTGCTTGTTGATTAGTAGTGCTCCAATTTTGACCTTTTCCTAATAGTTGATCTGCATCTATGTTAACTGGAGGATTGGCAGCCCTATTACTTCAGACCTGTTCTTGTGCCCCATCAATCCACCAACTCTTAAATTGTAAAAATTGAGACAGTGAGAGTGATGATTTGGCCAAAATCTCCCAATCATAAGGAATGAGTCTATGTCCATGAGCAGTGGAACCTAATAATGTTCTCATATAAGGGGAGTTGGGTCCATACTGTTTTACTCCCTCTTTCATATCTTTTAACATTTTTATAGAAAAGGACTCATATCTGGCCCCAACTAGGGTAGGCGCTCCTTCTTGGGCCCCTTCTCCAGGTGGCATCGGTACTGGGAATTGCCACGCCTCAATATCTCCTTGTTTCCTTGCCTTATCAATAATTTTATGTAATGCACTACCTTGTCCACTAGGTGGTGCTGTAGGATAAAGTCTTATAGTGGGCGGCTGAGGCTATAGCGCCCTGCCCTGTGGTGCTGGAAACACTCCTGGCTGTCCATACTGATTTTCTGGGGGCGGCCGATACTGAAGTTCGGCTGGCGGCCAGTATTGATAGGCTACTGGCGGTTGGGTCTTATTTTCTACCGGCTGATATTGTGGATACTGTATTTGGATTGGCGTTGCCATGACAGAGACTCTCTATTTGATATTCTCTTGGGGTTTGTACTTGTCTAACCTGCATTTGAGGTTGTAATGTTACAGGCATCTGAACCGCTGGAAGAGGAGTTGGCCATCATGGTTTAGACTCTGATGGCCCCGCTAATTCTGGACCTTTTTCTTCTAATTCTAATGCTTCAGGATATATTACCTCCTGTAATTGATTGTAGTCAACATTTTGCATTGACCGAGCCATTACAGACTCTGCTACATATTTACAATGTGAACTTTTGAACTTTCCATTCCTTTCTGGGATTCTATCCCTGCCTATTCTTCACAATCTATTACACAGCTTTCAGGGGCATCAGCAACTGAAACGCTATCTTCTCCTGTTTGAAACAGTTCTAAATTAGCTGCTTTAATAATGGCCCAATCATTCCATACGGTAAGTGGGATGATTTTACCCTTCCTACTTGCTTGTTTTAATTCTTTGCCAATTTTTTCCCAATCTTTTAGATCTAAAGTTCCCTGTTCTAGAAACCATGGGCAGAATTGTTCTACTGTTTGAAATAGCGTGATTAGATTTTTTTGTAGAGACTCTAACTCCCCCCTTTTTAAAAGAATTTTAATAAAGCTGAGATAAGAGGCATATTTACTTTCAGTTTGCCCCATTGTTACCCTAGGTTCTTCCGAGGGCACAAGCTTACCACAAGACTGACTGTAGACGTACTCGGGAATCTCTCATCAACTTGTTCTCAATGACCACGCTCTAGCTCACCTTCACCCTAGAGAAAAGCACCCACGTTGGGCACCAGATGAAGGGGTGGCCAGCCCCTCTACACCTGTGGGCGTTTCTCATCAGGTGGGACGAGAGACTGAGAAAAGAAATAAGAGGCTGGGTGCGGTGGGTCACGCCTGTAATCCCCGCACTTTGGGAGGCCGAGGCCGGTGGATCACGAGGTCAGGAGATCGAGACCATCCTGGCTAACAGGGTGAAACCCCATCTCTACTAAAAATACAAAAAATTAGCCGGGCCCAGTGGCGGGTGCCTGTAGTCCCAGCTACTCAGGAGGCTGAGGCAGGAGAGACAGAGACAACGTATAGAGAAAAAAAAGTGGGCCCAGGGGACCGGTGCTCAGCATACGGAGGACCCCCACCGGCAACAGTCTCTGAGTTCCCTCAGTATTTACTGATCATTATCTCTACCATCTGGAGAGGGGGATGTGGCAGGACAATAAGTTAATAGAGAGGAGAGGGTCAGCAGGAAAACATGTGAACAAATGTCTCTGTGTCATAAATAAGGAAAGGTGCTATGCCTTGATGTGCATGTATACAAACATTAAAGAGCAGTATTGTCGCTAGCACCTCTCACCTCCAGCCCTAAGGCTGTTTTCTCCTATCTCAGTAAATAGAACATACAATCGGGTTTTAAACCCAGACATTCTATTGCCCAGGGACAAGCAGGAGACAGATGCCTTCCTCTTATCACAACTGCAAAGAGGCCTTCCTCTTTTACTAATGCTCCTCAGCACAGACCCTTTACGGGTGGGGTGTCGGGCTGGGGGACAGTGTCGGGCTGGGGGACGGTCAGGTCTTTCCCTTCCCACAAGGCCATATCTCAGGCTATCACATGGGGAGAAACCTTGGACAATACCTGGCTTTCCTAGGCAGAGGTCCCTGCAGCCTTCCGCAGTGTATTGTGTCCCTGGGTACTTGAAATTAGAGAATGGTAATGACTTTTAACAAGCATACTGCCTTCAAGCACTTTTTTAACAAAGCACAGCCTGCATAGCCCTAAATCCATTAAACCTTGAGTCAACACAGCACGTCTCTGCGACACAGGGTTGGGGTAGGGTTACAGATTAACAGCATCTCAAGGCAGAAGAATTTTTCTTAGTACAGAACAAAATAGAGTCTCTTATGTCTACTTCTTTCTACATAGACACAGTAACAGCCTGATCTCTTTCGTTTCCCCACAAATCCATATAGTATTTGAGTGTGATAATGTAAAAATCAGTATTCATTTCTAAATCTAAGTACTGCTTTGAGAATTTTGTTGGTAATTCCAGTTGCTGCTGCTTCAGCAGAAGGAAGCTTCTCCAAATTAAAATAAATTAAAAACTTGCTAAAAACTATGTTGACTCAAGAAAGCTTGTCTTTTGCCATTTTGTCAATAGAAGTCACGTTAAGTATAAGAACATCATCAGGGGCCGGGCGCGGTGGCTCACGCATGTAATCCCAGCACTTTGGGAGGCCGAGGCGGGCGGATCACGAGGTCAGGAGATCGAGACCATCCCGGCTAAAACGGTGAAACCCCGTCTCTACTAACAATACAAAAAATTAGCCGGGCGTAGTGGCGGGCGCCTGTAGTCCCAGCTACTCGGGAGGCTGAGGCAGGAGAATGGCGTGAACCCAGGAGGCGGAGCTTGCAGTGAGCCGAGATCCCGCCACTGCACTCCAGCCTGGGCGACAGAGCGAGACTCCTACTCAAAAAAAAAAAAAAAAAAAAAAAAAAGAACATCATCAGGCCAGGCTTGGTGGCTCACGCCTGTAATCCCAGCACTTTGGGAGGCCAAGGTGGGTGGACTGCCTGAGCTCAGGAGTTCATGACCAGCCTGGGCAACATGGTGAAACCCCATCTCTACTAAAAAATACAAAAAATTAGCCAGGCTTGGCAGTGTGCACCTGTAGTCCCAGCTTCTCAGGAGGCTGAGGCAGGAGAACTGCTAGAACCCAGTTGCAGTGAGCCGAAATCACACCACTGCACTCCAGCCTGGGCGACAGGGCAAGAGTTGGTCTCAAAAAAAAAAAAAAAATCAGTACTCCCTGGAATGAAGCCAAGAAAAAATATTTTAATGGAATAAATACATAACTTATTAAATGCATCTGTGTGTGTGCATGTGTGTGTGTGCACGTGTGTGCGTGTGTGTGTGTGTGTGTTTGCCATTCATCTGCCATCACCAGCCGATTAACAAATGACCCTGGTATGCACAATAATAACTAAGTTAAGTCATCATTGGTAGTTTGTCAGCTTGCAGTGAGCCAAGATCACACCCCTGCACTCCAGCCTGGGCAACAGTGCAAGACTCCGTCTCAAAAACAAAAAAAAGTCCGGGCGCAGTGGCTCACACCTTTAATCCCAGCACTTTGGGAGGCCAAGGCAGGCAGATCATGAGGTCAGGAGTTCAAGACCAGCCTGGCCAAGATGGTGAAACTTCATCTCTACTAAGAATACAGAAAAATTAGCTGGGTGTGGTGGTACACGCCTGTAATCTCAGCTGTTTGGGAGGCTGAAGCAGAGAATTCCTTAAACCCGGGAGGCAGAGGCTGCTGTGAGCTGAGATGGCGCCACTGCATTTCAGCTTGGGCAAAAGAGCAAGACTCCATCTCAAAAAAATTTAAAAAGTAGATTTTAGGTACTCTTACCACAAAAAAATAAAGAAAGGTAATTGTGAGATGATAGGTATGTTATTCTAGTTGACTGTAATCATAATTTCACTATGTATATCAAAACATTCATGGCTGGGTGTGGTGGCTTATGCCTGTAATCCTAGAACTTTGGGAGGCCAAGACAGGCAGACTGCCCGAGCTCAGGAGTTGAAGACCACCCTGGGGCCAACATGGTGAAACCCCGTCTCTACTGAAAGACAAAAAATTAGCCGGGAGTGGTGGTGCATGCCCATAATCCCAGCTACTCAGGAGGCTGAGGCAGGAGAATCACTTGAACCTGGGAGATGGAAGTTGCAGTGAGCCGAGATCACACGACTGCACTCCAGCCTGCGCCACAGAGCAAGACTGTCTCAAAAAAAAAAAAAAAGTTCACCTTATATACAGTGAAACATATATACAAGAAAAATACCGATTTTTCAAGATACATTTACCACAGTAACAGGATAGAACATACTTATAACTTCCCAATATTAAATATATGGTATGTGGGCCTCCAGTTGTATTTGTATTGTTGCCATGGCCCCTTGCAAATGTTAGAGGTGGGCCTGCCACCAGCAGGGACTGGGAGAACCCTCCTTCCTTATCTAACAGGTAAAGGGTAACACTGTTACTTTAATTTGCTCTTCCCTTTCCCTGACAGTGAGTTTGAGCATTTTACATTTGTTTATGGGTTTTTCCTTTTTACAAATTTGCCTAGTTTTGTCCTACACTCATTTTTTCCTTTGAATTATTTTTTCCCTTTCTTATCAGTCTCATTGTTTTTTCTTTTACATTTTTAACGTTCTTTATAGATAGATGGGATTTCTCTATGTTGCTCAGGCTGGCCTTGAGCTCCTGGGCTCAAGTGATCCTCCTACCTCTTCCTCTTGAGTAGCAGGAACTACAGGCACAAGCCACTGTACCTGGCTCTTATGAGCCTTAAGGTTATGTTCTGCTGTAAATAAAATTTTAAAAAATCCCAAATCTGCTGTTTTTATTTTGCTTTTGCTATGGTATTTTTGCCACATAAAAGATTTTAGGGCCAGGCGTGGTGCCTCACGCCTGTAATCCCAGCAGCTTGGGTGGCTGAGGCGGGTGGATCACTTGAGCCCAGGAGTTTGAGACCAGCCTGACCAACATGGTGAAACCCCGTCTCTACTAAAAATACAAAATTAGTCGGGCATGGTGGTGCATGCCTGTAATCCCAGCTACTTGGGAGTCTGAGGCAGGAGAATCACTTGTACCCAGTAGGTGGAGATTGCAGTGAGCCAAGATCACGCCATTGCACTCCAGCATGGGCAACAAGAGCAAAACTCCATCTCAAAAATGAAATAAAATAGGCCGGGTGCAGTGGCTTACGCCTGTAATTCCTGCACTTTGGGAGGCTGAGGTGGGTGGATCACAAGGTCAGGAGTTCGAGACCAGCCTGGCCAACATAGTGAAACCCCATCTCTACTAAAAATACAAAAATTAGCTGGGCATGGTGACACACGCCTGTAGTCCCAGGTACTCGGGAGGCTTAGGCAGGAGAATAGCTTGAACCCATGAGGCAGAGGTTGCAGTGAGCCAATATCACGCCACTGCCCTCCAACCTGGGCAACAGAGTGAGACTCCATCTCAAAAATAAATAAAAGTAAAATAAAAAAAGATTTTAAATTTTTTCTGGCAGGTGGATTACTTGAGGTCAGGAGTTTGAGACTGTAACCAGTTTAGGGTTACAGTAGCTCCCCTTATCTGCGGTTTCACTTTCTGTGCTTTCAGTTACCCACACTCAACTGCGGTCTGATGTTTTGAGAAAGAGACCACATTCACATAACTTTTACTATAGTATATTGTTATAATTGTATTATTTTATTATTGTTAATCTCTTACTGTGCCTAATTTATCAATTAAACTTTATCATAGATATGTACATATCATACATATCATAGATATGTACATATATATGTACATATATAGATATGTATAGGGGGAAAGATAGTGTTTATAGAGGTCAGCGCTAGCTGAGGTTTCAGGCATCCACTGAGGGTCTTGGAACGTATCCCCTGCAAATAAGGGGGGACTACTGTTTTACACCTACTGCTGCTGTGAACACTTGAGAATGCGCTTATGGTAAACACCTGTCCATATTTCTGATGGACAGATACACAGGTGTATAATTGCTGAGTCATGGAATGTGCATATCATCAGTTTCAGTAGATACTGTGAAATGCTTTTCCAAAGATGTTGGTACAATTGACACTAACAGCAGTACTGAATGAGAGTTCCACTTCCTGCACATCCTTGCCAGGTTTGATGTGCCTCTTCATTTTAGCCATTCTACTGGAGGGCAGGTGGAGTGGAAAGAATGATTTTTTTTTTTTTTTCTGAGATGGAGTCTCACTCTGTCACCCAGGCTGGAGTGCAATGGCACAATCTCAGCTCACTGCAGCCTCCACCTCCTGGGTTCAAGCGATTCTTCTGCCTCAGCCTCCCAAATAGCTGGGATTACAGACACACGCCACCACACTTAGCTAATTTTTTTTTTTTTTTGTATTTTTAGTAGAGACAGAGTTTCACCATGTTGACCAGGCTAGTCTCAAACTGCTGACCTCAGGTGATCAGCCTGCCTCGGCCTCCCAAAGTGCTGGAATTACAGGTGTGAGCCACAGCGCCTGGCCAAGAATGATTATTTTTAAGATTGAACTCAGGTTGTGTCACTTCCTAACTCAAACTGCCCAGCGTCCTCCCATTTAACTCAGAATAAAAGCCTTTGCAATGGCCTAAAGGTAGGATGATTATATTCTTTAGTGTTTAAACTGAAACTTAATTTTGAGAGTAAAAGTGGTACTATTAATAATTAAGCCATGACAGCAGGCATACATTTGAACTGGCCTGGGTAACTAGTGTGTATGGTCACCCCACTTGTCAAGAGATATCGTGATCTGGACTTGGCTGTCCCTCTGATCATTCTCCTACCACGCTCTCCCTCATTTTATTCTCTCCAGCCACACTGGCCTCCTTCAAATTCCATGCACATGGCAGGCATGTTTGTGCATCAGGAACGCTCCTCCCCAGCAGCTGGGATGGCATGATTGCCCCTCTGTCCTGCAGAGACACTCTGTGTAAAACAGCACCTCCCCACCATCACTCTTCCCTGGTGCTTCTTTGTTTTTTTGTTTGGGTTTTTTGTTTTTTTGTTTTGTTTTTGTCACCTGACATATTATTGCCCTGTTACTACCACCCTCTACCCCAAATGCAGGCTCCATGGGAGAAAGGACTTTGTTTAGCTTTACCACTGTGTCCCAGCACTTAAAACAATGCCTCAAATATAATTCATTATAGAACCTTGCTGGTGGGTATGCTGGGGTGTTCGTGTACAATTTGTTCAACTGTGTTACAGTCACGCGTCTCATGACAGGACAAGAAATGCATCCTGAGAAATGCATAGTTGGGCAATTTCATGGCCATGCAAACATCATAGGGGTGCACTCACACAAACCCAGATAGGAGAGACTAATACACATCTAGGCTATGTGGTCCGGCCTGTTGCTGCTACGCTACACACCTGTGCAGCATGTGACTGTCCTGAATCCTCTAGGCAGTTGTCACACAATGGTAAGTACTTGTGTATCTAAACATAGAAGTACAGTAAAAATAGAGGATTATAATCTCATGGGACCACCATCCTATATGCAGTCTGTTGATCAAAACATCATAGGTGGCACATGACTGTATTCGAGAATTCATAATAAAATGTTAGGGGAAAATTAACGGATTTGATCTTTACGACAACCCCATGCACAGGGTCCATAGGCAGGCAGCATCAGCGACACCCGGGAGGTTGTCAGAAACGCAGGATCAGCCAGGCACAGTGGCTCACGCCTGTAACCCCAGCACTTTGGGAGTCCAAGGCAGGCGTATCACCTGAGCTCAGAGGTTTGAGACCAGCCTGGCCAAGATGATGATGAAACCCTGTCTCTACTAAAAATATAAAAATTACCCAGGTGTGGTGGTGCATGCCTGTAGTCCCAGCTACTTGGGAGGCTGAGGCAGGAGAATCACTTGAACCCGGGAGGCAGAGGTTGCCGTGAGCCAAGATTGTGCCACTGCACTGCAGCCTGGGCGACAAAGTGAGACTTCATCTCAAAAAAAAAAAAAAAAAAAAAGCAGGATTTTGGGTCCCAGCCTGTATCTACCAAGTCACTTTTTCCTTTCCTTTCTCCTCTTGGTGGCAGCTTCAGAGTCTCTGTGGGCCCAAGCACCCCAGGAATTCTTATACACACTAAAGTTTGAGAAGCACTCTTACTTTTATCCCCATTTTATGATGGGGACAAAGAGACACAAAATAAAACTTAGCATCACAGCTAGAAAACGGTGGTGTTGGGATTGGATGTACTCTTAAAGCTGAGGTGTGGAGGAGTGTCCAGCAATCCACCTGTAACTTACACGTAGAATGAGAAGCAGCAGGTTCTTTCTAGAATGTTGGAATTAAATGGGTGCCCCATCAACATATAACATGAAACTTTAAGTGGTTTTAAGGTACATTGTTGGTTATGGTGTTCATTCTCATTTTCAGCCTGTCACTTTTTTTCTGTTTATTTTTGGCAGAAACTTGGGAACCGTGGGTGCTGTTGCCTTGGACTGCAAAGGGAATGTAGCCTACGCAACCTCCACAGGCGGTATCGTTAATAAAATGGTCGGCCGCGTTGGGGACTCACCGTGTCTAGGTAGGACCAAGGGATGCCTCCTGCCCCTTCCCCTCTTCTCCCGCCCTCAGGCTTTCCTCACTCTCTATTCCCTGCCCCTCTCCGTTTCTTGCTGCGTTCCCTTTCTGCTTTTGGTGCAGCTCCAGGATGTCTGGGAGTGACAATGGGGTTGGAAGGGGTTGTTCGGGGTGCTGCCTTGAGAGGGTGTTTGTATCTGGCGCCACTGTTTTTACTAGATTGCATGCCTTTTTGGAACAACTTGGGGAGAGAAGTGGAGACAGGGATGCTAACGTTGCCCCCAGTCTACCCTGTCGTGATTCTGTCTTCTCTTTAGCCACAGTTTCAGGATCTGCAGACTTACTTGAGTAAGACTTACTCCCGAGACATGGGCTCTGATTAGCAATCTGAGAAATCTGAGACTGCAGTTGTTAGATCTGAGCAGCATGAAAGTGACATACTTCTACAGACACATTATAGATTGAGATGTTGTTTACATTAACGGGGAAGCACGCCATCTCATTCCCAGGAGTGGGTGAGAGGCAGGGCTGGGGGGCTGTATGTTTCACTCCGTGCAGACTTTCACACTTGTCATGCAGGAATCCTCATGAACCCCCACAGGTGACTGAAGTTTTGAGAAGCAGCTAAATTGTTCCATCTGCCCTAAAGAGCAGCTTATTCTTTTAGAGGAAAACTAGCCCTACCTTCCCTTTTTAATGTGTTGCTCTAGTCTTTAGTAATAATCTACACTCTCGACAATTCTTGATACCCTTTTTCTGTCATGAACTCAGAGACACTGGAAGCTTCCTTAAAAAGAGTAGAGGCTTGGTAACTCCTCTTCTCCTTGGTATATCACCCAAGAGATGTGAAGTAGTCTACCTTTCTTTCTCCTTGGCAAAAATCCCACCAAACTGTGCCTGGTCAGTAGTGCAGCTTGCTTCAGCTGCGTTCAGACCAGGCCACAGGGCCACTCCAGGTTAGATCCTAGAAATTAATTTTAAGCTTGAGTTACAGTGGTAAATCTTGACAAGAAAAGGCATAAGCTAAATTCTCAGAACTCTCTGTCCAGCTGTGAGCACCAGGTGTGCTCTGCCTGGCCTTCTGAGGAGCCTCCCCAAGGAGCACTGCCACTGGCCAGGCCCCTGCCTGGACAGTCATGGGGGACGGTACTAGGCTCAGCAGTGGTCACCTCAGGCAATGCACTTGTCCTGAGAAGTGCATGTGGCGGGGAGGACAGCTTCACACGCCCGATGCCTGTGCCAGGACCACCCTTGGAGACACCTGGCCTTCTGTGGTCCTAGAGTAACTGAAAAGTAAGCAAAGACTTGGCTGCTTCCAAATATTAGGGCACTTTGACACCATGGAACCCGGTCAGTTAATTCCCCAGCAGAAGCTTATAAGAAAAAGTAAAGGCGCCTCCTCCCACTGCAGCAGTTCATTGGCTGTCCAGTGTCAGCTCCCTCCAGAACCAGAGCCAGGGATTATCTGCCTTTGAGAACCTCTGGGGCCTTGTGACAATCCAATGCAGCATCTCAACTCCTGAGTCCTTGCCCCATGTCCAGCATCAATAAGTAAGGCAAATGTCAATCTTCTGTGCTTCTGTATCAACTGTGGGAGGGTAAAGGCGAATCCTTCCAAGGCTAAAGGACTCTGAGGCTGGTAGCTGTGTGTGAACAGATACAAGAATGACTCAGAGAAGGCTGTAAGGTTGCTTAATCCAAGCCCAAAATAAGGAAGAAATCTTATCAAAGTAGCTTTCACTCCAGACCCCCACTTAAGTGGATAGCCCAGAATAGTTCCCTCAGGTCCAATTATGCCCACCCTCAACAAATATAACTGCCCTCCATTAGACAGTGTGCATGGATGTTAGGTTGTGGGTATCATTTTCCCCAAATCACTGGAACATGATGGCCTTGCTAGAGATCCATATAATGCAGTCATGCTGTTTCTTCCTCCATAGTGTGTGGGGCATGAGGAGGAGACAGGGAGAGGGTGGCTTCATTGAGCAAAAAGGAATGGCTGTGCTTTGGGGCCAAGGAGATGCTGTCCTGCTGTAGCTGCTCTGTGAAAGGTCAGGCCTGCCCCTCTGAGGCTCCCTTTATCCTCCTAAATTCTGGGGCATCTACATGACGCTTTCTAGTCCACCTTTGCCTCCGCAGATCATGGCTACTAACCTGACCTTTGTCGGTACTTGAGCACCCTTCGCGATTTAACTTTCATGTAGCGTCCGACTTCTAATATGGATTTGAATTTCTTGACTGTTACTGCTCAGAACAATCACCCTTTTTGAGCAGGAGCTGGAGGTTATGCCGACAATGACATCGGAGCCGTCTCAACCACAGGGCATGGGGAAAGCATCCTGAAGGTGAACCTGGCTAGACTCACCCTGTTCCACATAGAACAAGGTACACAGACCACAGGACAAGTAAAATAATTTGTGAAGATAAGTGCATAGAAGGTATTTGATAAGTAAGCGCATGGAGAAGTGTAGGAAACCCTTTCCTGTTGGCTACAGATGTTGCTTTCAGGCCGTTAACACCTTGTTTTGACTCTCCGCCTTCCCTTAGGTCTGGAATGGTAGAGCATTGAGTACTGTTATCTTCCACATCTCAGGAGAAGGGGGCAGTAGAGAGACATTGAGCCTGGATGTGGGAGGGAAGACCCCTCTGCTCAGGCTGATGCTAGGGCGCTGTCTCAGGGCAAGGAGGTGAGGACCCTCCTTTTAAGCATTCAGGCGTTCATTTACCAAAAATCCTTGCTAGCTCACTTTGGCATTTCAAATGGCAAGTGATTTTCCCATGAGATTCCTTTCAGTAATGTGTGTTGTTTCTCAACCCTTCCTTGTTTTCAGGAAAGACGGTAGAAGAGGCTGCGGACCTATCGTTGGGTTATATGAAGTCAAGGGTTAAAGGTTTAGGTGGCCTCATCGTGGTTAGCAAAACAGGAGACTGGGTGGCAAAGTGGACCTCCACCTCCATGCCCTGGGCAGCCGCCAAGGACGGCAAGCTGCACTTCGGAATTGATCCTGACGATACTACTATCACCGACCTTCCCTAAGCCGCTGGAAGATTGTATTCCAGATGCTAGCTTAGAGGTCAAGTACAGTCTCCTCATGAGACATAGCCTAATCAATTAGATCTAGAATTGGAAAAATTGTCCCGTCTGTCACTTGTTTTGTTGCCTTAATAAGCATCTGAATGTTTGGTTGTGGGGCGGGTTCTGAAGCGATGAGAGAAATGCCCGTATTAGGAGGATTACTTGAGCCCAGGAGGTCAAAGCTGAGGTGAGCCATGATTACTCCACTGCACTCCAGCCTGGGCAACAGAGCCAGGCCCTGTATCAAAAAAAAAAAAAAAAAGAAAAGGGAAAAAAGAAAGAAAGCAGCAGCATGATCCTGACATGACAGATGTGGGAGACCCACAGCCTGCAGACACTGTGGGCTGGAAGGTGGGAAGGGAGGGGCCGGTGGAGGTGGAGCTGTTTGAAAGTGACACAGCAGCAGTAGAAGCAGTGGTGGGCGAAGCCCAGGTGACCCTCAGAACGTTGCACAAGAACATCAGGGAAAAGAACCAGAATCCTTTAAGGAAAATGTTCTTCATGTATGAGAGACTAAAGTGATTTTTCTAAGAAAGTTCAGCCCTTCTCTGACTTACCTGGACATTTCTAGATACTTCCAAAGGACCCTCTGGGAATCCATAGCTTCCTAATCTGGAGATGGGAGGTCATAAGGGAGACGCTGTGGGGTTCCTTGAAGTTTCTTGGGTTCACAGAGGAGCCCCCTCACTTGGTGTTCTCCCGTGAGCCAGCCTCCACCTGCCAAAGACACTCTGGTCCTCGTATAGTGAGTAATGGGGCTCAGGGCCTCTCCAACAACAGAGAGGAGCTGATGCTGTAGGGCTGACCCCGTGACTTCCTGAGTCCTCACCCTGTCCAGTGCTTTGAGATTCTTCCCACCTCCCCATCCTCACCAGCCGGATCGGGCGCTGTGCAGTGTGGTCAGCATGGTGAAGAAAGTCATTTCCTCGGTGGGCAGTATTCCTCTTTATCTCTCATTACACTGGAAATGTTATTTCTGCTGTATCATCCGTGCTCAACGTTTTAGTCTGTCAGGCTCACCTTCTCTCTGGAAAGAATTTGCTTAACTTGACATTCCATGTGCCGCTAATAAAATATATTTTGAAAGAATAAGGGTGTGGTTGGGAGTCACTGTTGACAAAGACCAGAATGTACACGAGCTCCCCCCTTGGTCTCAGGTGTACTACAGAGACCTCGAGATGAGGATGGTGTGGAGGGTGATATGTGCCACCTTGTGGAGTACTCGTGAGTTTTTCAGAAGAACTGAACTTTTTCTGAGTGGGTCAAGGAAGAAGCCAAACCATGATAGGGTTTATGGCGCAGTCTTCCTGCAGTTTGCCAGCATTCACCCCAGACAGAGGTGCACAGTAAAAACCTCAACATGCAACAACTCCCCCTTTAGAAACAAGTATTTTATTAGGAGGTGTATTAGTTGAAGATTGCCACAACACGATTCCACAGACTAAGTGACTTAACCAACAGAAATTTATTAATATTTTCTCAGCTCTGGAGGCTAAAAGTCCAAGATCAAGGTGTCGGCCACGTTGGTGTCTCCCGAGGCCTCTCTCCATGGCTTGTGTAATAGCTGGCCATCTTCTCACTGTGTCCTCACATGGTCTTTCCTCTGTACGTGCACAGCCCTGCCATCTGTCTCTATATGTCCTAATCCCCTCTTCTTATGAGGACACCATATTAGATATAATTTATATATTATAATATATAAATTATATAATATATAAGTTACAATATATCTAATATGGTATATTTATTATATATTATAATTTATACAATATATAATATATATTATAATTTACATATATATTATATATAATAAAATATATAACATTTATATAATACATATATATTATATATCATATAAATATATATACTATTATATATAATATATGATATATAATATTATATATTTTATGTATTATATATAATTTGTTATATATTATATACTATATATTATATATCATATATTGTATATATTATATATTATATAAAAATATATGATATATAATTTATAATTTATAATATATATTATATATAATATGTAAATTATAATATTAGATTAAGGTCCACCCTAATGACCTCATTTAACCTTAATCACCTCTTCAAAGGCCCTGTCTCCAAATACACTCACATGCTGAGGTACTGGGGGTTAGGGCTTCAGCATGTGAATTTGGGAGAGGACAGAATTCAGTCCATAACAGGAGGCAAAACAGAATCATGTTGGGGTTTGGAAAGGGGAGACCCTTTGGAGAAGACAACAATCGCTAAGGAGATAGAAAAAAGGAAGGAGGGAGCTGGGGGATAGGGAGGCCAGTTGGAAGATCTGGTTTTGAGCTTGTCTTACCAATTCTCCAGTTCACAAGGAAATTTACTCTAGTTATTAAAGATTACCGTAGGCTCAGCTTGTGGCCACTTGACCTCTTTAGCTGGGCAGCCCAGGTGCTAGGGTACGTATGGGGTCGTCAGCCCCTTTGTGCAAAGCCAAAGTGTGTATTTTTGCCCTCAGACCTGAGTTGTACCAAAAGCCACCTCCACCAGCCTGGGAGTTCTGTAAATGGAGACCACGTACAGTTCTTGCTTTTGCCCCACAGCTTGTCCATGGCTCACTGTCAAACAGAGAAATGAGCCTGACAGCATCTGAAAGGGGAAGACAATCTTTTTATCACTTCTGTGCCACAAGAGGGCAGCAAACTATAAACTATCCATGGCTTCAGCCGCCCAAAGGGAAGGTACTCTATCTGGATCAGAGCAGTCTATTTAGAAAATTTGGAACCAAAAGAACATTCCTCTTCCTGACCTTCATTTTCGTCCAAATACTACAATTTATTTTAGAGCAGAATTGTCCAAAACACAAACGCTAGCAAATGGCCCGAAGAACCCACCCAGATCAACAGTGGAAGCTCGCTCTGCCCTGGGCGCTGCCAGATGCCGGATGCCAGATCCCACGGTGAACAAGCTCTGGCAGCCCGGCCCCGCCCCCACTTGCTCCTTCCAGCCAGGAAGACAGATACATCGTCATGTGGCTCACCCACCAAAATGGTGGGATAATAAGGAGCACAAGACGGGCCCTGAGCCAAGGCCAAGTGTCCCCAAGCAGGAGTTGCTGCAGTCAGGACTCAGCCCCACTGCTGGGCTGCAGAGAAGAGTCCTGGGTAAGGAAGGGCCTTGATCTCGTAGCTGTTGCATAATACACATTTTTCTCAAATAATATTCCTAGACTTCTTCCTCTCTAGCTTGAGGGATTGTAAACTCTGAGACCAAAGGAAGGAGTGGGGCACACGTTAGTCCCCTTCAGTGTCCTGTTGTCAGAGGTGATGGTGTGTGGGGAAGGCTGGGAAGGGACACTCGTTCTTCCCGCCCCCCACCTGCTCCTCTGAAGTCCTCCCATCAGCCTTCATCTTTGCACAAAACCATCACTGCATTTGGATTTTGTAGCTGTTTCTTTTTTTTTTTTTTTTTTTTTTTTTTTTTTGAGATAGAGTCTTGCTCTGTCACCCAGGCTGGAGTGCAGTGGCACGATCTCAGCTCACTGCAACCTCCACCTCCCAGATTCAAGCAATTCTCCTGCCTCAGCCTCCCGAGTAGCTGGGATTACAGGCGCCCGCCACCATGCCTGCCTAATTTTTTTGTACTTTTAGTAGAGACAGGGTTTCATCATGTTGGACAGGCTGGTCTCGAACTCCTGAACACAAGTGATCCACCCACCTCGGCCCCCCAAAGTGCTGGGATTACAGCACCACCGCACCCGGCCTTTGTAGCTGTTTCATGGGAACAAGGAAGTGGCCCCATCAACCTTGTCTGGCTAAAAAAAATGCAGGTGTCCTCTCCCTTTTGCATAGGTGTAGGCGTGACCCAGAGAGGAATGGGGATGGGCAGAAGGACAGAGGCAGAACCAGGCCTAGGAATGGGGGTGGGAGTATGGGCCTGGAACACAGTGGAGGTTGGGGGAGGTGGTGGGGGTGCCCATTAGTGGCTGCATCCAGAATGTAAATGCCATTAAACAAAACCAGCCTTTCCACCTCACCCCACCCCACATCCACACCCCCACAAAGAGCTGAGCCACAGCCGTCCATAGCACATCTCTTCTGAGAAGTTAAAAATATGTAGGAGGAGGCATAGGAATTATTCTACCCTTTTGGAAGATGAGAAAATAAGGCCTAGAAAAATTGGAGTTTCCCCGGTCTCTTGTCCCTCTCAGGTTAAAGTGAAGTTTAACTCAGCCTTCCCTATTTTCAAATCCTCCGGCTCTCACCCCTAAGCTGCTGCTCCTAGATCTAGAGGCAGCCCCAAGAGGGCCCCAGGCGAAAAGCAAGAAAGACCAGCACACATGGACAGCTCTAGCTTTCAAAATTCTGGGATTTTTACAAACCACTATTTAAATGAAGTTGGATTTTCAGTGACAGAGGTAGGGGCCAGCCATGGACTCTGCTGATAGGGGAAACCAGCCTGGGGTGATTTTTTTTTTTTTAATCACTGATCATCTCAAGAGTTAACTTTTTTGCTATGCAATTATCAGCACTTTCTGGATCATGTGCAGAACTCAGATAAGTGTTAGAGTTCTTATCCACAGCAGGCAGCCAAGGAGAAAAGAGGTTGAGTCTTCCTGTCCTATCTCTGTAATACTGAGGCTCCTCTCAGCAGCCACCGGCCTCATGCCTGCCCGCCTTGGCCCTGGATTGTCACCTTGCAGGGCAGCAGTTTGTTATTAAACTTTTTTGTTTGTTTTTTTTGAGACGGAGTCTCACTCTGTTACCCAGGCTGGAGTGCAGTGGCGCGATCTTGGCTCACTGCAACCTCCGTCTCCTGGGTTCAAGCGATTCTCCTGCCTCAGCCTCCCGAGTGGCTGGGACCACAGGCACACGCCACCACGCCCAGCTAATTTTTGTATTTTTAGTAGAGATGGAGTTTCACCATGTTGATCAGGATAGTCTTGATTTCTTGACCTCGTGATCCTCCCACCTCGGCCTCCCAAAGTGCTGGGATTACAGGCGTGAGCCACCGTGCCCGGCCAAGAATAATGAAAAATGTAAAGCACATGTGAGAAAAAAACAACAAAAAATGGGGGACGCTGGGCATGGTGGCTCATGCTTGTAATCCCAGCACTTTGGGAGGCTGAAGCGGGCAGATCACCTGAGGTCAGGGTTCGAGACCAGTCTGACCAACATGGAGAAACCCCGTCTCTACTAAAAATACAAAATTAGCCGGGCATGGTGATGCATGCCTGTAATCGCAGCTACTGGAGAGGCTGAGGCAGGAGAATCACTTGAACCCGGAAGGTGGAGACTGTGGTGAGCCAAGATCACGCCATTGCACTCCAGCCTGGACAACAAGAATCAAACTCCGTCTCAAAAAAAAAAAAAAAAAACCACGGGAAAAATTTCCTATCAGCCAGTGAATATCACTATTAAAATCTTACTGTATATTCTTGCAGATCTTTTTCTGGGTGTGTATATGCATAATTATTTTTTCAAAAGTGAGACCATGCCATGTATGTTTCAGTTAACACTCTCCACCATTGCTTGCCAAGAAATGTTCACCTTACCTAATATTTGGTCAATATTCAAATTTCCCCAGTTTTCTCAAAAATTGTCTTTTTAGCAGAATTGTTCAAATCCAGCACCTTTCTTACTGGCACTGCTTGCTGGGTAGTTAGGGCCCCGGGCCCCTCGGCGTCGCATCTTCTGCTTGTCAGGCTGCCCCTCGTTGAGTGAGGGAAGCACCTGGCTGAACACCACCACAGGCGCTGGGGGCCAGGCCGACCATTTCAAACAGAAATGTCGACACCCTGCCACCGCAGGAGCCATGCAGCGCTGGCCTGTGGGCTGGGGAGGGTTTGGAAAGGGAAATATGGGTTGTGCCAAAGCACAAGGCCCCACCCAGAAGTTTGGCAAAGGGTGACTTGGAGTGAGAAGAGCAGGTGGGGAGCAAGTCCACCCTGCGCCACCACCAGGAAAGGACCTGCCCCCACCCTTCCTCAGCGGCCTCTTCCCAGGTCACTTCCCCTCATACAAAAAGCGTGTGTGCTCCCTTCCCAGCTCCCCTCACCTCAGCCTTTCCCACACAGCTAGGAGCCAGAGCTACCCCACGTGCTTGTTGGCCAAAGGGCCACTTTCAGAAGTGTTTACAAATTACCCCAGGTGGAGGCCACTCACACCAAATCCAGGAACATTTACCTCGGGCATAGAACCACATTCCCTGGCTACCCAGTGAAGATCCCCGGGGGCTCGAACCCCCAAATTCTCCCAACTTTCTTTGCAGACACCAAGTATTTCATCTTTTTTAAAAGTAAGAAACACCAAGGCCAGTTCCCCTCCTCCTCCCATCTGCTCCCCGCCCCTCCCCTGGGCCCACTCCCGCTAGCGGCGGCGGCTCATTGCAGGCCGGCATGTCTCCCCGGTGACCTCACCCCAGATCTGGCCTTTCTCTGTCAGGCCTCACAATCTTCCGGGCCATCTTTGTTGTCTTATCTCTGGCTTTGGCACAAATATCACACCCTGGATGCCTCATGACTAAAAGTCCATCACTTTCCCCAAGCCCTTTCCCTGTCTTCCCTAGAAATTCCAATATATGGCCAGGCGCAGTGACTCATGCCTGTAATCTCAGTTCTTTGGGAGGCCAAGACAGGCAGATGACCTGAGGTTAGGAGTTGAAGACCAACCTGGCCAACATGGTGAAACCCCGTGTCTACTAAAAATACAGAATTAGCTGGACGTGGTGGTGCAAAACCCCGTGTCTACTAAAATACAAAATTAACTGGGCGTGGTGGCACATGCCTGTAGTCCCAGCTACTCAGGAGACTGAGGCAGGAGAATTGCTTGAACCCGGGAGGCAGAGGTTGAAGTGAGCCAGGATCATGCCACTGCACTCCAGCCTGGGCGACAAGAACAAAACTCCAACTCAAAAAAAAAGAACTTCCAACATATTTGTCCACTGCTCTCAAGCACAAAGGGTCAGGACTCAGGGCAAGGCACCCTGCAGAACTGAGAATTCTCCCCACACTCGCCTCCTTAGCATTCCCAGCCCAGAGTTCTCACTTGGACTCGTGTAGAGAACAGGCAGCCAGTTCGTGTGATTGCAGATCTTCTGCTGTTGTTCTGCCGGGTGCCCCACCGGTGTGTCTGCACCAGCTCCTTCAGACAGGAAGCCTCCTTCGTGCCAGCTCTACAGTGGCCTCCCTGGCAAGGGGCTTCATTTTATTTGAGAGAAAGGGTACCAACACTGCTCCTGTCTCTAACCACCATGGCTACGGCCCTCCTGCCCCCTCCCCAACTCAGCCAGCCCCTGGCCAGGGTCTGCCTGCAGCGGGCTCAGATGGGGAAGGCATGAGTGTCCTGCTGGTGTGAGCAAGATGTTCCAGGCACCTCTAGGACCCAGCGGGCAGCACTGCCCTGACCTTCCTGGGGTCAGCTCCCAGGATGGGGTACAGTTGGCCCCTGGAGAGCTACCTGTGAGGGCTAGGGCACAAGCAGCATCAGGACTAAGCTGCAGGCCATTTGGTGCCACCCTGGCCCTGCCTGGGCTCTGAGACCCCATACCACACACAGCCTGGCTTTTGAGCCCATCTCAGCATCGAGGCTGCCCGTGGCGGCCACTAGGGTGGCAGCTGGGCCTGTGCTCAAGGATGAAGACCCAAGAATAAGGAAATCCCACCTCCTTCCCTGAACTCTCCACCCACACCAGTCCATCACAGCCCCTCCCAGAAGCGCTATCCCACCCATCCTCCAGAATGAGGTCACGCAGGGGGCTCCAGGGATTCCTCCTGCTGCCTGGATCCAGTCTAAACCCCTTGGCCGACTTTCAAGGCCCCATAGGCCAGCCCCTCCTGGCTGTAGGCCGGGTCCCCCACTGCCCCCCAGGATATGAGGGGCTCCCCAGGCCTTTGCACACCCAATTCCCTCTCCAGAAATGCCTTTCCTCCCTCAAAGGTCCTCACAGGGGGAACAGTAGTAACCTCTCTGAGAGGGTTGTTATGAGGATTGATTAACAACTGGAAAGTTCTCAGAAGTGTGCCTGCCCCTTCATAAGCCGTCGGTAAATGTTAGCTATTATTTTATTAACCATACCAACCAGAGTGAGCCGTTCCTTTTCTGAGCCCTGGCCCTCCTCATGGTCACCAGCCAGCAGCTTCTGAAATGCACCTCTGTTCCATGGACCCAAAGTTGCTTTAACCATTTTGGACACATGGACCAGCAGGGGCGCGGCTATTTCTGTGCAAGGCTTGGGCACTGGGCAGAACCCCAACCCTCCATGCTATTAACACAGAGGAGAACCCCAGCTTCATATTTTATGTTTTATGAAACACGTTTGCATCTATTTCTACTTTGTGGAGTAGCCAGGGCAGAAATCATCATTGCCATTTTCCAATCGGGGCCCCTGACACTCAGTGCTGTGGAGTGCCTTACCCGCGTCACACAGCAGGTAAGTGGCTGAGGCAGGCTTCGAGTTCAACTCTGCTTGATCCCAGGCCCAGGGCTTCTTCCTCAGCACCAAGCTGGGTCACAACCAGTTAAGTGCATCTCCCTCCTTCTGAAAAGTAGCTCAGATGCCAGAGGAATTAGAGACGGCCGCACAATGAAAACCAGACGCCCTGCCCCTCGTCTCTGGACCAGCTCCCAGGAAAGGGAGGACAGCTGGCTGATATGTGGCCTCTGCGCCCCGCCCTGCCCATGAGCTCAGCTCTGGCAGAAAGAGCTCCTCACTAGGGAAGGCCTGGTGAGCCCCTCGGCCTGGGAAAGCCTCTCCACAGAGCCAGGGCCAGACCACAGGGCAGCCGAACTCCAGAGGTCAGAACAAGGAGTGCCCAAGGCCAACCGCATTGCCATTAACCCTCTGTAACTTTCCCAGTCCTGCAAACTAGGTGCTGTGCCTGTTTTTCAGATGAGAAAACCGAGGTTTGGAGAAATGCGATTTTCACGCTAGCAAATGAGGATGCCAGGATGTGAGCCCGTATCATTGCAGCTGCACCTTCAGGCCAGTTCTGGGAAGCTCATAGTTGGGGGCTGGGGGAGTGGCTGTCCCTCTGTAGCTGCCTTGAGAACAGAGACCACCTCTGTCTTGCTCATAGCCATTCTCCGGCACCATGTGCAATAAATATCTGTGAAATGAAAGAATGAATCCCTAGATGCGTCCTTCACTTGTCCTGAGGAAGGCGGGATTACAGGTGCTTCAGCCCTGGCTGCGAAGGTGCCTGGTTGAGGCAAGCCCACCCTGAGGCCTGGGAAACACAGCCAGCCCTGCCCACCACCCCTCCTAACCCCACAGCCTACAGGGCAACTCCATCTGCACCAGTGACTTCACAGGGTTGGGGTCCCCTTGCCCTCTCTCCCTCCCCTGCCTTTGAGGACAAGAGCTCAGCTCCCAATCACTGGTGAAGCTCTTACGGGAGGGTCCCCAGCAGGTCAGGGCCTGCAGGAAGAGAGAGGGCAGGGCTCCATGAGAACAAGAGTTGGGGTGGAGGGAGCAAATGTGGGGGTGGTGAGAAGCTGAGAACAGAACAGGGGGATACAGGAGTACACACCTGGGGGCCCCCAAGTCACTGGCCCAGTGTACAAGGTGCTGCTGCCTACAGGAAGGCCCGTGGGGCTGAGGGCAGTGCCAGGCTGTGTGGAGCAAGGGGAGGCCGTGGCAGGGCTCAGGCTTGCGTGGGTGCGTGTGGGGTGGGATCCAAGTCCATGAGCCCAGGCAGAGGGATCATTCACATTCATTTAACAAACATAACAACAGCCATGGCCACAAAGCAGAAATAACAATGAAAGCAAACTCCACCCCAATCCTAACCCGCCTGCTGCTGGCCAGGAGAGCTCAGCACGCAGAGCTCAAAAAGACCCTGAATTGAACTGTGGCCCTGGCACCTGGCTGTGTCCCCCTCCCTCCGACCCCCCAACAAACCCCATTCTCCAGTCCCTGGGGGCACTTCCTCCTCCCATGACCGCTGCCCTCACCTCCCCAGCCCTGCCTCCTTTGACCCCGCTTTCATGCCTTTCGTAGTGTCCCATCGACTCCCAAGTGAAACCTCAATGCCTCTTTGGCACTCACAGCTATGGTCTGGCCCTTCCCCGGGGTTGCAGCCTTGGGAGTGCTCAGCGCCTCTGTGCCACGTGCTCCGCTTCCTCCCACCACCGAGCTCCACCCTCTTCCCTCTGCCCACAGCGCTCTTCCTCCCCACTTCAGACACCGATACAGCTCACTCAGGGCCACCTCCTCCGACCCCCTCACCTGGTGATCCCTCCAACACCCCTGAATCTCTCCTTCCTGGAAACGGTCGCCATTGCAATGAGCATCTGTCTCCCCCTCTAGACAGTGGCCCAGTGCTAGCACCAGGCGTGGTGCATAGTAGGGCCTTCTTATGTGTGTGGGATGAAAAAGCACCAGACAGAGGCTCCTGGCTTCTCCCAGCTCTGACCTTACTTCCTCCCATGAGGTCTATCCCAGCCCCCACCAGACCCAGCCCAAAGACACCTCCTCCAGAAAGCCTTCTGCACTCTCCCAGAAGTTGTGTTTTTTTTCCTCTGAGCAATTCTTAGGGGACTTCCCATGAACTATGGCCAGATTTGTCCATCTGCCTCCCCATTCAACTGTGAGACCCTTGAGGCAGCCCCAAGCCCCTGGGCCCAACCCACAACAGTGTCTTCCCACACCAGCCCCTCAGCCACACCAGTCCACACCCTCTGGGAGCTTTGATTCTTCCCGTCACCTAACAAGCTGTGACAGCCCACCCCTCTGATGTGGAGGCTGGTGGCCTCCATCAGCCCCAATTTACAGATAAGACCTCTGAGGCTTAGAGAAAAAAAGCGGAAAGTTCAACATCCTTCCAAACGTCCACATACTTGGCACTATGTAGACTCTTGTGGGACAGAGTCCCAGAAGTGCCCGCCTTAGGGCCTGAACATTTCACATTAAGGTCCCACCCTTCAAAGGAAAGAAAGAGAGACAAAGAGGACTTCATTACTTTAATGAGGATCGTATTTTAAAACTTACTCTTTAGCGGCTTAGACTACAGAGAAGTCTGTTATTTCATGAAAATGCTCAGATGACATTTACAGCAACTGCTTTCTGTTTGTCAAAGTTCTATCAGTCCCTCCCATGGCATGATCTTTTCCTTCAAAACTTTTATATCTGATTCTATGAAGCCAATTTTTATTGGCAAGAATAATATAAGAAAGGATGATATTACCACCCCATCCGTCACCACCCTGTCAACTCCATCACCACCTCAGAAAGGGGACTAAGGCCGGGACGGTGGCTCATGCCTGTAATCCCAGCACTTTGGGAAGCCGAGACGGAAGGATTACTTAAAACCAGCATGGGCAACATAGTAAGACCCTGTCTCTATAAAAAATAAAAAATCAGCTGTGGGTGGTGAGGTGCTGTTGCAGTGCCAGCTACTCAGAAGGCTAAAGCGGGTGGATCATTTGAGCTCAGGAGTGAGTGAGCTATGATCAAGCCACTGCATCCCAGCCTGTGTGACAGAGCAAGACCCTGTCTCTAAAATAAAAATTAAAAAAAAAGGCCAGGCACGGTGGCTTATGCCTGTTAATCCCAGCA